>NC_000002.12:98095678-98398708 GCF_000001405.40 Homo sapiens | reverse complement strand
CCGTCCCCCACATCAGCACCTATCCTTTCTAGGGAAGCCATTGCCCTAGAAACATACTCTGGGACTGAAACTTCCTTTATGGCAAGAGCTGAAGCAAGAGTCATTCCTATTTTTAAATCCAGGTCTTTATTTTTCCTGTGCAAATATGAATGCAGGCATAACTAACAGTTAAGGCTTTTAAAATATATACATTTTGAGGAGGAAAAGAGGAGAGAGAAAAAGGAAGAAAGAAGGAAGAAGAAAGAAAAAAGGAAAGGAAGAAGAAAGGAAAAAGGAAAGAAAGAAGAAAGACTCATCTTTGGGTAATTTGCAACATGTTACATAAGTGAAGGATGGAATTTGAGGTCATAATTTGCAATCACGGAACTCAAAAATATAAATCTGTTATAAAATGTTAATGAAATTATATTTACTGGGGTTTGTTTTTTAAAAAAGCTAATTTCTGCAATCTGTGAGCTTTCGGTGAGCCAAAAGCTTTGCCTTGGGATGCAATTCCAAGGGATCTTGAGGCTTCCTCTTCATGGGTGAATGGGCAGTTTGCAAAGATACGTTCCTAATGGTCTAATCTTCTAAAACTCTCAGTTGTCAGCTTTTTTGGTTTAGTACACCATTCCAACCTTCAATCTAAAATGCTCTCCCTGTACATAGCTCTCCTCCTTGAGTTAGAATAGGTCACCTAGGGCCCTGACTCAAGAATGGAGGATAGGGGCTGTCTTTGAATCTCTTTGGCAAGTGAGAAGGAGGGGATGTCTCTTCTCCTAACTGAGATGCTTTTTTCTGTGAAGCAGATTCTGGTTTCACAGTGGCTGAACGGCAAGGAGTCTGGATTTGCTTCACAGATTTTAAATGACCTCAAATGGGGCAGCCTCTTTCCATCCGGCAGAACTTCTACTTGCCATAGCACTCCCAAAAGCCAGGGTTTCTAGGGCCCCAAAGAACACACGAGGTGATACCAGATTAAGAAATATGCCTCAAACTGTCTTGTGTAAGTCTGAATTTTAGTCACTATGTTGTACCTTCAGCTTCCTGTTATATACCCATTATCAGGTGGTGGTGAAGTTGGACAGGAGAAAGGTGACTAAATAATCTTTCATTTATAAGAAAATCAGATTAAAAAGCCTAAAAACACCTTGCAGATTCCATAAAAAAGTAATGAGAGTCCTGTGTGCACGTTTTCATATACTTGGACTGGGGATACCTTGCACTTTGCAAAGCCCTGCCTGGTGCAGTGTTTCATGCGGACTTCACAATCAAACCTGGCACTTCACTGGGACTGAGACAAAAAGTCCCATTTTTTAGGTGAAGAAACAGGTTCTCTCAGGCAGTCACACAGCTTTCAAAGGGTGAGTAGAGCTGGAATTCAACCCTGACCAAGTTCCATGCCACACAGCTGCGGCCACATACGGTCACCCTGACAGTCGACCCTGTGAAGCAGGAGACAGATGCTGCATTTTCACTGTTGTTTGTCCTCTGTTTTTGTAGCATCCCCGGGAACTTCCCCATCAGCCAGGGGCTTGTCCCCACCACCCTTCACCTGGCTTTCCAGTTGGCTGAGACGCTGCTTCATCTTCATCTGGGTGGCGTTGTACTCAGCCAGGAGGCGTGCAAACCTGGTCTGCAGGGTGTCCAGGGAGGACCCCAGCTGCTCCACTTTCTCCTCAAGGTCCTTGGGGTCCGCGCCCGCCCTGGCCAGCTCCTCATCGATCAGGTTGTCTTTCATCAGGATCTGCCGTCCTTTCTCCTCCAGGGCCTTCTTGGCTTCGGGGTACTCGGTGAGGGCCTCCATGAGATCGTCCTTTGAGAGGCAGAACAGGTCTGAGTAGCCAATGCTGCGGATGTTGGCCGTCCTGCGGTTCCCCGACTTGCTCCCCTTGATGTTCAGAATGCTGATCTCCCCGAAGTAGCTGCCATCGCTGAGGACCACGAACTGGGTGACCCCATCATCAGCCACCACGGCCAGCTTGCCCTCGTTGATGATGTACATCTCCTTCCCAATATCTCCCTTCTTGCAGATATAATCCCCAGGGCTGAACACAGTGGGTCGCAGCTTCAGCACCAGCTCCACCAGCAGCCCTGCCTCACAGTCCTGGAAGATGCGAACCTTCTTCAGCGTGTCCAGGTGCACGTTGATGGCGATCTCAGCCTTCAGCTTGTCTGGGAGGCTCTTGAGCACCTCCTTCTCATCCACCGTCTTCTTGTTGGCCCACAGGTAGTCAAACCACCGGATAACCCGCGTCTCCAAGTCCTTGGTGACCTTGCGGAACTGCATGTACTGCTTGATGGAATCAATCTTGGCCTGGAACTCTGCCCGTGAGGCATTCATATTCGAGATCATGGAGCCCACATTGCCCACAATGGTGGCAAAAATCAGAACACCCACCAAGAAGTCTACGACCACAAAGAGATACTCCTCATCTTTCACGGGGGGTGGGGTCTCACCAATGGTGGTAAGGGTCAAGGTGGACCAGTAGAGACTGTAAATGTACTTCCTGGAGAGGCGCCCATGCTCTGGGATTGAGATGTTTGGGTAGACCCAGGAGTCTGTCCCAAAACCAATGAACTTGGAAATGGCAAAGTAGATGCAGGCATTCCAGTGGATGATGATGAGAATGTACAAGACCAAGTTCCCAATCCTGAACATATTGGGGTAGTTGGTCCTTGTCTCTGTGCGGTCAAAGAATTCAAAGAGCCGGGAAAACTTCAGTAGGCGGTTGAACCTCACTTCTGGGTAGTTTGTGCCCACCTTTAAGTAAGCCAGGTCGGTGGGGACCAGGGACAACACATCCAGCTTGAACTGCGTGGTCGTCTTGTAATGCTGCCACAGCCTGTTGGTATCACTGACCATTAAGCCTTGCTCGAGAAAACCTAAAGAAGAAGATGGAGGTCATTGGGCATCACAGAGGCTGACTTTTTTTGACCATAGTACAAAGAAACATATTTTACCTCACGGCTACACAGTATGCAGTGATACATATATAATAGAAATGATTTCAAAAACAACACTTACCATTACTACAGGAAATGCACTCTGATATTTTCTATTCTATGAGGTTCTAATCTATTCTATTGAATTTTTTTAAAACATAGGTTGATTGAGTAAATTTAAATATAAATTGGGTATTACATGATAACAAAGAATGATTATTAAATTTTAAAAGATAAATGGAAATTATATACATATTTTAAAAAAGGATCCTTTAAAATTAGAGATACATGTTGTAAATCAAAAAGTGACAGAGGGCCGGGTGCCGTGGCTCATGCCTATAATCCCAGTACTTTGAGAGGCCGAGGCGGGTGGATCACCTGAGGTCAAGGGTTTGAGACCAGCCTGGGCAACATGGTGAAACCCTGTCTCTACTAAAAATACAAAAATTAGCCAGATGTGGTGGTGCACCCCTGTAATCCCAGCTACTCAGGAAGCTGAGGCACGAGAACCACTTGAACCCAGGAGGTGGAGGGTGCAATGAGCCAAGATCGCACCACTACACTCCAGCCTGGGCAACAGAGTGAGACTCTGAGTCTTTGAAAAAAAAAAAGTGACGGAGGCAGATCTCAATTGATTTAGAGGTTTATTTTTATCAAGGTTGAAGGTACACCTAGGAGAAAGAAACACAAGTCACAGTAAGATCTGTGGCCTGTGCTTTTTCCAAAGAGGGTTTTGAGGATGTCAATACTTAAAGGGGACAGAGCAGGCAGCAGGCAGGAGAGGAGAGAAGAAAGAAAAGAAAGGGTGGGTAGGCAATGAGGCCAGTGGTTATATTCTTGCTAGGCTTTGATTAGCGCTCAGTGAATCTACATGTGAAAAGAAGGGAGTGGAGGAAAAGTAAATTATGCAAACTACATTTTACGTAAGATAAAGTAAGCATGTGAAATTACAGCTATCTGGGCAGAAAAGGAAGGCAGCTTTTGCATGACTCAGTTCCCAAGCCTAACTCTTCCCTTTGGCAGAGTGAGTTTGACTTCCTGAGACATTCTATTTTCTATTCAAAATGCTAAAGTGCTTACTGCCTGGGGTTTGCTTATGCCAGCCAAGAAAAGGGTGGATGAAACAAAAGAGCAAAAACAAAAACAGGAAAATCAAACAAGAAAAGGGCGGATGAAACAAGAAAAGGAACAGATGAAACAAGATGGGCAGAATGCTGATAACAGCTGGAGCTGGGTGAGGGTACATGGGGATTCATAACACTATTCTCTCTGCTTTTGCATACATTTGAAAATATTAATAATAAAAATGTAAAAAACACAGGCCATGGCCTCCCAAATTGATTTCACCAGTCAGCAATGGGGCACAACCTGCCTTTTGAAAACACCTTCCAGGAACACAGCTTTCCTTGGTTGCACGTGACTGTTACCCAAAGGGCTTTTAAAATATATGAAGTTCGGGACCCACCCCCAAAGAATCTGACTGGTCTGGAGATGGGCTGGACACCTAGAGCCAGGGGCATTATGATGGGTGAAATCAATTAAGGAGGCCATGACCTGCATTCTTTTTTGTTTTTTACATTTTCAAACATGCACGAAAGTAGAGAGAATAATATAATTAGTCCTTTTAAAATTGCGGTGAGCATCAGAATTTCCCTGAGGGCTGTGCGAAACACAGAGTGCCAGCCTGCAACCCAGAGTTGGCTCCCGGAAGTTGGGGGCAAGTCTAGCAAGTTCCAGGTGATGCTAGGGCTGCGGGTCCAGGCCACCGAGGCTAGACTGGGGTAGGACGTCTCACTCTGCTCAAACTGAAAATCTAGTGTGCTGTCACAACAAAGAACACCCCACTTCACAGCCCCCAGTTCTTCTTAGCATTATTTGTTATACATGCGTTACTGAGGGCCTTGATCATTATGTAGCCTCCTGTGCCTCCAGCCTCCTCCCCACTTCTTTAAGATGTCTTCTCTCAATTCTAATGATGTTTTCCTTGGAGTGTGATTCCTGTGCCTCCCTCTCTCCCAGCTTCCTGCTGAATCTTGGTTGCTTAGGGTACTACCCAAGCACAAGAAGGTGCAGGGTTAATGACTGAGTCGGGGTGTCTCATCCCACTGAAGCTGGGCTGAGACCAGGGACCATCAGCCCAATGGGCCACTTACAGAGCTCGTGTGTCTGTGGAGTTTAACATGACTGCAGCAGCGGGGCAGGTGACCAGGGCTGGCTAGGCCACCCACGCAAGCCTCAGCCTGTGTATCTGAGGTCTTCTAAGTTATGACGCTAGGCACCAGTGTGGAAGCAAACAGAGGACCAGTCTGGTGTGGCTGGGCAGTGACTGTGGACTTTGGACAAGTCACTTGGTGTCTCTGATGTTGGTTTCTAAATCAGCAAGATGGAGGTAATCACACCTGAGCTTCTTGTCTCATGCAGTGGTTCTAATGAAGAAGCAAGACGCACTTGAAATGTATTGTACGTGGAGCCACACGGAGGTCGGCTACTGTGATCTGCTGGTGTTTACATCAACAGCTATGGCATAGCATTATTTTATCATTTTTTTTTTTTGAGACAAGGTCTTGCTCTGTAAACCGAGGCCATGACTCCCTACAGTCTTGACCTCCTGGGCTCAAGCAATCCTCTCACCTCAGCCTCCTGAGGCACACACCAACACGTCCAGCTAATTTTTTCTTTTTGTAGAGACAAGGTCTTGCTATGTTGCCCTGGCTAGTCTGGAACTCCTGCCTCAAATGACCCTTCTGTCTTGGCCTCCCAAAGTGCTGGGATTACAGGTGCCTGCACCCATGCCTGGCCTGGCACAGTTTTCAGTTCAAAAATCTTGGAAACAGGGCCTCTACCAGCTTAGGCAATGTCTTTGTGCAGATTAGAAAAAGATGTCCCAAGGGCACACAGTTCAGCACCTAAGAAATGTGAAGGGGTGAGTATCCTTTCCCATCCCCAACCACAGATGATTCGAAGGAAGTCCTCATTCACCTGGGCCCTATTTCAGATTTTCATTCTCCACATGTTAAAAGTCCTCTGAAAGCCACGGAGTAACATGTCCTGTATCTGCTGACTGTCCAAGAAGAGAAACTCCAAGATTGACTGAGCTCTCCTTCCTGCTTACCCCAGTGTCGAGTAGTGAGAGCTGGAGGGGTCCTTCGAGATTGCAGTCCGGCCTGCTTACTTCTTTTCTTTTTTTTTCTTTTCTTTTCTTTTCTTTTTTTTTTCTTTTTTTGAGACAGAATGTTGCTATGTCACCCAGGTTGGAGTGAAGTGGCATGATCTCCACTCACTGCAACCTCCACCTCCCGGGGTTCAAGCGATTCTCCTGCCTCAGCCTCTCAAGTAGCTGGGATTACAGGCACATGCCAGTGGGCCCAGCTAATTTTTGTATTTTTAGTAGAGATGGGGTTTCACCATGTTGGCCAGGCTGGTCTCGAACTCCTGACCTCCAGTAATCTGTCCACCTTGGCCTCCCAAAGTCCTAGGATTACAGATGTGAGCCACTGCACCTGGCCTGGCCTGCTTATCTCAGAGGTGACAAGAACAAGGCCCAGAGAGACAGCCTGACTTGCTCAAGGTCATACAGCTTGTTGGAAGAGCAGAGCCCAGAGCTTAGGTGTCCTGGCCCCTGCTCAGCGTCCTGTCCAAGGGTTCCGTGTAGAAGGGCTTGAGGCCGCACCACCTACCCTCACTGTCGGAGGTCCCCAGACCTGCCTGGCCTCTCATGGTCAAGGGTAGGTAATGTCCCATCCACCATGCTGGGTCTCCCGGAACACTCCCGTGGGGGCCATGGTCCCCTCCCCAGGCCTGGGGCACACTCACCTGTCCGAGCTCGTACAAGCACATCCAAGACATACAGGACATCTGCCGAGTAGTCCAGGACCAGCCACAGCATCAGGTACTCGGACTGCAGCTCATCGAAACAGGCCCTAAAGAAGCCATGTGGGAGATGGATGGCTGTGCGTGTGTTTCTGGAGCGTGGACCACCCACCTGTGGGCACGGGCTCTGTGTGGAAGACGCTGGATCATGTAATATGGGAATGGCCCTGCCTGCGGTGTCACTACCTCAGTGTAATCACCCCCGCTTCTGATGAGATGTCTCTGAGAAGCTTTTCTGTCCCACAGTCACAGAACTCCTGAGAAGAGCTGGGATTGACCCCAAAGAGCGGCCCCATTGCCTCTCAGCAGAGAGCTACAAGATCCCAGGAGGTACCGTTTTCCAGGCCACACTGGCAGAGTCAGGTAAAGGGGCTAAAGACCTGCCCTTTCTGGGGTCAAAGTTCAACAAAAATAGGAGAATTTCCGAGAGATTAACAATGGAACAGACAGTAAATATTTTCTACCTTCTCCATCTTTCTGCTGTTTCCCACACAGGCAGCACCCCCAGCTCTCCTCCTATCCTCACGGGCACAGCAGCCTGCCCCTGCCGCCCACCTGCTGCTTGCTCAGCGCCCCAAAGCCTCCTGCCCACCTGAAGGAGAACAGTGCCCAGCCCTGCCTCCCCAGAGCCCGCGTGCACCAGAGAGCAGCAGCTTGCCCAAGCACCCCATCCTGTCTGCTCGCTGGGACAGGCTCCAAGTTCTTCCAGTTTTCACCTGCCCCGCAATCCCTCCGAAGAGCAGGAGATCAGCCTATGCTCGAATAATCGAAAGCCTCTGCTTCCATGTGGATGGCATCCCTGACGTGCGGCATAATCTGGAATGCCCCAAAACTCATCAACTAGCCTCTCAGAGCAGTGGCTCTCTGTCTTGCAGGCTTGCTCAGGAGTGCCCCAAAGCCTACTGCCTACTCTCAGAAGGACAGGCAGGACTTGCCTCTGCATCCTCATTTTGCATACTGGCTCCGGAGAGCCCCAGAGGCATCGTCTCCTCTCGCATGCATCCCAGTCCCACACATCTCAGAAGAGACCTGCCTTTGCACACCTGTCCTGCACACTTGCTTGGGAAGTCCCCTAAGCCCTCCCGTGTACCCTCAGAAGACCAACAGTGTACCCTGCATTGGTGTCCTGGAGCAGGCCTGCTGGGAAGGGCCCCCAAACCCCATGCTTACCTAGAGAGAGCAGCAGGTCATCCCTCCTCCTTGTCCTGCAGCTTGCAGCCTGCAGGCTTCCTCAGAAATGCCCCAAAGTCCCCGCCAGCCCCCACAAGCAGCAGCTTGTCCTGCATCCTTGGTGGACAGCGTGCTCAGGAACGTTCCCTCTGGTGGCCCCACCCTGGAGGCCTGCTCAGAAAAGCCCAGGCCCCTGGCTTCCCCTAAGAGGAGCAGTATCTCGTCCCTGCATTCACAAACAGGTTTCCTAGGAGAGGCCCTCAATCCCTCTTCTGCTTATTAGAAGAGTAGTAGAGGCCGGGAGCAGTGGCTCACACCTGGAATCCCAGCACTTTGGGAGGCCAAGGTGGGCAGATCATTTGAGGTGAGGAGTTCAAGACCAGCCTAGCCAATATGGTGAAACACTGTCTCTACTAAAAAAAAAATACATATATATATATAAAAGCCAGGCGTGGTGGCTCATATATGTAGTCACAGCTACTCGGGTGGCTGAGGCAGGAGAATCGCTTTAACCCGGGAGGTGGAGGTTGCAGTTAGCTGAGATCGCGCCACTGAACTCCAGCCTGGGTGACAGAGTGAGACTCTGTCTCAAAAAAAAAAAGAAAAAAATAGTAGCAGCTTGCCCCTGCCTCCCTACCCTGCTGCATGTTCAGAACCACCCACTTATCCCTCCAAAGAGAAGCAACCGCCCCTGCATCCTCCTCGTACAACTCACTTGAGGGGGCCCCACAGTGCCGAAACCCTGGCTGTCCACCTGAAGCTCAATTCCCCACCCATGCTTCAGAGCACTCTGATGGTCCTCTTGGGGAACCTTCTATTTTTAAAAGGAGAAACCGAGGCACAATAACTAAGTGGTGGCCGTGAGGGGTCCAGGCCTCAGGCCTCCCGAGGGAGAGGTGGAGCTCTGGCTCCTGGGCCTGGTGCCCTGGTTTCCCCCTTTCCGCTGCACCTTCCACCCCTGTCGCTTACCTGCAAATAAGCAGATACCAGTTATAGAAGACAGGCAGGGCGATGGCGGTCAGCCAGCGGTAGTACAGGTTGCTGGACGGGTCCACCACGATCGCATCCTTCTTTTTCGTCTTCTTCCTGGAAACCCACACATACACAAACAGCGCACTGTGCTCCAAGACTGTAGCTTTGGAGGGTTTTAGAGAGCCTAGGGCAATTTCAGGCTGAAGCCCAAGATGTGGCTGTCCACAACAGGGTCCTCTTAGTCTCAAGGGAGTCACATGGGGAGTCCCTGTAGGGGAAGGCAGGCCAGGAGGTAGGGTAGACTCCAGAGGTCCTTCTCTCCCAGCTCAGTCCCAGGAGGTCACGGTCGACTATAAGGTAATGGTGATGACATTCCCATGTGCCCACGACAACATCCACACCCTTCAGGATGCTGAGAATGAAAACGCAGCATGGCAATGTCACAGAGGTCTGCTAAAGTCTGGGGAACTTCCAGAAAATTCTGATTCCCAGGGCCCACTCACCTCTTCCAGGGCTGGGCCTGGAAATATGCATTTAAGCATTGCCTGGATAGTTCTGAGGCAGCCCCTCTCTGGACAGAGTTGGGGAGCCCCACAGTATTCCCTCCAGAACCCTCTCCACCTCCCTCACTGTGTTTGTGCGGACGATGTAAAGGCTCATTTCCAAGGGCTTGCATCACACCTCTCCATCAAAAGCCTGGGAATAACCTGTCACGTGGGCCCGCACGGAATGAAATACATAGCTTAGAGTGCTTAACTTTTATTCTTAGAATTTCCCGCAGATTCAAGTTTACAGGCTGTACTGGAGACTGCCTTTTTGTTGGGTCCATGTGTCCCCTCTGCCATCCCATGCGACCCACGCTGGCCCAGGCCTGCAGAGTGCTCCTGTGCTCCATCGGAGACCCCAGTGACTTCCTGCCTTCACCTGGATGCTGCAAGTGCAAGGTCACTCACTGACCGGGCTTTGGGACGTTCCCTACAGCTCTCATCACCACTGAATTTGGGTGAAAGTTTGTGAACATTGTATCTTCCAGTGCCCCAGAGAAGCCCTCAGCCTACGTGTGGCCGGCCCACTTGTGAGGGCAAACGAAATGCTTCGGGTGGGGGGCACATGAGCAGGCTCACAGGGGCAGCCCCCGGCTGCCCACCGGAGGCTGCAGACAAGCAACTCTCTTTACTTATAAGCCCCCCTTGAGTTCCCGGAGCTTGGAGAGGATTCTTTCTGCAAGATGGGGGCTTCACATGGTCTCAGGAGGCATGGTCTGCAGCCTGCTGGGACCGACTTTTCCTCAGCTCCAAGCACCCTCTCCCCTCCAGGGCCGAAGCTAAGGCCCCCTGATAGCGTTGCTCCAAGATACCCAGCCCTGGAGCCCTGCAGGGAGGGGTCAGGCCTGCTGGGACCATGGCACCCCGTCTTTAGAGGCAGCTTCCTTCAGTACTTCCTCCTCGTGTTTTAGGTAGCTTTTCTCTCTTCTTTTTTCTCTTCGTTCTTTTCTGCCTTGCTGCTGGATGATGCCGGGGCACATTTAGCAGACTTCATATATCAAGGACATTACCAAATGGAAGGGGCAGGCTGCTGCGTCCCGGAGAGAGGGCGTGGCGTGTGGCGTCGTGGAGACGTCCTGAAGAGAGGGCGTGGCAAGG
This sequence comes from Homo sapiens, assembly GCF_000001405.40. Lineage (NCBI taxonomy): Eukaryota > Metazoa > Chordata > Mammalia > Primates > Hominidae > Homo > Homo sapiens. The sequence continues at coordinate 98,388,128 of NC_000002.12, read as the reverse complement.
GGTGCTTCCAGCGCATTGGGATGAAATGGGGTTATTGATTTGTTATTATTATTCCTGAAGCGTGAGGTAAACCACCCCATTGAGTATACATTGAGAAATTAGTGGCTCAGTCTAATGTTCTACAATTTCTGATCTATTTTCATGAGCTCCTGGGAAGTCACAAACAGCCAGAGACTGGAGACGTTTTGAGGTAGTACGACATAGACCCAAATCCACACATTGAAGTTGGGAAAGTTACTCGGAGTTTTGGAAATCCCACGCCAGGCTCTCCGTTCTGAATGGAAGGGTGTGGCCTGTCCGCTGTTCTTGAAACCTCTCTCTGGATCAAGTGAAAACCTGGGCCTTAATGAGAAAGCCAGTGAGCAGAAGGGAAGCAACATTCGAAGAGGCGGGTCTGTGACGCATGTAGTGGCAAATACGTGTGGTCGCAGGTTCGCAAATGTGGCCGAGTTCAGACACGCCTTCGGACTTTGCTGGGCTGCGAGACGGTTCAGGCAGCGTCCGCAGGATGGTCCTGTGACTGCAGGTTTTTCTTCAACATAAGACTTCACACTGCTGCCTCTTCTTTATTGGGTGTCTTTTAAGAGCTAGGAACTCTTATAAAGTTATCTAATGAATACATGTAAATTTCTTCAAGGCAGGCAGTAATGCCCCATTGAATAGTTGAAGAAACAAAGGTTGCGGAAGGGACAACCCCTCGAGTCCCCTTCAGGCCCCTCTGATTTCTCTCTTCCACACGCTGAAGGAAGGCATGGTTGAGAGATAAATTCTGCTAATTAAACACTCATTGAAAAAGATCCATTCACAATTACCTAACACTTCCTATGGAAATAATCAAGGCTGTGTGCGATACGTGTGGAAAAATAATCACTGCCATTATTCATGACAATCAAAAAGGGAGAGCCACCGAATCACACGACCATGCAGGCTCATCCTCAACGGTGAATTCTACATGGCCACTTAAAACGCTGTTTCAGAAGAGCTAGTGACGTGGGAAAACGGTTCCTAATATTTTGCTAAGTTAAGAAGCAGACTACAAAAGAGTTTACCGTAATAGCTGGATCAGTTTTCTATTTCTGCCGGAACAAATTACTGCAAACTTATACAACATAAATGTATTATCTTGCAGATCTGTAGGTCAGAAGTCTACTGTGGATCTCACCAGACTAAAATCAAGGTGTTGACAGGGCTGCCATCCCCCAGAGTCTCTAGGCGGGGCTCTGATTCCTGCTCGTTTGGATCTTACGCAGAATCCAGCTTCTTGCGATTGTGGGGCTGAGATCCCTGTTTCCCTGCTGGCTGCACCTTTCGAGGCTGTGGCTTCCTTAGCTCAGGTCCCCTTCCTACATCTTCAAAGCCAGCAGTGATGGGTCGAGTCCCCCTCACACTGTGACTCTCTTCTTCTTCCATTTACTTTCTCTGACCCACTCTTCTGCTTTTAAGGACTCATGTGATTACAGTGGGCCCACCCTGATAATCCAGGATAACCTACCTGTATTAGTCTGTTCTCATGCTGCTAATAAAGGCATACCCGAGGGTGGGTAATTTATAAAGGAAAGAGGTTTAATGGACTCAGTTCCACATGGCTTGGGAGGCCTCGCAATCATGGTGGAAGGCAGATGAGGAGCAAAGTCACATCTTACGTGGCGGCACGCAAAGAGTCTGTGCAGGGGAACTCCCCTTTACAAAACCATCAGATCTCGTGAGACTTATTCACAGCATGGGAAAGACCCACCCCCATGATTCAATTACCTCCCACCAGATCTGTCCCGACACATGGGAATTAGAGGAGCTACAATTCAAGATGAGATTTGGGTGGGGACACAGCCAAGTCAAATCATTACCTATCTCAAGGACCTTGAATGTAATCACATTTACGAAGTTCCCTTTGCCATATGAGGTAACCTGTTTACAGGTTCTAAGGATTAGGATGGTAGACATCTTTTGGGGGAGATTGTTCTGCCTACCACACAAGTCAATATTTATTGAGCACTTACTATGTACCAGGCACTGTTCTGAGCACTTTTCACAGAGTAACACATTCAGTCTTCACTCCCACCATGTAATAAGACCCTATTACAATCCTTATTTTATAAGCCAGGAAACAGATACACAGAGAAGTTAGGTAACCAGCTTATGTGGTTTGAATCTGTGTCCCTGTCATGGTGGTGGATTTCTCATGGTTTGGCACCAATTCCTTGGTGCTTTGCTTGAGACAGTGAGTGAGTTTTCTTGAGATCTGGTTGTTTACGGCACCTACCCCACCTTCCTCCTGCTCCTGCCGTTTGAGACTCCTTGCTCCCCCTTTGCCTTCCACCATGATTGAAAGCTTCCTGAGGCCTCCCCAGAAGCAGAAGCTGCTATGCTTCCTGTATAGCTTGCAGTACCTCAAGCCAATTAAACCACTTTTCTGATAAATTACCGAGTCTCAGGCATTTCTTTCTAGCAATGTGAGAATGGACTAATACACTTGTCCAAGGTCACAAAGCTCTGAGGCAACTGAGTTGGGAAACAGATGCTCTTAACAAGTATATGTATATATAAAATATATTGTATCAATCTAAGTATTCAATATATATGCCTAGGAAGAAGTTGGAAGTATATTTGTCAACATGTTAAGTGGGGCTATCTCTGATAGTGGAATTCCATGGTTAGCATGAAGTGCAGTTTTTGTGTGTGTATGCCCCTGTGTGCTTTTCTTGTTTTCCAAGTTTTCAGCAAGAGTATTTCAATAAAGTGAATTAGAATAAAAGGTTATTAAAATCATTAAATGAAAAGAGCAAGGAAAGTTACCCCTCCTCTGTCCTCCAGGGTGATGTGAACCCTGGTCTCTTTTCAGGCACTGGAGTCTTAACGTCAAGTCACCAGCAGACGGCGCTGCCCTCAAGCTTTTTGGGTGAGCTTTGCCCTGCAGTTTACGCCGGACTCAGCTTGCCTTGTGCAAGATTTGTGGCCCTGGATTACGGGCCTTGGCCTGTCTGGGTACCAAACTGCTGAGAGCCTAGGAAAGACCCAGCACCATCGGCTGCATCCCCAAATCCACCCAGCACTGCCCCAAAAGAACCCTACACAGAACTGCAAAATGCTGCTGGTTTTGGCTGGGAACAGTTTGATGGGGGAGGGAAAAATTATTCAGGACAAATGAGACCATATGAAAATGACAGAAATGGAGTGAAGAGTCGGGGAAGGTGTTCATAAATAATTATTTTGTGTGTGTCCTCATTTTGGGATAGTTCCCAGTTTTGTCCCTTGGTCCTTGGCTTCAAAGTGGACCAGTGAAGTGAGCCCATTTATTGAAAGATTGAAGAGCCGGGTGCAGCCCACGCTATCCACCCACATCCTTGCCCACACCCCAGCCCCAGGACAAAGATGCCTAGAAACCCCCAGGACCTCTGTCCATGGTTTCAGTATCTGGAGCCGTTCCCTGCCTGAAAGACTTGATACTGCAGCTGCAAGGGTGTTTAGTGTCAGGTTTGGCTTTAAGTCAAACACATATCACTATAGCTATTGCTTTGTAGATAAAATCATCTCATTTTTCGTTATGGCTGGCATTTGGGTCTCTGGATTTGATGTCCAAATTTATGCAAACAAAAGACATGCTTCCTTCATGGAGAAAATAGAAAAAAGTTCTAGCTGAGGAACAAAGAGAGAAATAACAAGAAAAACCCTTGGCACATTTCTCTGTCTGTTGGAAGTCAAGAAATCGGCATTTCTCACTGATATAGGTATTTTTTCCCTAATCTCCAACTAAGACTTCCCCTCCTGAATAGTGCCACGCTGTCCCTAATCTGCCACCTTAGTATCTGGTGATGGAAAAAGGAATTATAGCAGGTCACCCTTTGAAGAGGCTATTCTCTGGACATATTTAAATTGCCTTTTTCCACTGCTCTGATTACGCCCCCAAAATTGGCCCAAATTGGCCTTAAAACACGGGAACTTCAGGCGAGGCGCAGTGGCTCATGCCTGTAATCCTAGCACTTTGGAGGCCGAGGCGGGTGGATCACGAGGTCAGGAGGTCGAGACCATCCTGGCTAACACGGTGAAACCCCCCCTCTCTACTAAAAATACAAAAAAACTAGCCGGGTGTGGTGGCGGGCGCCTGTAGTCCCAGCTACTCGGGAAGCTGAAGCAGGAGAATGGCGTGAACCCGGGAGGCGGAGCTTGCAACGAGTCAAGATGGCGCCACTGCACTCCAGCCTGGGTGACAGAGCAAGACTCCATCTCAAAAACAAACAAACAAACAACAATAACAACAGCAGCAAAAACAAGGGCATTTCACTGGCACTCAAGAGCCTGAGGTTGTAGAATAAGAAAATGCCTTTTCATCATTAAGGAGAATCTCCAGTGCTCTGTCAAGGAACTCCGGTTCTGCACCCTCAGATATATCGTGGTATAGAGTGCTAAAGCTTAAAGCATTTATCTGATCCAATTCCTTTGCTTTATGGATGAGAAAAATGAGAGGCGAAGAGATCAGACGACTTCCCCAAGAAGTCACACAGATCTCATCCCTCCCCGACTTCTGTCCACAGGGATGGAATTCCAACGAAGGGAACAGGATTCTAAAATATTCTACTGGTGCTCTGGGAGTGGGGAGCAGGAGCACTAAGGAGAGAGGCCAAGCTGGGGCTTCTATGGGGTGGAGGGCACCGGGCTTGGGGAGGGCTCTGCTGGGTGTGTGGGTACTTACTCCTCCTCCGTGTTGTTGCTGGTGTTAGTGTTGCATTTGGCCAGGGGCCAGGCGCTGCGGGAAGGTAGAGAGAACATCAAGGGTCTGAACTCTGTTTCCATTCCTTGGGGCCATTTCACCAGGGGATTACCATGCCCCACCCCCCAATCCCTATCCCACTGCTTCCAGCCTTTGCACTCACAGCTTGAAGAATACGGGGTGGTATTGTCAAGGCCAAAATGCTTTGTGATTAGTTACCTCGGGTAAAAGCCTTGGGGGAAGAGAGAGTGAACATGGCTAAACTGAGGCTTCTGAAGAAAAGATTCAGCCGTTTGACTCCTTCCAGCTTCCCTGCCTCAAATTCCACTCAATTTCCTTCCATTCCACCCTGGATGGGGCCACGTGCCAGGCACTAAGAGGGGCACAGAAATGGACCCTGCGTGGCCTCTGCCCTCAGTGCTTCCATGCCTCTGTGGTGGAGGAGGTCTTGCACCTTCTGCCCCAGGATGGACGCAGCCTGCAGCAGCAACAGCGACTTGCTCCCTCAGCTGCGAAGGCCTCTTCCAATTAGCAGGGCAAGTAATTGAGCATAGGTGGGATTGTTGCTGTTTTCAGTTTCTCCTCCTCTTGTCCTCTCCTATCTCCCCAAATTTTACGACTCCAGGGCCTGACACCCCTGATCTATGTGAGAATCTGGTTGAAGGTAGGGGCTGGTTTTGCACAAACTGGATATTTATTTAAAGTTGAATTTTGCAGTACTTCATGATGTTCTATAGGAAAAGGTATTATCTCTGACCGCCAGAACACATTTTCAACATGGCTGGGTTAAAAAAGCCATGCGGCCTCGCAGGGCACTGCAGACCCCTCATAGGAGACCACGGGAACTGGAGCCTGAGGCAGGCGACACCCCCACCTGACTCCCGGGGCACCTCTTCCACGATGCTTGATGTCCAGCCAAATAAATGCCATTATGATGACTTCAGCTCATCCTGCCCAAATCTCCCTCTCTCCGTCTAAGATATGGCCATAACCGCTTGTTTCTAGATTGGTTCTGCTCATCTGAAAATCTCCCAGGAACTGGAACCGCCGTGGGATTGTGAAGGAGGGAAGGTTCAGCTCCGTGGGGGATGCAGTGGCTGTGTTCACCATGCCTCTGTGCCCGTAACCCCACAAAGCCAAGCCCACACAGGAGAACTAGGACCTGTCTGTGTATATACTTGGCTTTGCAGTGGAGACTTTGCCTCCAGAAAAATTCAAAATCCTCACCCCCAGGAAGACTTGCTGATTGACCAACACTATCCGCACCATCGCATCCATCTTCCCATGCTGACCCTGCCCGCGAGTGATCCATCAGATGTCTGTGAGGTGGTCGGGGCCTGCCCTGGATATGGTCCTAGCTCAACCCTCCATTTGTCTGGTCCCATCGGGAAATGGACAGAGAGTCTAACATTCATCTCTAAGGATGTAGGAAGGTAATTTGATCAATTTAAATAAGGAAGTCTTTGCTTGCCCAAAAGGAATTAGACCAGTCTGGCTGGCTTGCTGAGAAACTTCTTTTTCCCCCCTCCCTCTTCCTCTTTCCCCACTTTGTCCTCTTTCTTATCTGCCTGCCTCCTTATCTTTCTGTCTCATGGTGTCCCTCGAGGATACTGGATGCCCAGTCCTGGGAACCTGGGACCTCCCTGCACTTGTCTGGGCCAGCGCCCAGGCCTTCCCCAGCCTCCTTCCCCCAGCCCAGGAAACCCAAGCGTTTGCAGTCCAAGCTCGTGTGAAAACTCTGGCCTTCCCATCTCAGTCAGGGATTCTCACACCTTTCCCCGGGTCTCCTAAAGCAGTCACTGGCAAGACATGGCCTTGAACTCTCATATTCCATCTTAAAAATGCCCGTGCCGTTCGCCATCCCCTGCATCATCTATGACATACAAATACCCACTGCCACTCCCCATACAAATATGGAATGAAAATGGACGTTCCCGAAAGAGCCACTGGGTTTCCCCTGAGACTTCATCACCTTCACACACCAGAAACCCTCATATGACCATTTGAGAAGCTCCAAACCTGAACCCATCTTCTCCTCATTGACATACAGATAGCTTTTTCTCTAGCAAATTATATAGGGACTGTCTGTTCTGCAGCCATCATGCTTATTTGATCCCCTTTTCCCACCCCCCAGAAAATAGGTTCTGGGTGAGAAGCCACCTGTTTGGGAGGCCGAGGGGAGGTCAGCTTCCCCTCAACGTCTTGCCTCTCCTCCCTTCCAGACAGACCTAAGTGTCCTAAAGAGACCCTCTACTGCTCAGTGACAATTGATTCAACCTGTGCTGGCCCAGGGGTCTCTCTGCAGACCACCTGCTGGGGAGACTTCTCATGAACAAGTCAGGAGGGGAGGCAGCAGCCCTGTGTCTGTGTGTAAGGGGCTACCAGTCTGATTGCAGGTTTATCTCCCAGTTAGGGTGGGGGCGAAGCAAGATGCAGAGAGGCCCCAGTTCTGCAGATTTTCCCTCCAGAAAGCAAGCACTCTCCCCACCTCGCTCTACTCTCACCATTGTCCCCTTCCCCACCTGGTATTTCTCAACCTGATCTGGGACATGGATGGCTCCCCTTGAAAATTCTGACCAACCTGTAGACTCTCTTCCCAGAAAAATGCACGCGTGCCTACACATAAACTTGTGGATACCATTTAGACACCCCCCCAAGGCTCCTGCTATAAAAGACCCTGCTTTTGAGCAAGATGGGTCATAGTGGAGTCTAGGACGGGGGTCCTTGGTGAAGAGAGATAGGTAAGGCCAGCATCCCCCGATGAGTTTCTGAGAACATGATTTCCAGGGGACCCTAACAGGACCCCTGTGTAGGATAAGGTGAGTGGTCAAATGAGGCTGGGGGCTCTGGTTCAAGGGTTTTCTCCCTCCTGCAAGGCCTCTTGGACTCCGCAGAGGCTGTTAGAGCATGTAGTGCTCCCCCAAGGGCAAACACTTTCTTCAAGGAACAGCTCATGGGGATGACGTTCCAGGCCACCTGTGCTGCATCCAAACAGGATGGAGCAAAGCACAGGCTTCCTGCCTGGCCCCAGCAGGCACCAGAGGCCCCTTCTTCTTTTCCGTTCCTTACCTTCTCCCTCTGTCTGCTGGCTCCTGGCTGCCCACATTTGCCTGGGCATTGCTTTCTTGGCTGGACACCTCCTTAAGCTCGGCTCCACGGAAACGATCAGGAAAAGAGTCCGGTCCCTGGTCCTGGTGGTGCACATGCCTGGCAGCCCACCTGCGCAGCAAGAAGATGAGGCGCGACAGCCTGGAAGGTGACACAAGCACTGAGCCAGAGGGAGAGGAAAAGCCCCCCACACCCCCAAACCCCAGTCTTTCCCTCTCTCTCTTTCTCCCTCCCTCTCTGTCTGTCTCAAGGGATGGGGCAGAAGCAATGATGACCAGCAGGGTACGGGTGCTGGGGGCCCTGTGGTCTAAGTTTGCATCTCTGCCCCATGGGGACCGTTTATCCCCTTCTCCCTCCACCCTGCAGTCAGGGGCAGGCTTCCCCGGAAAGGGACACTCTCTTTATTACCATTTGTCCTTGCAGCACTTGGACTCTGCCTAAGGCATGATCCTTCAAATGGGGGATTAGCTCACTCCTTTTGCCCAATGGAGAGCTCTTTGTTATGACTGCCAAGTGCAGGAAGAGTAAAGCAATGTGGGTTTCAAAGGATGACAACATTGAGAGCAAGGTTATTTATTTATTTATTTAGAAGTTCTTGAGATCTGATACAGCAAGGCTTAAAGGAACAGGCGTCCAGGCACAACCTGGAGTCTTTTCCCAGCTTTTATCTTATTGGTGTGTTCTTGTACAAACTAGAGTTTTCTCCCCAGGCCTGGGAGGTTCCTTTGCAACTTGCCCTGGGCCCTCTCCCGGAGCCCGGCCCTGCCTGGAGCTTGCCGTGAGCTCCAACACCTGCGACCACAGTGCCAGTCCCTAGAGCTCATCTGAGACACACGGGCCTGAGAGGGGCCTTCCCTCCACCCTGCCTGCTGTTGCTGGTGTCTCTGCCAGAGGGGAACAGTGGGGAACAGGCCCAGAGACTCCATTCTGTTTCTTGGCTTCTGGTTTCCCTGATTTGGCATCTGCAGTGCCCTCCCCTGGACGGGGTGTCCCGAGCCAGAGTCAGTACTGAACAACCTGGAACTAAGCTATGAATTGTCACATACCTTGACCCTAATCACACACTTATGACCTTAGCCTAAGGCAATACATTGACTAAGAAAATATCTCTGTAGGCAGATGCTTACAGCTGCTGCCGCAGACATATTTGGAGGTATCTGCCAAGCCCAGTCTCTCTGCCGCAGACAATTCCTGTAACCACACACTTCCTCTGCCAAGAGGGTGGAACCAAGGTCATACTCCCTCCTCCAGCCTCAGACAATGGGACTAGGACAGACAACTGACGCACAGAGAGCCACTCAGGCCTCTGAACTGAGAGCCACTCGAAGACAGGGTTGGGTGTTTCAACTCATGGTCACATGGCAAAGGCTGTTTTCAGCCTTGTGCCAGCTGATATTGGAACAGAGAGAGCCAGAATGGAGGGGACATGCAGAAAGAAGCACAAAGACCATGAAACTCCATGAGAAAATGGGAGGGGGAAGGTGACTACCTCCCCAGGTCCCCTCCTGCGAGCCCCACTGGCTCTGTTTCCCTGAGATAGCTTGTGTTGCAAGCTTACAACACACCCTGTATCAGCCCTACAGAGCTGATTTAAAGGTGTTCTCTTTCTTCCTTTATCATCAAAGAACCTTAAGACAGCTCTTTATTAGTAAAATGCAAACACTGAACATCACTTACATGCCCAGCTACAATGGACTAGTTAAATAAACAATGGTGGAGTAGCATCCTTCATAATGAAAAGCATGAAGAATAAATAGATATGTGAATTTCTTTTGTGATAATCTTAAGTAAAAAGTTTAGAACATGTGACTATGTAAGACTCTGGCATTGGAAAAAACCACGTGGTGGAAGGAAATAATGAGCCTGGTGTTTGTTGAGCACCTGCCGTGAGTCGGTGCTTGGCTCTGAAGCAGCTTTCAAGCCACCTGTGGGGTAGGCACTGTTAGATGCATTTCTAGATGAGATTTGAAAAGGTGAAATGACTTCCTCAGGATGGAGCAGCTGTTGAAGCTGGAGTACGGATGTCATCAGGGGGAAGCAGAGCTTGGAGTCTCACTAATCTTGCAAACAAATGCTTTTGCAAGGACACCTACCTGCCCTGGGGTCCAGACGAGCACCCGGGAGACCCTGCCAGAGCCATTTCAGACTCATCACCACCATCCTCAGCACACCACTGTGTCCACCCAATCAAAGGTCTCCCACGGCTGGCTGCTCTTACCACCTTCTCCGGTTGGCTTTTTTTCTGAATTCTTCCAAACCTGAGCAAGTACCTCAATGTCAGCTTTTATTAAGCAATTTCAGATAAAGGCAGTTTTCCTTAGACTTTTCTGAGCTCAGAACATCTGACCCAAGAGGAAATTACTCACTGATAGTTTTCAGGCTGCTCTGCTCCTGACCCTTTCTTTTCCAAATCTTCAACTCCACCCCCATCTAGCACTTTTTCCTGAGAGGTCACTACCTTCTTTCTGCAACAGTGTCCCCCAGGCCAAGGTAGGGACTGAGGCTGGTCAGTTACCTGGCGATCCCCTGGCCGGTGAAGGAGCCCTGCCCGGAGTCAGCCAGTCCTCTGGTCTCCATGGCGATCCCCGGCTGCAGCACTGACGATGTCTCCTCACTTGACGAGTGGGCTCTAGGAAATCAGATATGCAGCAAGCAGAATTGATTTCAAGCCCATCTACCTCCTGGACACAGCCAGGAGTGAGACAGTCAGATGTTCTGCTTAGCAGGGAAAGCCACCCTCACAGATCCTCATCCCAGGGGCTCCCCACTTCCCTTTGCCTCCTGCAGATAGATTCTGGATTTTGGTATAAACGTGGCCTTTCCTTTACAGCAAGGAAGGTAGCTACTGTCCAGGGCTAGGTGAAAGGACGGGAAGGTGGCAGTACATGCTGGCCTGGCCCTCATCAAAGCACTGGGTGGGGAGAGGTCCCGGGGCTTGCCATTTCAAGCCAAAGCAGCTGCTTCCATAAAATGACTCCAGAACGAGGATTTTGGTTCCAACACTTCTCGCCTACTGAATTTCATCTTCTGAGGCTAGATTGAATACCCGCTCCTTAGGGGTCTTTCTGAGCCTCCCTTCCCACTGCGTGTGCTGCAGCCACACTGCCTGGGCAGCTGTTTGTGGGCTTGTCTGGCAGGCTTCCTGGGAACCCGCTGGTTAACACGGAGGCCCTGGAATATTGCACAGAACTGGCCTAGCTCTCCACATGCAGTTCAAATAATTTGTACAGTGCTTTCAAATGAGACTCCACTTCCCCTCGTCCCTTTTGCCAAACTCTAGGCTCTCTCTCCTGCAAGGCAGAGGTAAGGTGTGGTGACTCCCCTTGTGCAACCCATTGTGGAAAGTGTGACCCCAGAAAGGACAGGTGCCCGTAACTCCATACAACCACCAGTCACACCAGCAGAGTCTGGTTGAATTGCCTGGAATAAGACTAGGAATGCGTCTGGGAATATTTTCCTTTCTTTTAAACCTCCTGGGGCTGAAGTTTGATCAGCCTGATTAAAAGCCAGCCAGGCATTAGCCTCTAGGGATTTGCACTTCAGTCTATGAGTCTTGAGGAGCCCAGGCAAGACAAATTAATTCTATCACATGACCTGTTCCAACCCAATTAGCCTTCTTAACAAGGAGGCAAGAATTAATACCAGGGAAAAGCTTCAGTCTCTCCCTGGTGATTGATTAGAAGTCAGAGTCCTTGCATCACGGTGGCCAGGCTGCTGCTTGCTTCTCCTCTTCTACAGATTCCTCCCTGCCTTTTCCAGCAACAGGGAGCTCACTCCCATGCCCCGGTCTGCCTGGGCTGTCTCTTGACTGCGCCACCTGCCCACAGATTCTTCCCTCTCTCAGCCTCCCCACATTGAGGCTGTTTTCTGCTGGAACCACCGGGAGTCAGGTAGCTTCGTCTTCTACCTTCCATGACCAGGACCTGTGTGACTTCTGGGTTTCCAGGCCAGAACCCCCAGCTCACCCAGCAATTCCTCCTTGGGGTCAAGTCTCTTCCTTGTCATGGTCCTTCTCCTGTGAGCAAGTTCCTGGGGTCTTGCTTGACTGGGCAGACTCTGGGAAGACTTTATTGCTTTGTGTGTTTCTGGTGGTTTTTGATGGTCACCAGCTACAGTCAGCGAAAACCCAAAGCAGTCCTGTAACACAGGCTGCTGCCAGCCAGAGGACCCCGGCTTGTGTATGCGCAATTGATTTTTTTTGGAATTAAGTATTGGACCTTCCCACTGATCTGAGTAACTCGATGTTTTGGAAGCATTGGTATGCAGAGAACACACTCACCTTTCCTCCCAACACCATCCTACTCACAAACAAAATACACAAACCACATGCCATTCAGTGGCTCTTTTCTGTATGCCAGCCACATACATTTTATCATTTCATCCACACAACAACCCTGTAAGAGAGGAAATGGGAGTTCAGAAAGGTTAAGCAACTTCACCGAGATCCCATAGCCAGGTGGTACAGCCGAGATTCCAATGTTATTCCATCCCATTTCAAAACTTGCTGTCATCCACTCCATGAAGCTGCCCTGTATTTTCATATATGGCACAGATGAAAAGGAAATTAATAGGATGGCTGAGGACTGAGCCCTGTGGCATGCCACTAGAGACATTGCTGTAATCCATATGGCTGTACCATAGGCATGGCTCTTTATTTTCAAACCACCTGATTGAATTCTCCCCTTATACTCATAAGAAACCCACTCTCATCTCATTTGTGTACACATAAAAGACCCTGTCAGAGACCCTGCTGCAGTCCAGAAGCTACAATTCCCTTGCCCGCTTCATATTCTGTATACTATAAAGGCAGGATGCATGTTCCAATGCACCTAGGTTGGTTGCAGGAGGAGGTGGCAGAGGTCCTTGGATTCGAGAAGCTGGCATGGGGGTGGTGGTGATGGCAGCTGACAGCTGGGCGGGGGCCCTGTCACAGCCTGTGTGCCTGGAAGATCTGGAGGCAATCCCAAGGATGGAGGTGTTCTGCCGCCACCAGCAGCTCCTCAGGGAGCTCTAGGCACCAAGCAGTCGGCCCAGCGTTTTAGCGTAGTCTGGTTCCTGCTAATTGCATGAGGGCACATCCTGAGACCAGATTTATTTGCATTCGCGGCAAATGAATTAGATAACATCAGAGCTGGTGAGTGGGTGAGGAAGGCAAAACCCACCCAGGATTGCAAAGCAGGCCTGCAACCAGCAGCAGCGAGAGCTGTTGCATATGGGCGGGATCTATGATGCCCACTCAGGGGGAGGAGGCAGAGTGGAAAGGTGGCAGGTCCTGGTTTGAGTCCCTGCTCCAGCACCTGCAGGCTGAGTATTCTGTGGGCTGGTCACTTACCCTCTCTGGGCTTAAGTTTCCTGATCTTCACAAAGCAAATAAAGCAAAAGTTGGCAATTTCATGTGGATTTCAGTTACCAGAAAGGCACAACTGGCCGTGAAGAACAGGGAGATCCTTACATGATGCAAGTTCCAGGGGCCTGATGGGGGGGCCCATTTTTTCCCTATGCGTTGCCCCACTTCCTTCTCAATGCCTGAAATTCCATTAGATCAATGTCTTTCTTTTAGCTCCAGAGCTTTACCCATATTAAATGCCTGGGGGTGTTTACATAGTAAACTTCATTAATTACTTCTCCCAGAAACTGATTTTACCAGGCAGATGGAGGGGAGGTGGGAAGAGAGGAGAGGAACTGATGTCTGAGGTGACATTTGGAGTCCCCAAGGACACACAGGTACCGAAAAAAAGGAGATGCTTTTGGCGACTAATGCAGGAATGGAAAATGAGAGTCGTGGGGCCAGGCTCTGTTCTGCCTGTGGCTGGTGGAAGGGCCTGGGGCAATGGCTTTACAGGACCTCAGTCTCTGTAAAATGAACAGACCAGGCCAGGACAACCCTGGAGCTTCCCTCCCACGTGTGGGCTGCTATTCTAAGATCCCATGTGGGGTCGATGCCTTCCAAGGAAGAGGCCCCCCTGATGTTGGTAGTTGGCAAGAACAAGAACAACTAGTAGAATGGAGAGACTGCTTTGAAAGACAACATAATTTTCACCTTGTAATGCTCAAGTTCTACGTTTATTTGCACAGAGGAATTAACGTTGGTAAGGTGAAGGTTTCTTGTGACTGGGCGAGGACAGGGGCTCCCATGAGAACTGGAACTGGAAATTAACTTTGCACTTGGTGAAGCATCTGATGTTTTCCAGCAAGATAGTTTTGGGGACATGAGAGTAAACAGAGGTGACCTTTCAGCACAAGGCTGGGGAATACGACACTTTAATTTCCTCTTCTTAAGCCCTGAGGAACTTGAATGATTGGAACCCACTGCTATTGGCCACATGTGGTGGGGGACTGAAGCCAATGCATTTTTAAGCCTTTGGTCCTGGAGAAGTGGGATGAAAATGGTTTTCTTTGGTGGTAATTGCTTTGGGCTCTGCTCAGGGAGTAACACAAGAAGACCACTCTTCTGTCAGACACAAACCCCCGTGCCCCAAAGCTCATTCAAAATTGCTACGCCAGGAGATGGATCTGGGATTTAAGTTGCCCTCAGTCCTAGCTGCAATTCTCTGCAGCAGAGAATAGCCTGTTTCTATTGCCTTATCCTCACAGATATGCCAGACAGTTCTTAAATAATTGAGCCAACTAAAAAGATCTAAGTAGAAATGAAAACTCAGACTTATTTTTGGTATTTTCAGGGTGTAAAATGTTTTCATTCAAATGAAATGTTTTCATTCTTCCCTATGACTTTCCACTATAAAAATAATTCCAATAACTTAAAAACTGGCCCTCCAATTTGGTGAAAAGACCTTGGGGCAGGGAAGTCTCAGGGGACAGAGACTTGGCTATGCCTTCCTCTTGGGGGCACTCAGCGAGGGGCCATACCCACACGCAGGTTTCCAGTGCAGGCTTCTTGATATCACTGAAGATAAAGAGCGATTAACGTTCGTGTACCCCAATTCTCAATCATTTGTCTCATAAAGCTTTCTAAAAGGACTGGAATTTCAAGACAAAGAGGTGTGACTTGTCCAAACACTATTTCTCCTGGCTCCAAAATAGTGATTTGAAACTTAAAAATTTTTGCGTGGTATGTGCCTGAGTCCTTTGTTCAAATCAGTCTCACATAGAGACCTCATCGGTGGATAGACAGATGCTGGGCTGGGCTGGGAAGCAGGGGAGGGGCTGGGCCCAGCCTCCATCCCTGAGGCTGCTGTACCCCATCCTGAGTACACACTGTCATTCCTTGGTGACTCCAAGGAACATTCTGAAAATTTCTGGCTGTTAAAGCCAGTCTCGCCTCTGTAAGATAAAGCATAGCTCTTTCATAAAGGAAGCACTCTTTCTGTCTCTCATTTTGAAATCTCAGTGGTGTTTCCACGGGATACTGTATTAATCTGTCAATTTACCATGTGAAGGGTGGGGCCGAGACCTGAGTGGAGTTCAGTAAGCCTCGGCTGGTGGTCAGGCTGAAACAGCAGGGCTTGGACACAGGCAGGAAATGCGGCTATCTGAGGTCAAGGAGAAGAGACCAGAGAAGGGCCACAGGAAGAAGTAATCATTTCCAAGACCGGGAGTGGGAGTCAATTGAGCACTTAACCACATAGCAGGGACTGTGCCAGGACCTCTGCATTCACATCTGCAGTAACCTCACCACAACCCTAGGAGGGCAATATTAGTACTGATTCATTTTGCAGATGAGAAAACTGAGGCTTGGAGCCACTGAGCAACTTTTCATAGCAGGTCAGTTGCAGAGCCAGTGTCCAATCCCAGGCAGTCTGACCCCAAGCTTGTGCTGTTAAACCATCATTCTGGTCACAGAAAGTGCAAAGGAAGGAGAAGGGAGGACCTTTTCTCACCCATGCAGACGACAAATAGCATTATCTCAAGACGTCAGTTCAGAGCCCCTGACCATGTGGCTGATCCCTAGAGGTGCTGTGACCCTTGTCAGTGTGCATTCCAGAGTGAGCCTGCAGAGAGTCTGCCAGAAGCCAGAGGCCAGTGGCTGCTATTAGCATGGCTTAACAAGCTAGCAATTCATTTTGCAAATGGTCATCTTCTAAGAGGCCTTGCAAGCTTCAACAGGATACAGGTCAAGCTGGGCTTGGAGGTCACTGGCCAAAGCAGAACCAGGGTGAGTCAGCAGGACCACGGTGCTGTCAAGTCAGGCAGACATTGTGGGCAGGAGCCGCAGCAGCCTGCAGACCAGGACTGCCTTCTTCTGGGTGCCTACTCCAGTGGGTATCTCACCGGAAGGAGCCGGACTGAGATCCCACTACTGCCTTCTCTGCCTTTAGGGAATCTGGAAGCTCCATGACATGCTTGGGTCATGCCCCACTCCAGGCAAGTTGGGTGCAAAGAGGAAAAGTTCCATTCTGCTTCAAAATCTTCCTGATCCTGACAGCCTCTGGTCCTTCTCCCAAGGTCTTGGGCCCAGGATCCCAGGATCGTGATGTTATGCTGTGCCTCATTCTTGGGCTCCTTCTCCCTGATGCCCGACCCTCTCTTTGAAACCCCCTTCAAGGGGCTTTATTAGCTCACACATGGGAAATAAACTATTAAAACATACAGACGTTTCAAGGTCCTAATAGTGTTCTTTGTTCTTTTAAATAAGGAGCAATGCCTTAACTTAGAGGACTAAGTCTCCAGTGGTGCGACGCAGGCATTGACAAAGGGCTAGTTAGGAGAAAGGTATTTGAGTAGGATGGAACTTTCTGATGCCTCTGAAGCCATATCACACTTCCTGGGGCCCCAGCACCGAGTTAAAATGGTTGGAGGAAATAAATATCTGTTGGGATGCTCTGGGATCTTCCTTCCATTGCCGAAATCTCAGAAGGTGGGGTTCAAGGGCTGTGTGGGTTTGCCATAATGGGGACTCAATCTCTTTGAAAATTATTGACCATCACTTATTAGCAGAGTTTGCTGAGGAGCTGGGACCAAGAGTGTAGACAGAGAAACAACCAAATGTGCCTTTGGGAGAGGAAGTGATGAACACAAATGAATGAGAAGAAATGAGGCACGAGGGCCCAGTGCAGGGAGGTGGGGACTGAGGGATGTTACTGCATTTTGGGGCCATCAGACAGTGTGCATTTAAGCTGCATAGTGGGGAGAAGTTTTCAATTCTATATATATAGGGCAAAAATAACAGAAACATTGGAAAGAAAGTTGCTCATGCTTCAACTCAATCATCTCATTAATCATTTAACAAACATGGCTGGGTGCAGTGGCTCACACCTGTAATCCCAGCACTTTGGGAGGCTGAGGCAGGTGGATCACCTGAGGTCAGGAGTTCGAGACCAACATGGCCAACATGGCAAAACCCTGTCTCTACTAAAAATACAAAAATTAGCAGGGTGTGATGGTGGGTGCCTGTAATTCCAGCTACTAGAGAGGCTGAGGCAGGAGAATCACTTGAACCCAGTGAGCCGAGATTGCACTAATTGCACTACTGCACTCCAGTCTGGGTGACAGGGTGGGACTCTGTCACGAAAAACAAAAAGGAAAAAACTAAAAACAAAGAAACATAAGGGTTTAGCTCTATGTACAGTAAATAGGTCCCTTCGGGTGTCCTCACTATTATACCAGGAGCTTGGAAAAAATGCTGTTTCATTGTGAAGAAATTGAGGCATGGAGTGGTTAAATGCGTTTTCCCAGGTCTACTAGTAAGTTAGGAAGAGGGTTAGAAGTAGAGCTTAAGGCTCCAGATTTCCATTTCCTACCTGTGTCAGGATGTCATTGATGGGGTTGATGGCTTGGCTGACAAGGGGCACTGCCCACTCCCTATACAGGCCCTGGGCATGGCCTGCCTCCAGATCTTCCCCTGGAAGCGAGGGCAGGGCATCTGATTCATGCTACATCTTTGGTGCCCAGCTCAGACTGCAAACCCAGTTCAGTGGCTGGTGCACAGCAAGAGTCCAACACATTTTTGATGAATACATGGGAGAGTGTGTCAGTTTGAGGAAGTTCTTACAGTAAAATTTAGTCTGCTGCATTTGAGTCTTCATTTTCTTACCTTATAGCAATTAAGTGACTATTTAAGCCTGCTTTTCCACATCTCTAAAACAAGAATACAGACTACTTTCTGGGGGTTGTGAGGATTAAGTGAGATGAAAAATGAAGTTGGCAGTGCTGTGAATACCTCCCCTGCCCTCTGACCTGTGGCTGGCCAACGTGAAGGCATTCTTCCCCCACAGTCTAGATCAGCTGTGGAAATGACCAGAGCCAGGCATAAAATGAAAAGCCCATCTTAGCCCATCTTACCTGCTGAGGCCATTTTCAGCGCGATTGAGATCTCGGTCTGAGGTCTTTACCTTGAGGTGGGTCCTGGAGGGGTGGGAGTATTGGGTGTTGATCTTGGCCATCTTCTCGGTTTGTCACATTTAGCCCCCCAGATGATTGCTAAAATGTGAACACAAAGCAGACACGTCATCAGGACAGGAAAGTAACTGCAAACCCAGCTCATCAAGGGCAAGGGCTACCGCACGCGGCCCCCCTGCAAGCCCTGGCAGGCACACCCTCTGCTGTCTCTTGTAGTTCCTGCTGCAGTGAGTTTTAGTTGGACATCTCCAGGCTCTTCTTTCTAGCATAAGGCACAAAGTCTTTTACTCATTTGTTTATGCTACCATGCTGAAGAGATGCTCAGAGTTAAGTACTGAATGAGTGAATGAATAAATAAATGAAGGGCCAAGTTGGTATGTGATATAAGGAAGGTGAAGCCCTCATGATTCTTTGAGATGATGCAGTGTCCCTCTTGACCCTGGTTTTCTTGTTTCCTTATTTTTATCTTATAATTTGGCACCTATTTCCACTGCTCCCTCAAATCTTGCTTTAAGACAACATGTAAAAAAAGGACCATATGTGACATTCAGAAAACCTTTACAATATAATGCTAAACCCAATACACGATTCATCTCATTAATCCTTACAGTAACTTTGTGAGGTACTTATTATTTTTATTCCCATTTAAAGATGAATAAACTGAGCGTCAGAGATGTTAAGTAGCTTGTCCAATGAAAGATAGATCCACCTGTCAATGTGGCACAATCCTTGTGAAATCGTCTTGAAAAATTGTAACTAAGAAAATTATGTCAGTGAACGACATAAGACCTAACCAATTCCATCTTGCTTCTAACCTCTAAATTGTCCTTATTCATTCCTGGGCGTAGGCCGAACTAGCCTTGGGAAGGAATTTAATTTATAATTTAAATTAAAGCCCTTTCCCAAAGCTAAACTGTTTTTGTAAAACAACTAAAAGCCCAACAGCCACCAAGTTAGAATGAGAGGGGCTGGAATTCTAAATATTATCAGCCATTATTCCAGAGGTCGTAAGATTCGCAACTTCCCCAGTTACTGTTAAAGGCAACGTCACTATTGTGAGCCTAAGATCGGCCTTTTGAGATGTCTTTTCAGGTTTTCACATTTCTAACAACCGGATGGCCACACCTTGACCTACCAACCAGTTCTGTGGCCTCCACCCAGTAACTGACTCAGCATAAGAGAACAGAGTCAACTCCCTGTGATTTCATCCCTAAGCCAGCCAATCAGCACTTCCGATTCACTGGCCCCCTACCCAACAAATTATCCTTAAAAACCCTGATCCCTGAGTTTTGGGAAGAGTGATTTGAGTAATAATAAAACTCTGGTCTCCTGCACAGCCAGCTCTGTGTGAATTACTTTTTCTCTGTTGCAATTCCCCTGTCTTGATAAGTTGGCTCTGTCTAGGCAGTGGGGAAGGTGAACCCCTTGGGCAGTTACACTTGTGCCAGAAATCAGGTCATGAACATTTTCTCTTTGGCAAACATTGGAAGGTGCCCCTGTGATTGAAAAGAAAGCCTATGTGAGAGCAGGGCTGGTGTGATTGGCCAGTTCCATGATTTTTGGATAAGTCTTTCACTGGAAGATGCATTTCTGAGGATGGTTTCTCTAAAATAGATTAGCACAGGCTCTCTTGAGCAGCCACATCGTTTAAGTGTGTCAGATGTCAGTGGAGACCACTCCGGAGAAAGATGGCAATTTCTAGAAATAGCCCAGGGACTCACTCCAGGACTCAGTTAATTCCAAATCCAAAGGAAGGTCAGAGACAGGAGCCATTGGTGTGGCCATGCACATTTGGCCAACCCTCTGCCAGTTACAAAAGGGCAGCCATCGGCTCAGCAGGGTCCTGACTTGTCTCTGATGTTTGATAGTTTAAGTCTATGAGTTTAAATATTCTGGTTTTCTCAATAGATCAAACATTGTTTTGATTTTTAAACACTTTATTCACTTATGTAACAATGAGTGAGTTTCTGGCTGATCATAGGAGCTATAAAGAGAAATAAAACGAAGCCTGTTCTCAAGGATCTGACAGTGCAGTGGGGCAGGTGCTACAACAGGCTTTGCAGGTTGTGCCCAGGAGCTTGGGCCTTACCCTAAAGCCCAGTAGGAATGTGGTCAGGTGTGTACAGGCCACTCTGGCTAGACCAGGGAGGATGTATTCAGGGAACATGAGTTCCCTGTGAGGTGAGCAGCTAAAAAATTGCCACAGTTTCTTAGGGGAGAGAGAACAACTGCCTGAACTAGCTTTGTGGTAGTGATAGCAAGTGGGTAGAGTTGCCAGGACATGGCAATTTAGGTATAAGGGGTGGGGAGGAAGAGGTGCTGAACACAGTGCCCCAACAGCTGGGGTGATGGGGGGTGTTGCCTGCCCATTGAGACAGGGAACTAGGGGGGAAGCACGTTAGAGAAAGAGAATGATTCCAGTTTGAGATGCCTGCAAAACTTTAGGACCAACATAAGAAATTGTACTCATTAAAAGTAATAAATCCGGGGAGGGACCAAGATGGCTGACTAGAAACAGCTGAGGTCAGCCGGGCGGGGTAGCTCACGCCCGTAATCCCCGCACTTTGGGAGGCCGAAGCGGCTGGATCACAAGGTTAGGAGATTGAGACCATCCTGGCTAACATGGTGAAACTCTGTCTCTACTAAAAACACAAAAAATTAGCCGGGCGTGGTGGTGGGTGCCTGTAGTCCCAGCTACTCGGGAGGCTGAGGCAGGAGAATGGTGTGAACCCGGGAGGCGGAGCTTGCGGTGAGCCGAGATCGCGCCACTGCACTCCTGCCCTCCAGCCTGGGGGACACAGTGAGACTCTGTCTCAATAAAAAAAAAAAAAAAAGAAAAAAAAGAAAAAAAACAGCTGATGTCAGAGGTTCTCACCAAGGAGAATGAAAATGGTGAGTGAATCCTGCACCAGCAACTGAGGTGTCCAGGTTCTCTCAGTGGGACTGACTAGGCAGTCCCAAGGAGAGTGAGGACAAGCAGGGTGGAGCGCCTGCCCACCTGGGAGCGGCACAGGGCAAGGGGACCTCTCATTCTCAGCCAAAAGAGGCGGTGAGTGATTGTGCTACCCTACCCAGGAAACCACGCTTTTTCCATGGATCTGTGCTATCCACAGATCAGGCGATTCCCTCGTGAGCCCACACCACCAGGGCCTTGGGTCTCAAGCACAGAGCTGTGCAGATTCTTGGCGGCCTCTACACTGGAGACTGCCTAAGACTACCGAGCTCCTGGGGAAAGGGGTGGCCGCCATCACTGGAGTTCCAGTCTGCCATTTTCCCCTGCTGGAGTCGTGGAGACTGGGCAGTTTGGGCCCAGGAGGAATTCCCCACAGTGCACCATAGCGGCTGTGGCAGATCGTGGCCAGACTGCCTCTTTAGGCTAAACCCAGACCCATCCCTCCTCACCAGGCAGGGCCTCCCCGCTGGAATTTCAGCAACCCCAGCCAGGGGCTGGATGTCCCTGGGATGGAGCCCCTTGCGGGGAGGGGCTGCTGTGGTATCCACTGAATAGTGGACTTGGTCTCTCCCCTGGCTGGCTTTAAGGAATCGGGCAGTCTGGATGAGTGGGATCCCCCGCAAGTGCAGCGCATGCCCTCTGCTAAGAGTCAGCCAGAGTGCTTTGTTAAGTGGGTCCCTGATCCTGTGCTTCCTGACTGGGTGAGACCCCTCAACAGGGGTCAGCAGAAATCTTAAACAGGCACGTTCTTGCCGGCATCAGGTCAGCGCCCCTTTGAGACGGATCTCCCGGATGAAGGAGCAGGCAGCCATCTTTGCTGTTCTGCAGCCTCCACTGGTAACACCTCCAGGGGCAGGAGGGATCCAGGTGAATGGGGTCTGGAGAGGATCCCCAGCAAACTGCAGCAGCCCTACAAAAGAAGGGTCTGACTATTGAGAAATAAACAAAGCAACAACAGCAACAGCATCAACTAAAAAGTTTCCACAAAAATCCCATCCAAATGTCAGCAGCCTCAAAGACCAAAACAAGATAAACCCATGAAGATGAGAAAGAATCTGCCAAAAATGCTGAAAACTCAAAAAACCAGAGTGCCTCTTCTCCTCCAAATGATCACAACACATCTCCACCAAGGGCACAGAACTGGGCTGAGGCCGAGATGGATTAACTGACAGAAGTAGGCTTCAGAAAGTGGGTAATAACAAACTTTGCTGAGCTAAAGGAGCACGTTCTAACCCAATGCAAAGAAGCTAAGAACCATGATAAAACATTACAGGAGCTGTTAACCAGAGTAACCAGTTTAGAGAGCCACATAAATGACCTGATGGTTCTGAAAAACACAACACGAGAACTTCACAAGTATCAATGGCCAAATAGACCAAGCAGAGGAAAGAATTTCAGAGCTTGAAGACTATCTTGCTGAAATAAGACAGGCAGACAAGATTAGAGGAAAAAAAAATGAAAAAGAATGAACAAAACCTCTGAGAACTACAGGATTATGTAAAAAGACTGAACCTATGACTGATTGGGGTACCTGAAAGAGATGGGTAGAATGGAACCAAGTTGGAAAACACACTTCAGGGTATCATCCAGGAGAACCTCCCCAACCTAGCAAGACAAGCCAACATTCAAATTCAGGAAATCCAGAGAACTCCAATAAGGTACTCCATGAGAAGATCAACCTCAAGACACATAATCATCAGATTCTCCAAGGTTGAAATGAAGGAAAAAATGTTAAGGGCAGGGATTACAGGCTTATGCCACCATGCCCAGCTAATTTTTGTATTTTTAGTAGAGACAGGGTTTCACCATGTTGGCCAGGCTGGTCTCAAACTCCTAACTTCAAGTGATTTGCCTGCCTCGGCTTCCCAAAGTGTTGGGATTATAGGAGCGAGCCACTGGACCTCAGTAGGCTGAGGCAGGAGAATCGCTTGAACCGGGGAGGCGGAGGTTGCAGTGAGCTGAGATTGCACCACTGCACTTCAGCCTGGGTGACAGAGCAGGACCCCAACTGAAAAAAAAAAAATGTTAAGGGCAGCCAGAGAGAAAGGCCAGGTCACCTACAAAGGAAAGCCCATCAGACTAACAGTGGACCTCTCCCCAGAAACCCTACAAGCCAGAAGAGATTGGAGGCCAATATTCAATACTCTTAAAGAAAAGAATTTGCAACCCAGAATTTCCTATCTGGCCAAACTAAACTTCATAAGCAAAGGAGAAATAAAATCCTTTTCAGACAAGTAAATGCTGAGGGGATTCATCAGCACCAGGACTTGCAGGAGCTCCTGAAGGAAACACTAACTATGGAAAGGAAAAACTGTTATCAGCCACTACAAAAACAGACTGAAATACAAAGACCAACGATATTATGAAGCAGCAACCTCAACAAGCCTGCAAAATAACCACCTGACATCATGATGACAGGGTCAAATTCATACACAACTATATTAACCTTAAATGTAAATGGGCTAAATGTCCTGATTAAAAGACACAGAATGGCAAGCTCGATAAGGAGTCAAGACCCATCAGTGTGCTGTATTCAAGAAACCCATCTCAGGTGCAAAGACACAAATGGGCTCAACATAAAGCGATGGAGGAAAATTTACAAAGCAAATGGAAAGGAGAAAAAAGCAGGGGTTGCAATCCTAGTATCTGACAAAACAGACTTTATTTATTTATTTATTTATTTATTTTTGAGATGGAGTCTTGCTCTGTTGCCCAGGCTGGAGTGCAGTGGTGCAATCTCGGGTCACTGCAACCTCTACCTCCTGGGTTCAAGTGATTCTCCTAGCTCAGTCTCCCTAGTAGCTGGGATAACACGCCCATGCCACCATGCCTGGCTAATTTTTGTATTTTTAGTAGAGATGAGGTTTCACCATGTTGGCCAGGCTAGTCTTGAACTTCTGATCTCAAGTGATCTGCCCACCTTGGCCTTCCAAAGTGCTGGGATTACAGGCATGAGCCACCACACCCAGCCTGACAAAACAGACTTTAAAGCAACAAAGATCAAAAAACACAGAAGGGCATTACATAATGGTAAAAGTATCAATTCAACATAAAGAGCTAACTATTTTAAATATATATGCACCCAATAAAGGAGCACCTAGATTCATAAAACAAGTTCTTGGAGACCTACAAAGAGATGCAGACTCCCACACAATAACAGCGGGAGACTTTAACACCCCACTGTCAATATTAGACAGATCATCGAGACAGAAAATTAACAAGGATATTCAGGACTTGAAGTCAGCTCTGGATCAAGTGGATCTGATAGATATCTACAGAACTCTCTACCCGAAAACAACAGAATGTACATAGGTATTGTACTAGGAATGTACATAGGAATGTACTAGGTATTGATGGAACATACCTCAAAATAATAAAATAATAAGAAATAACAAAATAATAAAAGCCATTTATGACAAACCCATATCCAATATCATACTGAATGGGCAAAATCTGGAAGCATTCCCCTTGAAAACTGACACAAGATAAGGATGTCTTCTAGATCCTATATCTAGAAAACCCCATCATCTTGGCCCAAAAGCTTCTTAAGCTGATAAGCAACCTCAGCAAAGTGTCAGGATACAAAAGTCACAAGCATTCCTATACATCAACAGACAAGCAAAGAGCTAAATCATGAATGAATTTCCACTCAAAATTTCTACAAAGAGAGTCAGATACTTAGGAATATAGCTAGTAAGGCAAGTGAAGGACCTTATCAAGGAGAACTACAAACCACTGCTCAAAGAAATCAGAGAGGACACAAATGGAAAAGCATTCCATGCTCATGGATGGAAAAAAATCATTATCATGAAAATGGCCATACTTCCCGAAGTAATTTATAGATTCAATGCTATTCCCATTAAACTACCATTGACATTCTTCACAGAATTAGAAAAAACTACTTTAAAATTCATATGGAAACCAAAAAGAGCTTGTATAGCCAAGACAATCCTAAACAAAAAGAACAAAGCTGGAGGCATCATGGTACCCAACTTCAAACTATGCTATAAGACTATAGTAACCAAAACAGCATGGTACTGATACAAAAATAGGGATATAGACCAATGGAACAGACTAGAAAACTCAGAAATAAGACCACACATCTACAACCATCTGATCTTTAACAAATCTGACCAAAGCAAGTAATGGGGAAAGGATTCCCTATTTAATAAATGGTGCTGGGAGAACTGGCTAGCCATATGCAGAAAATTGAAACTGGACCCCTTCCTTACACCTTTTACAAAAATTAACTCAAGATGGATTAGAGACTTAAATGTAAAACCCCAAACTGTAAAAACCCTAGAAGAAAATATACGCAATACCATTCAAGACAGGCACGGGCAAAGGCTTCATGACAAAAACATCAAAAGCAATTGCAACAAAAGCAAAAATTGACAAACAGGATCTAATTAATTTCAGGTGTGCTTCTGCACAGCAAAAGAAACTATCATCAGAGTGAACAGACAACCTACAGAATGGGAGAAAATTTTTGCAATCTACCCATCTGGCAAAGGTCTAACATCCAGCATCTATAAGGAACTTAAATGAATTTGCAAGAAAAAAAAAACAACATTAAAAAGTGGGCAGGCCGGGTGTAGTGGTTCACATCTGTAATCCCAGCACTTTGGGAGGCCGAGGCAGGTGGATCACCTGAGGTCAGGAGTTCGATACCAGCCTGGCCAATATGGTGAAACCCCATCTCTACTAAAAATACAAATAATTAGCTGGGCGTGGTGGCAGGCGCCTGTAATCCTAGCTACTCGGGAGGCTGAGGTAGGAGAATCACTTGAACCCGGGAGGCAGAGGTTGCAGTGAGCCGAGATAGTGCCATTGCACTCCAGCCTGGGCAACAAGAGCAAAACTCTGCCTCAAAAAAAAAAAAAAAAAAAAAAAGTGGGCAAAGGACATGAAAAGACACTTCTCAAAAGAAGACATTTATGTGGCTAATAAACATATGAAAAAAAGCTTAACGTCACTGATCATTAGGGAAATGCAAATCAAAACCACGATGACATACCATCTCATGCCAGTCATAATGGTGATTATTAAAAAGCCAAGAAGGCCGGGCGCGGTGGCTCACGCCTGTAATCCCAGCACTTTGGGAGGCCGAGGCAGGTGGATCACGAGGCCAGGAAATCGAGACCATCCTGGCTAACACGGTGAAACCCTGTCTCTACTAAAAATACAAAAAATTCTCTGGGGGTGGTGGCGGGCGCCTGTAGTCCCAGCTACTCTGGAGGCTGAGGCAGGAGAATGGTGTGAGCTCGGGAGGTGGAGCTTGCAGAGAGCCGAGATCGCGCCACTGCACTCCAGCCTGGGCGACAGAGCAAGACTCTGTCTCAAAAAAAAAAAAAAAAAAAAAGTCAAGAAAAGGACAGTTGCTTGTGGGGCTGTGGAGAAACAGGAACGCTTTTACACTGTTGGTGGGAGTGTAAGTTAGTTCAACCATGTGGAAGACAGTGTGGCAATTCCTCAAAGACCCAGAACCAGAAATACCATTTGACCCAGTAATCCCATTACTGGTTATATACCCAAAAGAATATAAATTATTCTATTATAAAGATACAGGCATGCATATGTTCATTGTGGCACTATTCACAATAGCAAAGACATGGAATCAACCCAAATGCCCATCAATGATAGACTAGATAAAGAAAATGTGGTACATATACACCATGGAATACTATGCAGCCATAAAAAGGAATGAGATCATGTCCTTTGCAGGGACATGGATGGAGCTGGAAGCCATTATCCTCAGCAAACTAACTCGGAAGCAGAAAACCAAACACTGCATGTTCTCACTTATAAGTGGGAGTTGAACAATGAGAACAGGTGGACACAGTGAGGGGAATAACAACACACACTGGGGCCTCTCCAGGGGTGGCAGGGAGGGAGAGTAACTGGATAAATAGCTAATGCATGCTGGCCTTAATACCTAGAGATGGGTTGATAGATGCAGCAAACCACCATGGCACACATTTACCTATGTAACAAACCTGCACGTCCTGCGCATGTACCCCAGAACTAAAAATAAAATAAAATAAATAAAATAAAATAAAATAAAATAAAAATAAAAATAACACACATATTCATGTGTGTTATCCAAATAGTAGTAGTTATAATATATTGAAATCTGATTTTATTCCAGTCAATGTGCTAAGCTTTTTACATCATTGTTTATTCTAACATGAGAGTCTCTGAGGTGGATGCTATTAGTGTCTTCATTGCATAGATGAGGAAATGGAGGCTTATAACAGGTTATGTAACTTTCCAAAGAACGTGTGAGGTCCAGAAGCCACATTAGGACTCAACCCTATTTGACTTAGTATATGCAGACTTTGGCCAAATCCTTGTCTCCCACCTCCCCCCGGCCTCATTATTTTCAATACTTTAAAATGGAATGTTTATATGTTTTTAGATAAAAAAGCAATAAATCCAATTCAAAATTGTCCATTCAACACTTTTTAATTGAGCACTTACTATGTGCCAGGCAATATGCTAGAAGCTGGGGCTTTATTAGAGAGCTATATGCAGCTCTGTCCTCCAGGAGCTGACAGTCAAGTGGGGTGCAGAGCAAGTCTCAAAGAAGTTTGGGACTCTGTGGAAAAACTATCGAATTACTCTTCTTTGTACATTTCCAGGCAAATTACACCAAATAAAGTGCATTGTCTCCAGCCTGTGCCCCTTCCTTCAGCCCCCTCAGCTGCTTTCTCTATCCTGGGCACAAACTCTGGTCCCACTGCCATTGCATGGAGGCAGTACCTCTGTCCTCCCATAGACCTGCCTCCTGTTGAGGGCCACTAGGTGCCAGCCACAGGTGAGTGCTGTGCAACACTTCCTTACTTAATCCTCACAGCAGCCCCCCTCCCTCTCTTACAAATGAAGAAACTGGACAGGTGAGTCATTTCCTTAAGGTTGCTGCTGAAGGCCGGAGCCAGGATTGACTAAAAATCTGTCTGACTCCAAAACCTGAGAGTGCAAAGTCATTGAGGGAACTGGTATTGCCTTTAGGCCTGGGCAGGAGGGGTCTCTGCTTTAAAGGACCCCATGCTGGCCCTCCTCCAGCCACATCCCTCCCAAAGGGTCGAGAAGCCCATAGAATCAAGGGGCCATGCCCACCGGGAACCCTGCCCCTGCTCCAGCTATGGTCTGAATGCCCCAAACCCCCAGATTCTCTGTCCAAGAGGCTTTCAACTGGTTCTAGAGCCTGCCTGGGACTCTTCCCTGGTCCATCTCCCTGAGTGCACCAGCTTGCACTCCCCTAGGCCCAAGGATGGCCAAGGAGCAGCTGTTTGTGGGGGGTGGGGGAGACAGAGCCTGGAGATGTGGCCAGGGCGTCCACAGACAGGTGTGCAGGGCCTCCTGTGCAAGGCCCCTTTGACGTGGTGTGGACCTAGGGCTGGGGACAGAAGGGGGCAGGTTGTGGGCAGGGAACCAGAGATCAGCTCTCCTCATGACTTCCTGCTCTCAGGCTCAACTCCAAGGGGCCTGAGTACTCTCGGTTTGAACCTGGCCTCCAGGTGGTAATGCAGTGTATTTGCCAGTTTAGGAGGGTGGGCACATTTGATTTAACAGTGTGCTATCTTGGTCCATGTAATGGTCATTTCTGGTCCTCTACCTCGCATCCTTCCTGCCCACCTTTCAGTCCAGCCATTGCTATGGCAACCAGCTGCATGCTGGGTAACCCATGTACTTTGCCTCAGTGACACTGCAGATTCTAGGGCCTTCTGCCTTGGGGGCTTCCTTACTTCCCCCAGGAAACACTTGCTGAGACCACATCACCGTTCTGATACATGTGCAAAAGCTGAAGGGGTAACATCCTTGGGGCAACCCTGGACCAATAGAAGCAGGAGCCTGAGGGAATATACTCTTCCATCCCTCAGGAAGGTGGCTCTGAGACACTTTCTACCTGGCTCCTTGGAGAACCCCTGGTTGCCCAGAGTGGCGATCAGTTTGATAATGGACATCTGGGTTGGCTTGTCCTCTTTCCCTTTTGCCCTCTCCAAGACCCCTACTCCTGTTCCTTGGAATCACTCCCCAAATAAACTGCCTGCCTGCATTCCCTGTTCAAGGCTCTGTTTTGGAGGGGAGTGGGTATCACTGCTAAGAGAATCTTTAACTTTTAGATATTTGGGCTACAGTAAGTGGGTCATTTGTACTCTTGACCCAAGTCCCTCAAGGTTTAGGAGTGAGCCAAGTTTCCCTTTTAATTCTATGTTCTTTATCCAGGAAAACAATGGTTGGAGTAGGACAGGGCAAAATGTACATCACTAAAGGGAAATGTAAGTTTAAGATAACTCAGAAGATCTTTTTTCCCTATTGTCTCATAAGTGTCATAAATGGTTGTCTTTGAAAAAATACATTAAAAAATCAGGAGGAACCAAATAAGGAACCAATCTTGTTGATTGGTTGTTATATCTTCTTGGTATTTTTACCTCTAAAGTTTTTCTCTTTGTGTAGAAATTTCATTATTTGTCCAATGGAGTTTACTACAGTATGAATTTTTGCTAATTCCAACTTTAAAATGTTATCTACTACTGGTAGCTGTACCCAGAAGCTTGGTCAATTTATTAATTTTTTTTTGCATGACAATTTCATAGGGGATTCTTTGTTCTTCCATCAGAAGGTACATAAGATCTTATATTTCTCTGGGGGACATTAGCAGCTGTTGATGTTCATTTGCTAGATCCATCAATTCATTAGAGGTTGCAAGTTGGTGGTATTCTACCATTCCTTCCTCAATTAGCTGAAATATTTTTAAAAGAAAAAATTTTACTCTTAATTATTTGATTGGTCAATTCCTATAGGAAAGGCCGAATAAACAATTATTTCCCTGTATTTATCAGTTTTTGAGTCATGACATCTTAAGAGATTACCCAACCACTGCATGTGTTTTCACATCTGGCCCTGCCTTGATAAACTCTTTGTGAGTAGAACTCACCAATGAGATAATGAAACCACAATCAGTGATCCTGAGGCTCTGTGGACAATGAAAGCTGCCATCTAGCCAGGGCCCCCTGGGTGCGAGGCACTTCCATATCCATCACGCGTGAATCCTCAGTAACCCCAAGAGGGAATAGTGATGCTCATCTTGCAGATAAGGAAATGGACCCCTGGGCCTGTCTCACTCTGAAATCCACATTATGGCTTGTTCTGTTTATCACAGGCACTGCAGGAGATTGGAAATGTACAAATGGAATTTTAATTTTCAAAACTAGCAAGAAGATGCATTCTGCAACTGTGAAGGTGACCTTGAAGTGGATCCCAGGCGTGAGTCTAGGAGTGGTTTTTGAGCATCTCCCAAATGAATGTGTATTTTCTAGGACTTAACTGGAGAGCTAAGAACATGCCATTTCAGGCAATTTCCATTTTCTTTACAACATGACTAAATCTAGCATGTCCCCCTGCCACCAGCCCCCTTACTGACTCCTTGCCAATGATGTCCCAGGCACTATACCTGGTCCTGAGAATTGTGAAGATGAGGAAGACAGATCTCTGCCATTGAGAGCACAACATTTGCATGGGGAAAACAGGCGTGTTAAACAGTGAGGGTAAGGTAGTGCAAATGGTGTTGAAATACAGGTAGAGGCACGATGGGTGCAATGCAGG
Source organism: Homo sapiens (assembly GCF_000001405.40). NCBI lineage: Eukaryota > Metazoa > Chordata > Mammalia > Primates > Hominidae > Homo > Homo sapiens. Next base: position 98,357,457 of record NC_000002.12, on the reverse strand, counting down.
ATGGGGAGGAAATCCTTAATTCTGCCTTAGGGACCATTAAGGAGGCTTCCCAGGTGAGAAGCCATCACATTTACTTAGCACTATTCAACATTTACCATTACAGTGTTACATGTACCACTTACAATCACATTTTGCTGTGTACCTTCAAGGATTCAGCTGTGACTTTTGCACTCCAGTGCTCATCCTGGGCTCTCTCCACTGTCATTGGCCCGGACGCCTGAGTAGTCAGGCATTTAACGCAGCTCACTGTATTCCAGTTATTCTTGTACTTTTCTTGTTCCTTTACTGACTCCAAAAGCCTTAAAGGCAAGAACTGCCTCCTTTTACCTAAAAAACATTTTATTCTTCAAACACCCGGCACATACATTTAGTAGGTAGTAGAGCGTGTGATAAATGGAGGAACTGGTGAGGAATCATCATGACGACACTGATAATAACAGCCACGTATTTATTGTTTAATCTTTGCCTGTTACTGTTCTAATAACTTTAAGTGCATATTTACTCATTTGATCCTCACAATGATTGTGTGAATGAGTCACACTGAAAATTTCCATTCCACTTGGAATTTATAAGTGGGAATTTATGAGAGAGCAAACATACTACAAAGGAGGGCCAAACATTTCGAGCCCCTTGCTCTAGACTGAACGTGCTTCCGAAAGAAAACCTTGCTCCCCATTCATGATGACTAACTGACCATTTACACTCAGTTTGTTTGTTCTCTGTCTTCTTTTTTATTGTGACCTGAACATCAAAACTAATCCTGGTGCAATTTGTGTGGTTTGAAACATTACCATTTTCCAAGTCTGAATGCAGCTGACAATGGAGAGACAACACAGAGGTGTCCATAGCCCTGTATGGATGCACTGTAAGTCCACTGGAAGTCGTTCTGAATGATCATCATCCTTGGGGAGGAGACTCTATTCAGCCAGGGTTTGGCGGGTCCAATTAGTGAGGTGCCGAGTCTGGACACAAGCCATGGCAAACAAGCCGAAATCTCAATCAGGACAGAGTACAGAGTCTTGATGGACAGGCATACTTAGCCCAGGCCACTGTTTTCTCCAGCAGAGACTGATCACTGGGGTCTTCTATCTTACTTCTCAGAAGTAATCTTCTCAGACTCTGTCTGAGTCTGATTCATTTCAGTCCTCCAAAACTCAACCTTCTCAGCATCACCCTGGACAAATGCACTCAGCAAGTTATCAGTAAATGTGAGGCTGGGCAGGCTCGCTTCATCAAATTAAACTCCAAAGATAAGTCAAGAACTCCCCCAGGGTCTACATACTTTGAAACTTTTCTAAAACACTTTTCCAAAATACTCTTCCAATTGCCTTTCCCTTATGCCCCCATCCTGCTTGAGAACTGCAGGGTAGAAGGGAAATTCTCCAGTGCTGAAGCACTTAATTACCCTGAGACCTGTGAACCACCCCACAGAGCTGACGTGGGCACCACACTGACATTCCTACAGCCGGCAAAGAGGCCTGGTGATTTGAAGCAGAGTCCTAGGCTTATGGAGAGAGAAAACCCTGAGTGAAATATCTTTTGTTTGACTCAAATCACATTTGAAAGGCAGTATAAGTGGTTAAGGGCACTGGCCTGAGAGGAAGGAGAGATGGCTTCTCTTCCCAGCTTAGCCTCCAATGTGGGTAAGTGACCAGCACTTTAATTTTTTCATCTAATAATAGAAATGGCCTTATTTAAAATGAAATAATCCACAAAACCCTGATGCATAAAGCATTTACTTATTGTATTTTATTTAAAAGTATTTGATAACTTTGATAAAGACAATTAGTGGGACACAAGTTAATTTTGGCCATGATAGTCAATATATTAAAGTTTGGTACAGAAGACATGTCAGTGCTATCTTTATATAAGAGTTTTAAAAATATTTAAATATACCTTTTAAAAAACTTAAAATATGTGCAGAACATCTTAAGAAACTGTGGAACAGAGTTGAAAATCATAGGCCCAGTTGATTATTAAAAGTCCTTCAATTCTAGAAGTTCCATGATGGAGCAAAACACTATATGCAAATATTACACCTGAGGGTCCTCTTATATTTTATGTGTGAATGTGAACCTATGTGGAAAAAATAAAAACATTCCAGAGCTTCAAAAACAGAAAGGAAAACTATATAATGTTAATATTTTTGGAAACTGTATAAGAAAAGTGAAAACAATTTGAATATCAGAATTTACATGAAAGGACACTTCGAAACTCAGATTAATATGCAAAAGTTCTCAACAAAATACTAGTAAACTATATCCAGCAACATACAAAAGGATTTCACAGGGAAACCAAGTGATGTTTATCCCAGAAATGCAAAATAGACTTACCCAAACTCAATCAATGTAATACTCCCTCCTAATAGAATAAAGGGCAAAGACCTCATAATCATCTCATGAACACAGAAAATGCATTTGGCAAAAATCCAACATGCTTTCATGGTGAAAATAATTTAAAAACTAGGAGTATAAGGAAACTTCCTCAACCTAACAAAGGGTATCCATGACACAACCACAGTTAACAGCACGGTGAATGGTGAAAGTGATAAAAGAAAAAATAGATTGGACTGCATCAAAATAAAAATGCCTTTGTGTATCAAAGTATGCCATCAACAAAGTAAAAAAGCAATCTAAAGAATGGGAGAAACTATTTTCATTTTTTATTTCTTTAGAGACAGAGTCTCACTGTGTCACCCAGGCTACAGCACAGTGGTTTGATTACCGCTCACTGCAGCCTTGACCTCCTGGGCTCAAGCCAGCCTCCAACTTTAGCCTCCTAAGTAGCTGGGACCACAGGTGCACACCACCATGCCTAGCTATATTTTAAATTTTTTGTAGAGATGGTGTCTCTCTATGTTTCCCAGGCTGGTCTCAAACTCCTAGGCTCAAGCGATCCTTCTGCTTCAGCCTCCCAAAGTGCTGGGATTGCAGAATATATTTTTAAGACATATATTGGCATATATCCACAAGATATAAAGAACTCTTATAACTCAATAACAAAAGTCAAATAACTCAATTAAAAAGCAGGCAAAGGATTTGAATAGACATTTATCTGAAGAAGATACAGAATGGCTAAGAAGCACATGCTAACATTCTCCACGTATTTAGTCATGAGGAAATACAAATCAAAAGCACAATGACTTACTACAGTTGGCCCTCTCATCTGCAGGTTCTGCATCTGCAGATTCAACCAATCACAGATTGAAAATATTTGAAAAAAACCAAAACAATAAAGAATAACAATACAACAATAAAAATAAAACAAATAAAAACAATACAGTGCAAACTATTTACATAGCATTTACACTGTATTAGGTACTACTATAAGTAATCTAGAGATGACTTAAAGTACAGTACACAGGAGGTTGTACGTAGGTGATATGGTTTGGATCTATGTCCCCTCCCAAATCTCATGTTCTGTTGTAATCCCCAATGTTGGAGGTGGAGCCTTGTGGGAGTAATTGGCTCATAGTGGTGGATTTCTCATGAATTATTTAGCACCACTGCCTTGGTGCTGTTCTGATGACAGTGAGTGAGTTCTCATGAGTTCTGGTCATTTACAAGTGTGTGACACCTCCCCCACTTGCCCCTACTCCTGCCATGATGTGCATGCTCCCCCTCAGGCTTCCACCATGATTGTAAGTTTCCTGAGGCTTCCCAAGAAGCTGAGCAGATGCCAGCATAATGCTTCCTGTACCATCTGCAGAACTATGAGCTGAGTAAACCTCTTTTCTTTATAAATTACCAAGTTCTCAGGTATTTCTTTATAGCAATATAAGACTGGACTAATACAGTAGGTTATTTATTAGATTGGTAATGGCAAAAACCACAATTACTTTTGTACTAACCTAATGCAAATACTATGCCATTTTGCATAAGTGACTTCAGCTTCTGTTAAATTTTGGTATTTGTGGGTAGGTCCTGGAACAAATGCTCCTCAGATACTGAGAGATGACTGTACTCAACACTGACTAGGATGGCTATAAAAGGTCCTTCCATTCCAGAAGTTCCATGATATAATAAAACCCTACAATGCAAATATTATACTTGAGTGTCCTCTCATATTTTGTGTGTGAATATGAACCTAGGTGGAGGAAATAAAAATTATTACAGAGCTTCAAAAACAGAAAGAAAAAGAACTATAAAATGTTAATATTACCATAACAAGTGTTAGTGAGTGTGTTAGGGTTCTCCATGGAAACAGAACCAATAGGATATATATACCATTGATCCTTAAACAGCATGGGTTTGAACTGTACACGTCCACTTCTATATGTTTTTCTTTCAATAAATATATTGGAAAAAATTTTGGAGATATGTGACAAATGGAAAAACCCCATTTTTTCTTGCTTAATCTATTGTAAGAATACAGCCTGTAATACATAGAACTTACAAAATATGTGTTAATTGGCCATTTATGTTATAGGTGAGGCTTGTGGTCAACAGAAGCCTATTAGTAAATCAGTTTTGAAGAAGCCAAAAGAGTTATATGTGGATTTTTGACTGCATAGGGGATCAGCACCCCAATCCCTGCATTGCTCAAGGGTCAACTGTATATACATATGATTTATTATAAAGAATTAGAGGCTGAGAAGCCCATGAGCTGCTGTCTGTAAGTTGGAGACCAGAAAAGCCAGTGGTGCAGTTCTGAGAACCAGAGGGCCAATAGAGGGCAGGAAACTGATGATGTCCCAGCTCAAAGAATGAATTCCCCTTTCTTCTACATTTTATCCTACCCGGGCTCGCAATGGATTGAATAGTGGCCACCAACACTGGGGAGGGCAATCTGCTTTACCCAGTCCATGGATTCAAATACTAATCTCATCTGGAAACTCGCTCACAGACACCCCCAGAAATAATGTTTTATCTGGGCACCCTGTATCCCAGGCAAGATGATACATACAATTAACCATTTTCCACAATGTGATGTGGAAAAACTGGAAGCCTCATTCATTGCTGGTGGGAATGTAAATGATGTAGCCACTTTGGAGAACAGCTGGGCAGTTCCTCAAAATGTTAAACATGAGTTACCATGTGATCCAGGAATTCCACTGCTAAGCTTATACCTAAGAGAAATAAAAACATGTCCACACAACAACTTGTACATGAATGTTCATAGCAGCATTATTTACAGTAGCCCTAAGTGGAAACGACAATCATTTATTAGGGCCTATCCACCGATAAATGGATAAACAAAATGTAGTATGTCCACATAATGGAATGTTATTCAGATGGAATCTTATTTGGCGATAGGAAAGAATAAAACAGTGATACATGCTACAACATGGGTGAACCCTGAAAATATTATGCTAAGTGGAAGAAGCCAGACAAAAAGAGTCACATAATATATAATTTCATGTACATGAAATGTCCAGAATAGGCAAATCCATTAAGGCAGAAAGTAGAGTAGAGGTTGCCTGGAGCAGGAGTGGAGAGAAGGAGAAAGAGGAATGACTGCTAATGGATACGGGGTCCCTTTTGACAGTGTTGAAAAGTTCTAAGATTATAATGTGGTGATGGTTGCACAACTATAAATATACTAAAAACCAGTGAAATGTGCATTTTAAATGGGTGACATTTGTGGCATGAAAATTATATCTAAAAAGAAATAATTTTAAATCTAAAATCAAAACACTTTTTAAAATGCAAAACTCACAATATCAGCTACAAGAAACTCATGAAACATAATAAAGGGGAGAAATGCCAAAATATGACATTAATAATAATGACCATCACATTTTTGAGGGCTTACATTATACCAGTCACTGCTCTATAACTTTTTACGTGTATCAACTCATTTTATCTTTTCAATAACCTTATGAGGTAAATATTATTCTTATCCCCTGTATTAGTCCATTTTCATGCTGCTGATAAAGACATACCCGAGAATGGGTAATTTACAAAAGAAAGAGGTTTAATGGATTTACAGTTCCACATGGCTGGGGAGGCCTCACAATCATGGTGGAAGGAGGAGCCAGTCACATCTTACATGGATGGCAGCAGGCAGAGAGAGAGCTTGTGCAGGGACGCTCCCCCTTATAAAGCCATCAGATCTCATGAGACTTATTCACTATCATGAGAACAGCATGGGAAAGGCCTGCCCCGATGATTCAATTACCTCCCACTGGGTCCCTCCCACAACACGTGGGAATTCAAGATGAGATTTGGGTGGTGACAGAGCGAAACCATATCATCCCCATTTTACAGAGGAGCAAACCGAGGTACACAGTTCACACAGCCAGGACTTCAACAGGCAATCTAATTGTAGAGCCTGCAAGCTTTTAAGCTCTTGCCTCTCAAGAAACAAAGTAACTTCTGGGACCAATAAGTATTAAAGCTTCCTCCATCTGCCCAAGAAAGGTCCCAAAAAGACAGTTCAAGTCTTAGACAACAAGGGTGTATCCTGTTGTGCTCAGGGTTGAGCTGTGAGGTGATGAAGGGAGATGAAGGTCAGAATCCAATTCCTCCTCTCTATGGTGGCTGTCCCAAACCCATCAAGGTCCCTCCACCATGATGGAGATAACGAGTCTGAGTTGGGAGAGTTGAGTCTTGTTTCCCAAAGAAACTTTCTCATGACAGGAAGGTAGAGTTATCTCTCTCTGAACTCCAGCATTTTTATAACAAGAGCAAATGGAAGCTTCCAAATGTCAGCTGCAAAGTTTCAATTCCTGTCTGAGAAGAAAGTTAAGATTGTTCTTAAGAACAGGAAGAAATTTGGAGTAAAAGAAAATGCACTGAAATTGGATCAAGATGATCAATTATGTTTCTTAACCAAGAGGCAGGGGCTTGTCTCATGCCTAGAAAGTGTCCTGGTCTCTGCAGAGATGATTCAGAATTAATGGGACTCTGAGTTCCTCAGCTCTGAGTGTGCTCAGTTTTGGAATTGCTGCTTTGTAAAAAGATTCAGCTGTTCAGGTTGAGATTGCAAGAGGATGAAAATGCTTTTCGGACCTTACCAGAGCTGGGGAAACAGAGCTCTCCATAGCCAACTCTATAGATGCTCCAAACCTAATTGCAAGCATGGAAGGCAAAGTGTTTTTTTTCTTAATTAACTTTTGTGGTGTGATTATAAAAGTAACACATTGCTTTTATTTTATAAGGAGGTAATAAGATGTCCATATCTAACTTTGAGCACTTACGATATGTCAGGCACTGAGCTGAGGATTTCATTTCAATTACTTCATTTAATCCCCACAACAACTCGATGAGGAAGGCATTATAATTATTACTACTGCCAAGGTATACACCAAGAAGCTGAGACTCAGAATGATTAAATACCTTGGTTCAAAGTCACCCAGTGGCAGAGCCTGGGGGCAGAAGCCGGTTTAACTTTAACCCCTACACTGTATTAGTATAATTCTAGGTGAAATGTATGAATCCTGCAAAGGAGGACAAAAGAAGCACTCTGGGGATTAGATGAGTTCTCGGGTGCAGGCCGAGTTCAGGAAAGAGTTTTCCTTGGAGCAAAACTATTCTGAATGGCATCACTGTCTCCCCCAGCTACTGTCAAGCATGCTCTTCCTCCCTGCAGTACTGTCTTGGTTAATGCCATGAGCAACACCCAGAGCCAACTGACTACCCAGCTAAGACTGTGTGAGCTTTCACTCCTCCCTCTCCCTTACTGCCCCAGATCCAGCATCAGTCACAGCAACAGCTATCTCTCTCCTCCATCCCCTCCAACTCTTTTATTTACTAATTCAGAAATGTACTGAGCACTCACCCTGTGCTAGTCTAGTGTATAGACTAGACAGGTGTATAAGTGTGGAATCAGAACAGAGGTTGCTTCTGGTCTCTTTGAGCTCTGTTCCTGCCTTGATCCAGGCCTTTCTCTCTCCCCAGGATGGCTGAAATAGTTATCTTTGCTCATCTCCCATCTTCAGGCTGTCACTCCTACAATCCATCCATTCTCTGGCACTAAGGAGGTGCTCAATGAGTATAGAATGAATAAATGTGTAAATGAATGAACCTTCCATAGTGACCCCAGAATCTTTATGAAAGGTAGTTCTAATTATGTCACTCTTCTCAGAAGCTTTTAGAGGTGCCTATTTTCTCCAGCACGCAGTCTCCATTTCTTAGCCTGATGGTCAAGACTTTTCATAATTTGGATCAAGTGAGCCTAAACTGGATGCTCATCTAAGCCAAATTACTCACCCTTCCCTTATGTGTATTGTACATTTGGTTTTTTTTTTGCCCCCACCTACTGGCAGAGACAGTGCTCACCAAAGCCCATCTTGTGCCTCCTGCATTTTCCAGCCTCCCTTTCAGGCCAGGTGAAGGCTGAGTGACGGGTTCTGGCAAGTGGACTCCCCCCATGATGCAGGACTCCCCAAAAAATCAGACATTGCATAAGCAAAGGGAGAAGCCACCAAGATATTCCAAGTCTATACGTCACCACAGCAGGGCCTTACTCTCTCCTGACTAATCCACACATCCTTGCTTCTGCCTAGAGAGATTTTCCTCTCTTGCTGGCCAGTTGATTTCAAGTTTCAGTTGCAACATAACCTTGCTGGGGAGGCCTACCCTGACCAGGAGTCAGTCACTCCCACCTCTCTCAACTCTCAGGGCTCTGTTATCACCTCCATTTACACCCGGAATGCAGGCCACCTGGTAGGTTGCACAAGGGTTTGTCTGCCACACTACACTGTGAGGTCCCAGAGGGCAGGGACTGTGTCTGTTTAAAATTTTGTTTCTCCCACCAGACTGAGCCTTGTCCTTTGTACTCAGAAATATTCAGGGTGTTACCAAAATGCATTAGGTCAGAGAGAAAACTGTTTACCCCCAGCCTCAGTAGAGAAAAAAGCATGGCCCATCTCAACCTTGAGGCCACAGTGGTTGGTGGGGGATTAGCAGGGGTTTCAGGTGAGCAGGACGCTGTGGGAATGAGGGAGGAAGGGGAGGGCGGGACGGAGAAGGGTTCTGGAACCTGGTCACTGCCGTCCCCGCCCCACTCCCTAGGGAAACTAGCGGCCAGAGCTGGAAAGAGCCTGAGTAGCTTCCAACTGTTTACCTTCTGGGTACCATGGCGACTGGAGACTGGTCGCCATGGCAACCTCAATATTAATCAGAGGCAGCCACCACTAGCAGATGGTGAATGAGGACAGAAAAGACATAGAAACAGGAGCATCAAAGGCAAGTGCACACGTAGTCACGGCCAAAGTCCCAGCTAAAGTGATTAAGATCCTGCCTCCACCAGCCAGTCACCCCAAGAACCACCGCTCCTCCCCTCCGGGCATCTACACAGGAGGAGGCCCCTCTCTGTGGCTGAACCGAGGCTGAAGAGGAAGTGCGGTGTTTGGGCATTGGTGCGAAGCAGGGGGAGTTCCTGTCCTTCCCCCTACCCCAAAGAACGCAAAGAAGCTCCCACCAGCTTAGTGAAATCCCATCTGGGTCCTCTGACCTGGCCGACTTTTCTACAACTGGGACTCTGGCGTAGAAGACCCAGTTGGTGGATACCACACACAAGTGACCATCTCTCCTCTCCCGGCCCAACCACCCGCGTCCCCCATGAATTCTCAGCGTGAACGCACGCTGTACATTGGACTCCGTGCCCAGACAGCACTATTCTTGCTGGTTTTCATGAATGAAAGTGTGTATGTGTTGGGGGGAGGGGGTGGCGGACAGTGCATAATGTTAGGGGCACCGAGCTGTCCACTCCGGGATGGAGTCTGAACCCGGGTGGGTGCCATTCCTGCTGATCCCAGCCTCGCCCCTTTGGAAGATGTGATGGGGAGCGTCTGCCGTCGGGGTGCCGGGCTTCGCTGCAAGGGACTGCTCCCGCCAGCTTCCGGCGAGGCCTGAGCCGGCGGACTGCGTGTCAGAGGCACCTGGTTCAGGCCAAAGAGGCCGGGGCGCCGGCTCCAGGTCCTCTAGGTTCCAGCGCCATTCATCCTCCCTCACGCGCCGCGCCAACCGGAGACCCCCGCTGCAGAGGGCCGAAGTTAAAGTCCCAGCTGCGCCGCTCAGTAGGGAGATTACACAGGGAGAAAAATGAATCACCCGGCCCGGGGTTGCGGGACTGCGAGGGCCTGCGCGCCAAGGCCCCCAGGGGCGTCGGGAGGGGCCGCGGGCTGAGCTAAAGAGAAAAGCCTGACGGCTGGGAGCCCGGCGCCTTTATCCGGTTAGGGGATTGCAGAGGATCAGAGAGCCCGCCGCCCCTTCTCCTCCATCACCGAGCACTAAGCCCCGGGCGTCCGAGATCCCGGGTGTGATTTTATCATTAAAAAAAGTAACCGCGCACTCCTAAAAGAATTTTAATTCTCGCCTCCTCCTCAGCCTACCTTTCTCTTTGAATCCCCAAGGGAAAATAGTCCCCTGGGTTGGGGGGCAGTCCTTCGCCGCTGCCTTCCCCCGGCCCTGCTCCCTCCAGGCCACTGACTCAACCTCCCCCGGCGCGGCGCGGACTCGAGAAGACGCGGCGCCCGCTCCCGACTTGGAGCCGGGGAAGTGGGTCCTTCCCGGACTGGCGGTCCGGGGACAGCGTGACAGGAGGAAATGTATGGGGTGGGGTCGCGGCTGCAAGCCCTACCCGTCCCCAGCGGGAGCCAGCCCTGCTCCTTCTGCCTCCCGCCCCGACGGCTCAGCGGGCTCGGCCCAGCGCGGCTGTGGGACGTGAGTAAAAGGGGGTGCGATCGGCTTGGGGAGCACGGGGAGGGCTTCCTGTCCTTTGAACTGGACTGGAGGGGTATGGGAGCCGGGGAGTGGGAGCCGAGGCCGTAGCCGATCCTTTTTCACTTTCTCTCCAGCCCGCGGCCCGTTTCAGCACCGGGGGCTGCGGACAGCGCCGCGCCCGCCCCTGGAAGCAGCAGCATCCCTCCCCTGCGTGTGGTTCTCTAACTTACCTCCTGTATGGGGTCTGCGGCCCCAGCACACCTCCCGGCGCCCCCCAAAAAATTCCAGCTCAAGAGCCCCTAAAAATCCTTACCCTGCCAAAGTTTGAGCTTCTCCGCGGCGCGCCAGGGTCTGCGGAGCGCCTCCTCCCTCGGCCTCCTAGGCGCAGTTCCGCTCGCTCCCTCCCCCGCGCTCCCGGCCCAGGACTCTGCTCGGCGACTGCTGAAGGAGCCTGTGGCCTCCCTCTCCGTGGGAAAGTAAGGTGAGGCTCTGGAGCCTCAAAGGCGGTCCGAAAGAGGCAGAAGTCATTAGTTCACATCCCCAACCCTCCCAGGGAGGACGGGGAGAGTCAGGGGCAAGAAAGCAAACAAGTCCGTCGTTCCGTTCTGGGTTCTCTCCTAACTGTGGGCGGCCACCCTGGACTCCTTCCTGGGATGTTTTGCTGGTAGTGTAATCCACACTGGATGAGTAAGCAACAGAGATCTGGGGTTTGAAGTTTAAAGGTGGGGACACACACACACACACACGCACAAAGTCTTGGACCCGTTTGCCATCTTAGGGAAGATGTTAGAAACAAGTTTCTCTTTGGGACAATGTGTATTCTCCTTGCAGAGTTTTTGTTTCCTTCCATCACATCAGATAACATCGGATTTCCTGAACTAAAAATTAAAACCACCAATCCAGCTAGTAATTATTTAACCCCTATTGAAGCCCAAGGAACTTAAACTCTTTTTGGAGAAAATAACTTTATTTACTAAAACTCATTTTCCTCCCAGAAGGTGTACTTCCAAGAACACACCTCTCCATGAAGGATGAAGACCGAATCCTGCCTTTCCCTCACCAGCAATTGCATGCTCTGGTTCTGGATCGCAGGAGCAGGTCCCGGGAGGAATCCAAGCCTCCTTGCCTGGGACAAGCCTCTTGGGTTCCAGGTTCTCTTGACTGATACCCTCATGGGAAGAAACTCCACAAAAGCAGATCCCACCGCAGCCAGCTAACCAGAGCTTCTCTGAGGACTTGGAGTACATGGCATTTCCTAGCATACTTATCAAATCGCCTGTTAATTGAACACATTATCTTTAGAAGGCTTAAGTTCATCGAGTTCATGCAATACTTGAAGGGAGAGATGAAGTGTATGTTTTTCACTGAAGAAATAAAGAATTAGAATGGCTCACACACACATGTGCATGTGTGCACACATGTCATGTCTTAAAGGGGGGAAGTAAAACCTAGACAAATTTTCCCCCAAAGAAAATCAGGCTTAGTCGTTCAGATTCAAGGGACTCTGGTAGTGGAAGAGCAAATAAATGGAAGTGGTGAATCAACAAAAGGAAGCCAAAGCCACAGAAGTTGGAAGAGAGGAGAATTCTTATTTTATTACTTGGGCTTCTGAAAGGAACCTGAAATTATAATAATTTCAAGAGAAAATATAATAGATGAGACTTTGCCTCATTGAGGACTTCAGTATTCTTATTCCAGGGAATCTCCACGTGCCTCAATTATGAATCTCCACGTGCCTCAGTTGTTATGTGCATTTTTTTTATAGTTCTCATTGTCAGGAAATGCTTTATTTCTTCTAATCTCATTAATTTATGCAACAAGTTAAAGCTGTTTCCTGCTGGCTTGTCCTCAGGGAAGACTGGAAGCAGATGATTATTTTCTGTTGTCCAGAAACATTTCAGAGTTTCAAAAGAATCTTAAATCCTGATTTTGGAGTAAATAGTAGTGATCATGAGATCATTTTAAGGCATCATCCTGAAAAATCCCCTTGGACTTTGTTTCTGAAATGCACATCATTCCTAAGATTTGAAGGGGAAAACAAGACCTCACAGAATTAATCAAGAAATGGAGAAGTGTCCTGAGTCTGATGAAATGAGATAGAGTGTTTAGCACAGAAATGGGCACATAGTTGGCCCCTAGGGAATGATGTATGTGGCAATAGTTATCATTGAAGAACTTTGGGTGTCTGAAAAGTGGAAACAGATGAAGAGACTGGAAATGAATGGAAAGAGACTGAAGGGGATGTATCTGTGAATTTGCCTGCAAAAGTCATCGAGCTGCAAGATCCTAGGCTGCCATGATGGAGGGTCCAGATTTGGCCCAATGCTCACTCAATGGAGTGGCCTCTGGGGACCTTTCCAATTATTGCTCAAGCTTCAACTGAGGCATGGTCGAGTGTGGAAGGGACAGCAAGATTTTGTGAAGATGCAGGATACAGCAACCTCTGAATAAATTAGTGGGATGCTCTAACAGGCCCATGGCACTAAGAGACCAAGGAGCGCGATTCTCAGAAACCCAAAGTCTTTTGGTGTTTGTTAGAATAGGGAGACCACAGGAAGAAGAGAGCTATGGAGAAAGCACCATCTCCTCTTTCTGACAGAGCAGGTGAGAGTGGGAGGAAGGGGGTGGGGGCCAGGTGAATGCTAAGTTGCTTCAGCCTCAGCCAGGACACTAAGGAAGTGGGGAGGGGTCTGTGGGGAAAAGAGTAGCACCCAGGAGCTGAGGAAGTCTGGAGCCAGGGAGCCTGATGAGACCAGTTCTATCCACCTGTGAATTCGGTGCCAGGAAATGAAAGGAAAATACCAGCCAAGCCCAGATGTATTGAGTCTGAGCGTAAGTGTGTACATGTGTGGCTCGGGGGACTCCTCAATGATGTTTAGTTGTGTTTTTGAAATTTAGAAACAATGTGATAGTCTATGTAGTCTCCTGGGATTTGCTTTTGTCAATGAATATTAGGTTAGTAAGATTTGGTGATGTTGCTTGTAGCTATAGTTCATTTAGTTTCACTGTGTAAATAATTTGTTATTTATTTATTCTGTATGCATATTGTACACATTGCTTTAAAAATAGGGGCGGGAAGAACTAAATTTTTGATTCTAATTTTGTAAAATCTTCCCAGTCCAAACAAATTTTAGATGTACTAGGGACCTGATATTTTATAGTCAGGGTTGAAAGGCACACAAATAGTGCCCATAGGTAGGCAACAGGACTGCTGTCTCTGCTGGGGGCCATATGGTGTCCAGTGTGTTAAAGAACACACAATCTCATAAGTAGATAAGCCAGACTAACCGACGATACACAGAAATGCAAACAGATAAACCCAGTTATCAGCAAGGAGGGATGTGTGAACTTGCTTTGGCAGATGGTCTAGATCCTTGGCAAATGATAAGGCAATTTGTAGGAATGGCTTTTGGGAAATAAAATATTTATGAGGAGACAGGCAAGGTTTACATGAGAAGCAAGATGCCTCAGTTTTCCCCGCAGGAATTCTGTCAGTCAGTGCAAAATTGCAGGATGGGGAGGCCCCAAGTTGGGGAAAAGCAGTTATTTTCTGTCTTTAAAGCCCACTTTGCCTGTTTCCTTCTCAGGCAATCAAGATGATGGCATCTATTTCTCTCACCTACCTGGCAGTTGGAAGAATAGAAGGAAAGTTAAATTAAATGAATGAACAAGATTTGAAGAGTTAGAAATTCTAACCAAATACCATTAAGAGCTTGAGGAGGACTGTGGGACCATAGGATCTAATCTATCTTGTCCCCTGGGGACTCCCTGTCTCTTTCAGGTCAGCTTTGCAAACAGTCGCTATAGGGGCTGCCCTTAAGACCCCAGTGCCAGCTTTCCACTCTCCAAATTTCTACTGTCTGACCATCAATGCCTGAAGTCCTACCATTGGAACGTCATCTCTCTATTTTCAAACTTGGATCCCTTTTAAAATGCCAATAACTCCATGAGATAGAGTGTGGATAAAGAATCAAATACAAAGTTTTGGTAGGAAAAATTGAGGAGCACATTTGAGGATCCTGCAGGCCAGTGAGCGTGGCATGGGATGGGCGCCATAGCAGGAGGTGGGTAAGATCAGGGGGAAAGGGCACAGGTGAGACTTTAAATACTGAGGGCAAGCTTGGCCCCGGTTACAACTGAGCCTAGTCCTGGCCCAGCGAAATCACTTGAGCTTTTCTCTAAGCCTAAAGCCTTCATTTTCCACCCACAAAAGAAGGACAATCACCTTTTCTAATTGCTAAGCTGGCAATCAGTGTGCTGGATGCAAGGCTGTTTTTGTGGATTGTGATGTGAACGGCATCAAAGTGCTCGCTAATAGGTGTGATATGCTCTGGGACTCAGTACTGCTCAGTTTGACATCATTATCACGGCCTTGGGTGAACATATGGAGTTTCCTGCATATTTTAATATGGATACGGAGTTATAGAATGTATAGCTAACATGCACTCAGAATATATGGTGACTAAGGAGTATAAATCAAAATCCAAAAAAATCTTGAGAGCCTTCAATGATGCACTAAATATACAGGCCAAGAAAAGACATAACAGGAACACATGTAAAGTTCTGTATCAGCGTCCAAAAAGTCAGCCCCCCAAGTACAGGAAGAGGAGACGTGGCTTACCAGAACTCGCTCAGTAAGATGCGAAGCCTCAGGGTGATGTGTCTCCACAAAAATTGGCAAAAAGTTAATGAGAAATAAGGCTGACTTAATAGAAGTATATCATATAGAAGAGAGGTGAGTCTTGCTCAGCTCCTCTCTGTCAACGTACCTGGATTATTTTGATTTTAGTTGCCATATTTAAAAAAATTTACAGACATCACTATATTAGTCATAATATAACTTTAAAAATTAGCTGGGCGTGGTGGCTCATGCCTGTAATCTCAGCACTTTGGGAAACCAAGGCGGGAGGATCGCTCGAGCCTGGGAGTTTGAGATTAGCCTAAGCAACATAAGGAAATCTCATCTCTACAAAAAATAAAGAATTAAAAAAAATATGTGGGCATGGTGGTGCACTTGTATTCCCAGCTACTTGGGAGGCTGAGATGGGAGGATTGCTTGAGCCCAGGAGGTCAAGGCTGCAGTGAGCCATGATCGTGCCACTGCACTCCAGCCTGGGTGACAGAGCAAGACCCTGTCAAAAATAAAAATAAGAAAGTCAACCTAATAAATCAATTGTATATTTTCTGTTACTTTCTAGTTTTCATTCGCATGCACGTATTCTTTTTCACAGGGATAGTAACAGTGATGTAAATATATAATTTTATTATTCTGCTTTTAATTAGGCTTTCTAGTTTGAGAAATAGCCTATTGTGCTGCATTAGTTTCCAGTGGTTTTTGGTCATGACCAAATCATTTGTCACTGACCATGATCCTGGTGAAATGAATTACATAATTAATAGGGTGATTTACACCATAGTTGACCTTTTTTATGTACATTTAAATTAGTTCCCACTTTTTCACTTTTAAAAATGACTGCTGTAAACACATGCATCAAAACTTCCCCTATTTTTTGTAATTATTTCCTTCAGTTATAGTCTCAGTAGTAGGATTACCCTAGGGATATGAATATCTGAATTCAAGAGAAGTTTAAACAATTTATACTGCGATTAACCATTTACCAGTTCTACTGTATTTTATTTTTGCCAGCATTCTATTTTATTTTTTCAAATTTAATGCATAAACTGTATCCCATTACAGCTTTAATTTGCATCTCAACAAGAGGTAGTAAAGTTGACAATTTTCTTATGTATATTTATTACTTGTGTGTCCTGTTTATGAATCACCTACTCATGTCCTTTGCCCATTTACATTAAAGTTTTGATCTTCTTTCAGTTTTCATGAGCTTTTTGTGCAATACTGACAGAGGCTTTTTCCTGGTTTATATTATGAAAATATTTTCTTTAGTCTGCTTGCCTTTTTATTTGAGTTCCGATAATATTTATTCTAGAGACTTGCAAATATTTGAAAGCCAAGAAATGCGTACTTCTACTACATATATAATATCTACTCTCTTTTTGGTGGTTTTATGTGTTTTTATTTTTTATTTATTTATTTTTTTTTGAGACAGAGTCTCGCTCTGTCGCCTAGGCCGGAGTGCAGTGGCGAGATCTCGGCTCACTGCAAGCTCTGCCTCCCGGGTTCACATCATTCTCCTGCCTCAGCCTCTGGAGTAGCTGGGACTAGAGGCACCTGCCACCACGGCTGGACAATTTTTTTTTTTTTGTATTTTTAGTAGAGACGGGGTTTCACCATGTTAGCCAGGATGGTCTCAATCTCCTGACCTTGTAATCCGCCCATCTCGTCCTCCCAAAGTGCTGGGATTACAGGCGTGAGCCACCGCGCCCGGCCATGTGTTTTTATTCTTAATACAATTTAATACTCTTTAATACAATTGGGCTTATTTTGACATAAGGTCTAGACAGTTTCATTTGAAATTTCTTTAACTTTGAGCAAAGTTAAATTTAACATAGGAATCGGGTTCATCATCTATTAAAAAATGATTCTGCTTTTCACTTTCATTCCAGAATTTTCTAAAAGAATATTGGGCATGTCAAATACTTGATTTCTTAGGAAACCTCATTCTTCAACCATGCCATGTCACTTATCAATTTGTTGTCTCCCAGTTCCAAATGTATCTTCAATACCTGCTCTGCAATAATGGACAGAATTTGTTTGAGTATTACAGTGAGCATGATGTTAAACTTTCTCAGCAGAGGATGCTGGAGTGGCACCGGAGCAGGAAGGGGCTCTCCTGCTGTTTCTGGTGACTGCAAGATTGGCGAATGACACAGGTGGGAGAATGTCTGGTAGTGCTCCACCTTGGCCACATGCCTGGAACACAAGGTCCCTTCATGACTTCCCAGCTCCAGCCTGGCCTGGTGGTCATCTTTCTGCAGCTCTTGCAGCATGGACCCTGCATGCCACAGCCCTCCTGCCTGCACTGCTGCCCCAACTCCCTCTGCTTTCCTATGCCTGCTTCCCCCAGGCTTGCCTGCTGTGACCTTCTGGTGCTGCAGCCCTTCTAACACAAACACCACAGCTCAGGGCTCCTATTCACATGAGCACCCATTTTCCCTGCACACCTGTGTGGCTGGCCATTGGTTGTGGCTTACTCAAACCCATCTGCACTCCAGGTGAGAGCTGCTTCCTACCTGCTCAGCAACTACAGACCAGCTCTGGCCTGTGCAAACCAGCACACTTCTCTGCCAATCATTGGGCTGCAACTATGCTTGCTCCAACAAGGTCTGAATGCTGGCCTTGGAGAGGGGGACCACATTCCAAGTTCATCCTTCTTTGGCTGCTCTCCTTCAGCCCTAGGGTGCCATGAAGGGTTCTCTTACATCTTATACTTACCTTTTATCATAGTTTAATGATCTTCATATTAGCCTTCTCCTTTATAGTCACTTTCTGTTTTATAGTCATTGTGTGACTTCTGTCTCTTAATTAGACCCAAACTGATATACCTGCTATGCGCTGAAGTATCCTTTACATTCTTATTTAGAGAGACTGAATTTAGAATAGAATCTTTACATTCTATTCAACATTGTACTGAAAGTCATTGCCAGTGCAATATAGGAAAAAATAAAAGAAAAAGAATCCAAATGGTATAACGAAGACAAAAAGATAACTATCATGATTCACGGGTAGCATGATTGTGTATGCAGAAAATCCTATGTAATCTACAAAAAATGAAACTAGAATATTGTAGTACACAGTTAATATACAAAACTCAATTGTACTATGTTCTAACAACAAACAGTAGAAAATGAAATTTTAAAAATATCATTTACAATAGCATTAAATACATTAATTACTTAGGACTAAAACTGTCATTATGTGCAAGACTTGTGAAACATTGCTGAGAGAAATTAAAGAAGACCTAAATAAATGGAAAGATTTATCATGTTATGACATATGTTTATAAAATCTCAATAATTTTAAAATATTGTCCTCCAAAATTGATCTGTTGATTCCATACAATCCCAATTAAAATTCCAACAGGCTATCTTTTTTTTTTGAGACAGAGTCTCACTCTGTCAGCCAGGCTGGAGTGCAGTGGTGTCATCTCGGCTCATTGCAAGTTCCGCCTCCCGCGTTCAAGCCATTCTCCTGTCTCAGCCTCCCAAGTAATTGGGACTACAGGCACCAGCCACCATGCCCAGCTGATTTTTTTGTATTTTTAGTAGAGACAAGGTTTCACTGTGTTAGCCAGGATGGTCTCGATCTCCTGACCTCATGATCTGCCCGCCTTGGTCTCCCAAAGTGCTGCGATTACAGGCTATGTTAAGAAGGAAATAGTAGTTACAAAATTTTACAGAAATACAAAAGATCTACATTAGACAAAACAAGACTGAAAAAGAACAAAATTGGAGGATTTACATTACCTGATCTCAAAACTAATGATAAAGCTATAGTAATCAAAACAGTGTGGTATTGGCATAAGGAACAGGTTAGTGTAACAAAATGGAAATTTCAGAAAAAGAACCATGTATGTATGGCCAAATTATTTTTGATAAAGATACGAAGGCAATTCAGTGGGGAAAGGAAGTTCATCTTAAGAAGTGGTGCTGGAACAACTGGATATGGTAAACAAAGATGAATCTCAATCTCTGTCTCACTCCATATAAAAAATTAATTGAAAATGGATGATAGATAGACCTAAGTATAAAAGTGAGAGCCCTAACACTCTAGACACAAAAATCCAGAAATTTTCATGAGTTTAGAGAAGGCAGAATTCTCTTAGATAGGACACAAAACGCACTAACAATAAAAAAAACTCCCAATGAATTACACTTAATCAAAATAAAAATTTATTCTAATCAAAAGATACCATGAAGAAAATGAACAGAATAGTCTACAAAATAAATGCTATGTACTCTTCAAAAGTGTCAAAGTTGCGAAAGACAATAAGTGAGTAATTGATGGATAGATGAATAGATGGCTGGCTGGCTGGATGGATGGATGGATGATGGATGGATGAATGGATGGATAGATAGACTGATTGACTGGCTGACTGACAAACTGTTCCAGATTAAAAGAGACTAAAGATAAATAAAAACTAAATGCAACGTGTGATCTTGGTTTGGATTTTTGGCCTTGGTAATTTTTTTTCTTTTTTCTATACAGGCCTTGTGGGACAACTGGTGAATTTTGAACAAGGTCTGCAGATTAGATAATAATATATCCCGATTAATGTACTGATTTTGATCACTGTACTATGGCTCAGTAAGAGAATGTCCTTGTTTTTAGAAAGTATTCTTTGAAGTATTAGAGATAAAGGAATATCATCTCTGTCACTTAGTCTCTAATGGTTCAGAAAAAAATTGGTGTGTGGGCCAGGCATAGTGGCTCATGCTTGTAATCCCAGCACTTTGGGCGGCCAAGGCAGGCAGATCACGAGGTCAGGAGTTCAAGACCAGCCTGGCCAACATAGTAAAACCCCGTCTCTACTAAAAATACAAAAAAAATTAGCCGGGCGTGGTGGCAGGCACCTGTAGTCCCAGCTACTTGGGAGGCTGAGGCAGGAGAATCGCTTGAACCCAGGAGGCAGAGGTTTCAGTGAGCCGAGATTGCTCCACTGCACTCTAGCCTGGGTGACAGAGTGAGACTCCATCTCAAAAAAAAAAAAAAAAAAAAAAATTGGTGTGTGTATGTCTGTGTGTGTGTGTGTGTGTGCATCTATGAAAGACAGAAACAAGGATACTGACAAAGCCAACATAGCAAAACGTTAGCATTTATGGGTGCTGGCTGAAAGGTGTTTGGAAATTCTTTGGATTATTTTTTGCAAGTCTTATTTTACTTTCTATTTCTGGAAGTCTTAAATTACTTCAAAATAAATGTTAATAAAGAAGAATGTGCAGATAATCCCCAGACACAGACAAAATATTCACAGTAAATATATTTGACAAGGGACTCATCTTCAAAGTATATAATATTTTTATGTAAATCAATAATAAAAAGAAAACCCAATTAACACATTGGGAAAATATTTGAACAAACATTTCACTAAAGAAGATATATGGATGACAAACATACACATGAAAAGTACTCAATGTTATTATAGTAGTCGAAATGCTAATTATGAATTAGAAGTGCAAATTAAAGCCACAATGAGGTACTACTACCCATCCACAAGAGCGACTGGCAGCACTAAACCGCGGGAGGATATACAGCAACACATACATTGCTGGTGGGAATGGAAAATGGTTCAAACAGTTTGGAAAACTATTTGGAACTTTGTTACAAAGCTAAATGTGCACTTACAACATGAACCAGCATTTTGACTCCTAGGTATTTTTCCGAGAGAAATGAAAACCTATGTTGTCAAAATGGCTGTGCACAAATGTTCATAGCAGCTACATTTATAATAGCCCCAAACTAGAAATAGCCCAAATGCCTGTGGATAGATGAATGGACAGGCAGATTGTGATTTATTCAAACATGGAATAGTACTCAGCGACAAGAGGGAAGGACTACTCATACATGAAACAATAGGGATGATTCTCAAAATCATTAAGTCAAGGCTGATAAGCCAGACACAAAAGCATGCACACAGTGTGATTCCATGGAGCAGGAAGGAACTTTCTGTGATTAAGTCAATATTTTACATCTGGTATGGGGTGGTGGTGTCACAGGTGTATATGAATGTCAAAGTTCTTTGCACTAAGGTTTTAACATTTATGCATTTAATTGGAAGTAAATTACATATCTCTCGTTATAAATTGTACTAATTTTTTTAAATCAGTGACCACTAAAAAGGGGGGTGGGATGAGATGAAATTGGGGTGTTGGGATGTTTTTGGTGCCTACAGGTGAAGAAGGGTGGAAATTCATCTCCAGCACTGGGTCTCAACTTGTTCCTCTTCCACAACCCCAATCCTGAGAGTGTTACCATGCTCCAAGAGTCATGGCCTCCTCCTATTTAAAATGCTTTACCAAAGACCTTGTTATGACAATGCCAACCTTCAAATAACTCAGGCCTCAAACCTTAGAATCATCTTGGATGGACTCCTCTACTTCTTTCTTTCTTTCTTTCTTTTTTTTTTTTTTTTGAGACGGAGGTTTTCTTTGTTTCCCAGGCTGGAGTGCAGTGGTGCGATCTTGGCTCACTGCAACCTCCGCCTCCTGGGTTCAAGCAATTTTCCGGCCTCTATTTCTTTTATAACCCACATCCCCTCCTGTGGCAAATCTCACCTATTCTACCTTCAAAATAAGTCCAGACTCTCATCACTTCTTGCCAACTCCATTGCTACCCTTTTGTCCAAGTCATCCACACATCCAGCCGAGGTCGTTGCAATTGCCTCCAAAATGGTTCCGCTGCCTGCTTCCACCCTTGCTCCATTGACTAGCTTCCTTGTTAATCCCCACACAGCCAGGCACACTTCTGCCTCAGGGCCTGTGCACCTGCTTTTCCTACTGTATAGCAGTGTGGCTTCCTCCTTCTCTTCCTTCACATCTTTGCTCATCTATCACTTTCTTAAGAAGGCATTTCCTGAATACCCCTATTCAAAATCTCAAGACCCCTCTCCCATCCCACCCACTCTCTCCATTGCTCTTTATCTGATATTTTGCATATTTAATTTATTTTTGTTTTCTACCTCTTCCCACTAGTCTGCAAATGCCACGAGGAGAGAGATTTTTACCTCCTTTGTTTACTGTTATATTTCCCAGTGCCTACAATAAAGTCAGGCACATAGTGGCAACTCAATAATTACCTGCGAAATGTGTGTATCTTGGCTTTGGATACCGAGCTCTAGGAATACAAGTAGGGGAGAAGTTTTTCCCCACCACATAAATAATGGAGATAACATATGTCAAAGTCTCTTGAAAATCATAAAACAATAATCACATTTCAGTGAATGCTACTTAGAAAAAGTCATTATTTTCCGCCACCCATCTGTAACCACTTTACTCAATTATCACTCTCAGATGTTTATTGTCATGCCTCTTTCAGGACGATGCTGAATGTTAACATTCCCTGGGGGAAGGGGCTAGCTCTAACTCCTTTGATATGATGATGAGGTGGCCTCAAGTACTGGCAGTGTTTGAAAGCTGCTGAGGAAGAGGGCATAATTTGTTTTTACCCTGCTGCTTTCTGGAGTAATGGGACAGAGCAATAAGAAGTCACAGGCTCCGAGAATTTCAGACCCTGGCATGGGGGTTAGCTCATGAAGGAATGGTTTCCAGGGAACATGATTCAGACCCTGTGGAATGGCTCACAGTTTATTATTCACAAGATCTAGGAGACATTTAAATCATGCAAATATATCCTGCTTCTCTGCGAGTGGACACAGCACACACATTTGCAGTGACAGAGCAATGAATCATGTATTTTAGAGGAGACAAGGGTGTTTTACATTTCCATGTGACTCTTTGTGAAGGGCAGCTTTTGCATTTTCCCTGTCTATTTGAATTCTGATGTCTAATCAAGTGGACAAATAAAGGAATTTATCTTTTTTTTTCTGCCCCTTCTTCCCTCCCTCCTTCCTTCATTCCTTCCACCTTTTCTTGTTTCAGTTTTTATTCTTTCTTTCTCCTTCTTCTACCTCTTTTTCATTTCATTTCTTTTTTTTTTTTTTTGAGCCAAGGCTTGGCCTTGTTGCTCTAGCTGGGTTCACCCTCTCTACTCCCCACCCCCACCCCTGCCACAGCATCTACCTTCCCTGGGGAGGAGGGCTTCTCTGCTGTTTTCCCCTGCCTGGTGTGAGCTCACATTCTCTGTGTGTTGCACAGGCCTCATAACCATCAGTTGTTACTGATGCTTGTTTTGGTTGTCAAAGAAGAATGAGGAGAGGAGATATAGGAGGTGGACTTGGAGGTTTGTTCGGAGTCACTGGCTGCAGCAAGTCTCCTCCCACACAGCCGACCCCATTCCTCAGACCTGCACTCTGTACAGCATGGCTACTGACCAACTCATGGTTAAATGGTAAGTTTGACTGGCTGTCCACTAATGACCACCTTTTGCGATCAGGTCCCGACTCTCTGTCTAGCTGAAGCTCCTGCCCAGCAGATCCCCTGGGTTCCCTCGATATTGTGACAGGAGATGGTAAGCCCAGTAGGTTTGGATTATGCCTCCAGTTTATTAAAAAGCAGGTACAGAATTTCGCAGAACTATCAAACAGACAGACAGTTCTGTGATTTTTGGAGAGCCAAGGCATTGCCCGTTTCACAGAAAATTGCTTCTAACAATCCTACAGGGATAAAACCTGCTTATTAATGTAGAGAGAGGTGCTGAGAAGACATGAGCCCTGGTGGTAATGATAGCCGACACATCCATAGTGCTTACTCGCTACTGCACAG
This sequence comes from Homo sapiens, assembly GCF_000001405.40. Lineage (NCBI taxonomy): Eukaryota > Metazoa > Chordata > Mammalia > Primates > Hominidae > Homo > Homo sapiens. Next base: position 98,333,548 of record NC_000002.12, on the reverse strand, counting down.
TGTGCAAAGCACTTTTTAAGTCAACTCATTTGATTTTCATGACAGCGTAGGAGAAACTGAAGCACAGCTGAGGTGCCCACCATCAGTAGAGCTAGGCCAGCATCAGAGGTGGGTTCTTTTTTTTTAATTTTTATTTATTTATTTATTTTTATAATTATACTTTAAGTTCTAGGGTACATGTGCACAACGTGTGGGTTCTTAACCACACATTTAAACTGTTTCTCTGCTGTCTCTGTCACATCAGGAAGCTGGGCCTCCAAGCCCTTCTCGGACTCAGAATCCTCCCAGCAGATACCCAGGCAGAGGAGTGTGAACTCTCAGCCCCTAAAAAGGTTGGTGATGTGGCTGTGAGGACCGCAGTGCATTTAAACCTGTCTTCAGAGTGAGACACGCTCTGGCCTGGAAAGATTAACAGGCTGGGAGAAACAAGAGGGTGTGACCACTTGACCTTATTTGGGATGGCCAGCTTTCAGATGGGGTAACTACTAAGAAGTCACCAACGCTCATCTCTTCATTGTGAATGAGGTTAAGATTTCCTGCCTTATCTCATTGGTTGCCCCCAAACAGCAAATCAGGGGTGAATTGTGAGCTTGATTAGACTTCTTCCTTTCAGGTGGGCACATTGATAAACAGACACTGGCCAGACACTCTGAGAATTGGGTGTCCCATTTTATTCCTGATTGTAGCATCTGGCCTACCTCTCATTGTTTTATTAGCCATTATGAAACCAGTATCCTTTTATTAGAAGGTATTGGGCCTAAAATGCAAAATACCATCAATTAGAGGCAAAACGGCTGGTGACTACAGGTCATGTAATGGGACATGTATGGCCAGGCCATACTACATGTGACTCTTTACCCGAGGCCAAGTCAGAACGGACAGGGTAGGGGGTTCCTGCTGCCTCCAGGCCGCTCTTCCTCTCCATTCCCCGTTCCTCAGAGGCGCTGACTGGAGAGGCTGGCCACTGCTGGGGGTCTGCCGTGAGTTGTTTCTCTAAAGTACACATACTCTAGTCAGAGAATTTTGAAGCCCACAAGCAAGGATGCTTAAATGAAGGTCCATTCATTCCACTGAGCACCTATTATGTGCTTGGCTGTATGTACAGTATGCCCACCTCATCACATTCTGACAAAGACTACTGTTTGTGCACAGACTAGGGGAGCAAGACACAGCCATTTGCCCCTGGAATGCAGGTTGACTTGCTGCTGAAGGACTGTGCTGGGAACAGTGGGAAGGGGGCTAAGGCTCAGCACAGTCATTGATGTCCTGGGGAAGATTCACAGCACTTTGACTTCAGAAGGGGGCTTGGTGAGGGCCTCCACTTGGTGAAGGGGGTTGGATCAGAGTGGGATGCTGAACGTTGTCTGGGATGACGGGAAGGGGATTTAGAGATTACAGGGGCAGGTAGGGAGAAACAGTCTTGGAGAAGGGTCCTCTAACCTTAGTGGAGGATGGTCTCCTGCTGGGTGAAATGCCTGGGCTGCTCCTGCAGAGATGAGAAGCTTGGAAAAGACTCCCAGTGTGAGGGAGATGAGATGGAAGGGGTGTGGTGCTGATGCTAGACTCATGATTTTAATTTGTTTTGCACAGCTCTTGCCTGCTTAGAGTGGGGTCCTCTTTCTCACATGGTAGGGGCTGGAGAGGTCACTCAGGAACCTTCTCCTTGCCATCTCTTGGTAGGAGTGTTAGTGATGGCACCAGCAATGACCATGGTCATGGGGAGAGCAACGGCTAACGTTAATTGAGTTGTCACTGTGTGCCAGATCCTGTTCTAAGCCCTCTATCCAGTTTACCTTCAGGACTGCCCTGTGAGGCAGGCTCACAAGTGCCTAGAGGATCTTCTGTACTGACTACAAGCCTCTAAGTGAAGAAGCAAAACAGGCTCTGGATCTTGGAGGTCCTTGAATTCTCCTGGGGCTCAACTTGAGGATGCTCACGGCTCAGGCCTGAGAGGGGAGAAGCATAGTGGGCAGGCATCTCCTCTCTGATCACCTACTTAGGTTTTGGTTCCCCAAGGATGATTTGCTGCCATCCTGCTCAGGAGTGTGTGAAAAACACAGAATGACAGGTGCCACTCCAGGCCCACTAAATTCAAATCTCTTGGGACAGGGCTTGGGATTCTGCATTGTCACCAGGGCCATGCATAGGCAAGTTAAAGTTGCAGACCTCCACTGTGGGGAGTAATTGCCACCTTGCACAGTTTCTCCTTGGTTCTACAGGTAAGGATGGAGTTTTGGGAAGACTCACATATATAGAATCTCATTTTGGATTCCGGGCAGGAAGTGAATTATTTATATTCAAATGTATCCTGACAGCAGAGAAACACACACAGAGGCTTTTGATAACGTGGATAGGTCTGTTGGATTGTACCTCCAAAAAAATCCCAGAGACAGATTTAAAACCTCATGACATTCCCCAGCAGACCATGTGTAAATCCACATGATGGCAGAGTTACTTTTAAAAACAAAAAAAGCATTAGCCGGGCGTGGTGGCAGGCGCCTATAGTCCCAGCTACTCGGGAGGCTGAGGCAGGAGAATGGCGTGAACCCGGGAGGCGGAGCTTGCAGTGAGCTGAGATGGAGCCACTGCACTCCAGCCTGGGGGACTGAGCGAGACTCCGTCTCAAAAAACAAAAACAAAAACAAAAACAAAAACAAAAAAAGCAAAGCTGCAAAACAATGTGAATATACTTCCCAATATTTATCTGAACACTTAAAAATTGTAAGAGGTTAAATTTTGTGTGTTTTTTAAATTACAAAAAAAGTGAAAAAGGCCACCTCCAGGAGCATGGGGGTATCCCAACCTTTGAATTAAAAGCAAAGCTTTTGTAGTACCACATTCTTGCAAGGCTCAGAGAAGGCTTGCCCAGTGAAGATTCCTGATGAAATACCGCCTTGCCACGGCTTCCAAGCTTTGATGGGGAGTGAGCAGAAACCTTCCCAGAGGTGTGTCTAGAACAATACAAATATGAATACAGACAACTCATACAGAAAGTAGGCTGGAGGCAGATCAGTGCCCAGGGAGCAAAGGCACCAGATGGACCTTAAGAATTGAGAGTTGGTGCAACCTGATGTGATTTTCAGGATCTCAGTCACAGCAAAACAGCAAACGAGATGTTTCTCTGATGGGCACAAGGTGTAGGATAAATAAATTAACAAGGAGAGGAGATGTGGTAAAGAGGGGAGAGAGAATTATTCAATCCACTTCCTAGAGCAGTCCTGGGACTATAAGTCTCCGGACCACCATCCTCCAAGTAAATCCCAGCCCTTAGGAAAGTAAGGGAAAAGAGCCCCTTAGTTAGACCTGAGCTTCCCCTTGGAGGCTGGGGGCTGGAAATGGGTGTAAGCAAATGTCTGATGTTGGCTGTCTAGCATTAGAATATCCCCTGCACCTTGAATAGCTCCATGCAGTCCCTCCCTTGGAAGATGGTGACTCTAATGTGCCAGGAGACCCACGTGAGAGCAGCAGTCCCAGATGTTGTAGGGTATGTGATGTTTCTGCCTTAGTTCTCATAGGTCCGGAGATCACAGTACAGCATCATTCAGATGGAGTCAGCCTCTCTGGTAGCATTTCCTGAAGGCTGTCAAACGACATCCTTCTTATCACCCATCTTTACACTCTGCAGCCCAGCCAAAGTGAAATGTGTGGGGCAGGCAGTCAGGAAGGGCAGGCTGAGACTCTTGGGCACGGGCAGGAACTGCTGCCCACAGATGGAATTTCTTCTTCATAAAGGACACAATACATCAGGTCTGTTCTTAAGGCCTTTCGACTGATTGAGCCAGGCCCACCCAGATTATCTAGGATAGCTTCCCTTGTTTAACGTCAACTGACCATGGACCTCAATCCCATCTACAAGATACCTTCACAATACCTAGAAGTGTTTTCTTGAATAACTGAGCACCGTGGCCTAGCTAAATTGACACATAAGGTTTTTCCTGGTGACTACCATAATTTCCCTGATGGCTAATGATGGAGATCTACTCTTCATGTACTTATGGCCAGTCATAGATCCACTTTTAAGATCTTGCCCATTAAAAAAAAAGGGTTGTTTGCCTTTTTACTACTGAGTTGTAAGAGTTATTTTATATCCTAGAAACCAGTCCTTTATCAAATAATACGTATTGCAAATATTTTCTCTCCGTCTGTGGTTTGCTTATTTGTTTCCTTGTTAGTATCTTTTTTTGAGTAGAAGTTTCGAATTTTAATGGAGACAAACATCAATTTTTTCGTTTATGTTTAGTGATTTTTGTAACTTGACAAATAAACATTAGCCTACCTCCATGGTCACAAATATTTCTTCCTAAGTTTTAGATATTTTGTAGTTTTAGCTTTTACATTTATGTCTATGATCTAATCTATTTCCTGTGAATTTTTATTTATGGTGTGATTTATTGTTTATGGTCATTTTTTCCCCATATGAATATCCAGTTTTTCTAATTATCATTTGTTGAAAAGACTTTCTCTGCCCCATCAAATTGCCTTGGGACTTTTGTTGAAAATCAGTTGACCATATATGTGTGTGGGTCCTTTTTTGGACTATTTTTCATTCAGTTGATCTATATGGCAATCCTTTCACCAAAACCACACCTTATTGTTTAATGTAGCTTTAAAGTAGGCCTTGAGATGAGGTAGGTTAAATCCCCCAACTTCATGGTATTTTATTAAGAATGATTTGGAAATTTTAGTTCCTTTATATTTCTACATGTATTTTAGAATAAGATTCCTAGTTTCTGTCAACAAACCTGCTGGAACTATGTGTGGAATATCATTGAATTTATAGAGGTTTGGGGGAGAATTGACATCTTAATAATGTTGATCTTTTCCCCCCAATCTATGAACTTGATTTATCTACTTATTTTGATCTTTAATTTCTCTGAAGAATGTTTTAGTTTTCAAGGTAGAGGTTCTTCTTTGGCTAAATTTATTACTAAATACTTTGTGGTTTTTGACACTATTTTAAATTAAAAATTTTAAGATTTTATTTTCAATGACTTGTTATTTATACATAGAAATACAATTGAGTTTTGTATATTGACTTTATATCCTGCAACTTTGCTAAAGTCACTTATAAATTCTAATAGTAGTAGTGAATATGTCTTAGGAGTTTCTATATAAATAATTATGACCTAGCAAATATAAATATTTTTGCTTTTTTCCTGATCTTTATGCCTTTTCTTTTTCTTGCCTTATTGCAGTGGCCAGGACCTTGCTCAGTACAATGTTTAACAGAAGTGGTCACAGTGGGCATCCTTGGCTTGTTCCCAATCATAGCAGAAAAGCATTCATTGATTCACTGTTAAGTATGATGATACCTGTAGATTTTTTTTGTGGATATTTATAGGGGGTTCGAGGGATTTGGGGACTGATCAAGAAAAAAAATATCACCATGAGTGGCAGTAACACACACAAAACTTTATTGGGTGGCACTTGGACAGGGTTGAATGAGAGGTGAGGTCCCTTGTAGCATGAGACCTCCCAGAGGCTTGTGGTAAGGGGCCACCCACAGAAGGAGGGCAAGAGACAGGGCATCAGAAACAGGTGCCTTGGTGATGTTGCTCAGTAGCATAGTGGGGAGTCTCTGTTAGAAACCCCTGAAGGGCAGCAGTGGTTTCAGGGCTTACAATGTCAGGGCCCTATCTGAGCAATAGGTAACAGCTGTCGGATGAGGTTTCGTGGGGTACGTGAAGCACACAGAATATAAATGGCTGAACGTATGCTTGTTTTTTAAAACAAGCATTTTAAGAATAATTGGATGTGCAAAAATTTGAGTTTGTTGCTGACAGACTTTGAGCTAACAGGTCTCATCTAGTACAGAAGAAATAAACAACCTAGAGACCAACACACAGAGGTTGTCTTTGACTGATTTCTATAACCATGCCCTTCATCAGTTTGAGGAAGTTCTTTTCCTGTTTTCCTGAAAGTTTGTATTGTGAATGGATCTTGAATTATGTCAAATACATTTTTCTCCACCTATTCAGAAGAGCTCTTCAACTGGAATTAACTGAATTACATAGAGTTTTGATTGTTAAAACAGTCTTTTATTTCTTGTATGAATTTAACTTGGTCATGACAGAGTTAGCTTCTGTTTTAGGCATTACTGGCTTTGATTTGCTTATATACTAATTTGCTTTCATTGTAATCTTTGTTGAGATTTGAGTTGAACTGGGCTCATAAAACGAGTTGAGAAATGTTACCTTCTCCCTTATTTTCTTTACTTTTTTTTCTTGTTTTTTATATCTTTTGTTTGTTTGTTTTAGAGACAGGGTCTTGCTCTGTTGCCCAGGCCGGAGTGCAGTGTCATCATCTTGGCTCACTGCAGCCTCAACCTCCCTGGCTCAAGTGATCCTCTCACCTCAGCCTCCCAAGTAGCTGGGACTACAGGCATGTGCCACCATGCCTGGCTAGTTTTGTATTTTTAGTAGAGACAGGTTTCGCCATGTTGCCCAGGCTGGTCTCAAACTCCTGGATTCAAGCAATCTGCCTGGCTCGGCTTCCCAAAGTGCTGGGATTACAGGCGTGAGTCTCTGCACCTGGCCTACTTTTTTTTTTTTTTCAAGTGACTCAAAACAACAGAAATTTATTCTCTTGCATTTCCAGAGGTCAGAATTCTTAAAATCATGGTGTTGGCAGCCTTCTTCTCAAAGCTTCAGGTTGAGAATCTGTTTATCTTTTCTGGCTTCTAGAGGCTGTCTGCATTGCTTGACTTCTGGCCCCTTCCCCTATTCCTCCCCCATTTTCTGAAAGAGTTTGTGTAAGATTGTTATTATTTCATATTTATTTATTTATTTTCTTGAGATAGGGTCTCACTCTGTTGCCCAGGCTGGAGTGCAGTGGCACAATCTTGGCTCACTGCAGCCTCGACCTTCTGGGCTCAAGTGATCCTCCCACTCCAGCCTCCTAACTGGGACCACAGGTGCATGCCACCACGCCTGGCTAATTATTTTATTTTTTGTAGAGATGGGGTCTTACTATGTTTCCCAGGCTGGTCTCGAAATCCTGAGTTCAAGCAATCCTCCTGCCTCAGCCTCCCAAAGTGCTGGCATTACAGGTGTAAGCTGCCATGCCCAGCCTATAATTTTGTCTTCAAATATTTGATAAAATTCACCAGCTAAACCATCTGGGCCTGGAGCTTCTTTTGTAAAAAGGGTTTTGATAGCAAATTTACTTTCTTTCATAGATATAAGGTAATTTATACTTTGTTTCATTTTATGTCAGTTTTGGTTGGTTATATTCTTCAAGGTTTATTTTATCTTCATTTTTGAATTTTCAGGAAATAGTTTGTCCATAATATTATTTTATTATGATTTGAATGTCTGTATGCACTCTAGTAGTGATAACCCCTTTGTATTTGTGTTTTCTCTTTTTTCTTGCTAATTAGAGGTTTATCTATGTTGTTTGTTTATTTCAAATAACTAATTTTTGTGGTTGTCATTTTACCTTGCGATTTCTTCTTTGTTGCATGGATTTTTAGAAATATATGTCTCATTTCCAAATATTTTGAGATTTTCATAAATATTTTATTGTTATTGGCTTTTCATTTAATTTCACTGTGGGCCAAGAACACACTTTATATGACTGCAATTCTTTTAAATTTATTGGAACTTGGTTTATGGCCAAGCACATGGACTGACTTGGTGAAAGCAACAAGCATACTTGAAAATAAATATATTATCTGGGATTTGGCATACAGGTCAAGATGGTTGAGATAATCTCTACTGGTTTTTGGTTTTGGTCTACTTGTTCTAGGAAGTGTTGAGAGAAAGAAGTTAAAATCTACAACTATATAAGAAGCAAAAGCCTTGCAACCATGTATGTCCATTCACCCCTCCACGTGTTCCTATTTGTGCCATAGTTGCCATGTCGCCATGTGTATTATAACTATATGTATATTAAGGAAATACACAGAAAAATATTTGAAAATATTCACCTGGGTAATTGTTATTTCAGATCCCGTTCATCTCAACCTTAAGATACGATTTTCTGTTTTCTATCAATTCCCATCAGCCTGAGGAATTTCCTTTAGCATTTCTTACAGTGCAATTCTTCTGATGATATATTCTTTTGGCTTACTTTTATCTGCAAAAGTCTTCATTTTGCTCTAATTTTTGAGGTTATTTTCACTTGATGTGGAATTTTGGGTTGAGAGGTTTTCTTTTCTTTCAGCACTTTAATGATATTGTCCCACTGCAGGGGCATCGCCTTTATAGGTGCTGATGAAAAGCCAGTGGTTTCTAATTATTATTCCCCTTTATGTGATGTGTCGTTTTTTATTCTGGCAGCTGTCAAGATTTTTTTCTCCTTGTTTGGTTTTCAACATTGTGACTATGACGGAATGATTTACTTCCTATTTACTCTGGGATTCACTGAACTTCTTGGATCTATAAATTTACATCTTTAGACAAATTTGAGAGATTTACAGCCATTATTTCTCCAAATATTTTTCCCCGTTATCTCTCTCTTCTCATCTTAAAACTCGGATTACAAAGTGTGTATTTCCCCACAGTTTCTGAAGTCCTATTTATTTAAATCTTGTATCTCTTTTTCAGATTTGACAATTTCTATTGATCAGTCTCAGAGCCACTGACTCCTCTGTCATTTCTATTCTGTTCTTAAGCCCATCCAGTGGATTTTTTTTTTTTAACATTAAGACATTGTATTTTTTAGTTCTGGAATTTTCATTTGTTTGTTTTTTAATAGTTTATTATAAGCATATTTTCTTTGACTTTAATGAACATAGTTATTATAGCTGCCATGAAGTCCTTGTCTGATAATCCAACAGCTGGATCATCTCAGGGTTAATTGGCTTATATTTTTTCTTTGGAAACTGGGAGATCACATTTTCATGGTTACATGGTGAATAACTTAGAATTTTAACCCATACTTTATAAATGTTAGGTTGTAGAGACTCTGAATTCTGTTACATTCCTCAGAAGACTTGTTATTTTTGTTTTAGCAGACAATTAACTTTCTTGAACTTATACTGAAAATGCTGCCTCTTGAGTGGCAGTTAAAATTTCAATTTAGCTCTCTTACCCTTAATTGATCTGTTTGCAATCTGTCTGTGCATATATGGTTAAGAAGTTAGAGGCTGGCTGTGGTGACTCACACCTCTAATCCCAGCACTCTGGGAAGCTGACATGGGTGGATCACTTGAGGTCAGGAGTTCAAGACTAGTCTGGCCAACACAGCGAAACCTCATCTCTACTAAAAATACAAAAATTAGCTGAGTGTGGTGGTGCATTCCTGTAGTCCCAGCTACTTGGGAAGCTGAGGCAGGAGAATGGTTTGAACTTGGGAGGCAGAGATTGCAGTGAGCTAAGATTGCACAACTGGACTCCAACCTACGTGACAGAGCAAGATTTAGTCTAAAAAAAAAAAAAGTGTCAGAGACGTGGGCCAAGTTTATGCACAAAATCTATGGCTCCTTGTCTTTGGATCTTTCCTTGCTGTTATTCTCTCTGTATACTCTAAGAGCTGTAGTTTTCCCAAACTCTGTTTTCTGGTTTTTCAAGCCAGAAAGACTGTAAGTCTTCATTCAGAGTTTAAGCCTCCACGTGTGGTACTTACCATGTCTTTTCTTAGCCTGCCCTTAAGCTAAAATATGTAATAACAGGATGCTCACCACATCAGAATCTGCTTACTTTGGTGGAGGGTCTTTCTTAAGAATTTATTTGAATATACTGGAAGTGGAACTCCTCTCACCTTCATTTTGAAGGCTAGTTTTACTGCATATACAATTCTTTGCTGATAGGTTCTTAAATTCTTTTCTTTTTGCACTATGCCATTCCAATATCCTCCAGTGCCTATAGCTTTTGTTGAGAAGTCATCTGTAATCATGTCAATCTTCCTCTGACTGTAATATGTGGTTCTTTTCTCTGGTTTCAATATTTCCTTGTTAGCAGTCTGACTATGATGTGTGTAGGAGTAATTTCTTTATGTTTATCATGTTTTGAGGTTCCTTAGGCTTCTCGAATCTATTAACATTTTCTACCACATTTTGGAAGTTTTCAGTTATTTTGTCTCCAGTGATTTTTTTTTTCTTTCTCTTTTTCTATCTCCTCCTCTTCTAGGTCTCCAATTATACATAATTTGAAATGCCTGAAATTATTCCATGGGTCTCTGAGGTTCTGTTAACTTTTTTCAATATTCTTTCCCTTTTTATTTGTTTTTTTGGATTGAGTAAATTTTATCAATCTATATTCAAATTCAATAATTCTTCTGCCTTTTCCATTTTGCTGCTCAGTCTATTTAGTGTACTTTATGTAGTAACTTTTAGCTCTCGAATTTTCCACTGGCATTTTAATACCTTCATTTCTGTATTGAGATTACCCATTTCTTCATTGATACTCTTTCTTTTATAGTAGCTACTTTGATGTCTGCTATACAACAACTGGAATAAATCAAAATTTTTATTGAATGTTTGTCTTTTATCATAAGAATAGAATACATTTTCCTGTTTCTTTGCATGCCTACTAAATTTTGGTTCAAAATTGGACTGCAGGCAATATATTCTAGTGATTCTGGATTCTGTTGTGTTCTTAAGGGTTTTTCTTGTGTGTGTGTGTGTGGTTGTTTTTCGTACACTTAATTTTTTATTTTCAATTCTAGTAGGCAGTCAACTTGCCTGGACTCAAACTGCAAACTTTTTTCTCTTGTAATATGAAGGAGTTCACATCTCTAGTCTGTTCTTATGGCTTCAAATTGCTGCTTTTATCCTGGCACCTTGGGTGTTTTCCCTATGCCTACATAATATAGTGGTCATCCAGGGATTTGGGCAGCTTTGAGGGCTCACTCTTTTAGTGGTTCCCTTGCTTAAATTTCCATCTGTTTTTCTAGACTTGGGTTCTGTCCCCTGGTACTTTAAGCCCATAAGACATTAGATTACTGCTGCCCAAGCTGCACATGGCTTGCAAATGCATTTCAGTTAAAAAGCAGCAAACACACAGACCTTTCCCTGTGCAGCTTTGTTTCTGAACAGTAGATTCCTCTCTAGTTTCTGCCTAATTTTTTCACAGAGTTCCCTGGGTTCTCTCTTGTACATGCCTAATTTAGGGGCTAGCTAGGAATCAGGGCAAAGTTCATACTTAGGTTTTATGATTCACTCTTACTGTAGTTTCTTGATGCTGAGCGTTTTTCTTTAAACTTCCACTTTTTTTCTAGCCCTGAACTCTTATTTCTGGCACCTTGAGCCAGTTAGGCTATAGTTTTTTGTTGCCTTGACCCTGAAAGTTGGGGAGTGCCCTCAGGCCAGAATGTCACAAACTCACAATTCTTTCCTTCTCCATTTGCAGTTTTAAAGAATAAACTCTCCAGCAGCTTCTCTCTGTTCTTGAGCATTTTATTGTGCCTTTAAATAGAGGTAACTTAAAAAAATTTATCCAGGTCTTATTAGTTTGTTCTCAGAAAGGAAAGAAGTGTAATGGACTCACAGTTCCACATGGCTGGGGAGGCCTCACAATCATGGCAGAAGGCAAGGGAGGAAAAAAGGCATGACTTACATGGAAGCAGGCAAGAGAGCATGTGCAGGGAACTCCCCTTTATGAAATCATCAGCTCTCATGAGACTTATCCCTATCACAAGAACAGCATGGGAAAGACCTGCCCCCATGATTCAATTACCTCCCACTGGGTCCCTCCCATGACATGTGGGAATTATGGGAGCTAAAATTCAAGATGAGATTTGGATGGGGACACAGCCAAACCATATCATTCCACCACTAGCCCCTCCCAAATCTCATGTCTTTACATATCAAAACCAATCATGCTTTCCCAACAGTACCCCAAAGTCTTAACTCATTTCAGCATTAACTCAGAAGTCCACAGTCCAAAGTCTCATCTGACACAAGGCAAGTCCATTCTGCCTGAGAGCCTGTATAATCAAAAGCAAGTTATTAATACAACCATTCCAAATGAGAGAAATTGGCCAAAATGAAGGAGTTAGGGCAGTCACATCTTAAAGCTCTGAAATGATGTCTTTTCACTCCACGTCTCACATCCAGGTCATGCTGATGCAAGAGATAAGCTTCCCCGGCCTTGGGCAGCTCTGCCACAAGGGGGACTTTTCAGAGTACAGCCCCATTTCTGGTTGCTTTTATGGCTGGTATTGAGTGTCAGTGGCTTTTCCAGGTGCATGGTGCAAGCTGTTGGTGGACCTACCATTCTGGGATCTGGAGAACAGTGGCCCTCTTCTCACAGCTCCACTAGGCAATGCCTCAGTAGGGACTCTGTGTGGGGGATCTGACCCCACATTTTCCTTCTGCACTGCCCTAGCAGAGGTTCTCCATGAGGGCCCCATCCCTGAAGCAAACTTCTGCCTGGGCATCCAGGCATTTCCAAACATCCTCCGAAATCTAGGCAGAGGTTCCAAAACTTCAGTTCTTGACTTCTTTGCACCCACAGGCCCAACACCACTTGTAAGCTGCAAAGGTTTGGTGCTTGCATCCTCTGAAGCAACAGCCTGAGCTGTACACTGACCTCATGGCTGAAGCTGAAACAGCTGGGATGCAGAGCACCCTGTTTGAAGGCTGCATAGAGCAGAGGTGTCCTGGGCCCAGTCCACAAAACCATTTTTTCCGTCCTACGCCTCTAGGCCTGTGATGGGAGGGGCTGCCATGAAGGTCTCTGACAGGGCCTGGAGACATTTTCCCCATTGTCTTGGTGATTAGCATTTGGCTCCTCATTACTTATGCATATTTCTGCAGTTGGCTGGAATTTCTCCCCAGAAAATGGCGTTTTCTCTCCTATTGCATCATTGGGCTGCAAATTTTCCGAACTTCTACGCTCTGTCACCTCTTGAGTGCTTTGCTGCTTAGAAATTTCTTCCACCAGATACCCTAAATCATCTCTCTCAATTTCAAAGTTCCACAGATCTCTAGAGCAGAGGCAAAATGCTGCCAGTCTCTTTGCATAGCAAAGGCAACCTTTACTACAGTTCCCAACAATTTCCTCATCTCCATCTGAGTCCACCACAGCCTGGACTTTATTGTCCATATCACTGTCAGCATTTTAGTCAAAGCCATTCAATGAGTCTCTAGGAAGTTCCAAACTTTCCAACATTTTCCTGTCTTTTTCTGAGTCCTCCAAACTGTTCCAACCTCTGCCTGTTATCCAGTTCCAAAGTTGCCTCCATATTTTCTGGTATCTTTACAGCAGCACCCCACTCCTGGCACCAATTTACTGTATTAGTCTGTTCTCATGCTGCTAATAAAGACATACCCGAGACTGGCTAATTTAGAAAGAAAAGCGATTTAATGGACTCACAGTTCCACATAGCTGGGGAAGCCTCACAATCACGGTGGAAGGTAAAGGAGGAGGAAAGCCATGACTTACTTGGTGGCAGGCAAGAGAGTGTGTGCAGGGGACTGCCCCTTCATGAAACCATCAGCTCTCATGAGACTTGTTACTATCACAAGAATAGCATGGGAAAGACCAGCCCCATGATTCAATTACCTCCCACTTGGCCCCTCCCATGACACATGGGAATTATGGGAGTTACAATTCAAGATGAGATTTGGGTGGGGACACAGCCAAACCATATCGAGATCTTAAAATTGTTACCTGTAAAAGTATTTGCATGATTACTTCATATTGGCACATTATTGACAGTTCTCTAAATGTAGTTTTTTTGTTTTGTTGTGTGAGTGTGTGTGTGTGTGTGTGTGTGTGTGTGTGTGATGGAGTCTCACTCTGTCACCCAGGTTGGAGTGCAGTGGCGTGATCTAGGCTCATTGCAACCTCTGCCTACCAGGTTCAAGCCATTCTCATGCCTCAGCCTCCCAAGTAGCTAGGATTACAGGCATGCACCACCATGCATGGCTAATTTTTATATTTTTAGTAGAGATGAGGTTTTGCCTTGCTGTCTAGATGGGTCTTGAACTCCTAGCCTCATTTTATCCACCCATCTCAGACTCCCAAAGTGTTGGGATTATAAATGTGAGTCACTGTGTCTGGCCTAAGTCTAGTTTTAATTTGTTTTTCTCTTATCATGAGTGAAGTTAAACATCTTTTCATATTTTTAGATCCATTCTTACAGCTTTATAGATAGTTCATTGTCTTTTGCCTATTTTTCTGCCAGGTCTTTGGTCAGTTTTTTCATTGAATTTTAAAGAGTTCTTTGTATTTTACAGACTCCAGCCCTTTGTCTGCTATTTAGTGCAAATACTTTCTCTCCATTTGTCATTTGTCTTTTGACTTTCTTTATGTTGTCTTTGGAAATATATTTTTAAAAATGCATTTTTATCTAGTCAAGGTTAGCAACATTTTATTGCACCTGGAATTTGAGTTAGAATTCACTCATGTTTTCTTCTAGTACCTGTCTGCTTTTTTTTTTTCTTTTATCCATTTGGAGTTTATTCTTGTATGTGGTGTGAGGCATGGATCTAATTTTATTGTTTTCCAATGGCTATCCATTGTCCTAGTACCTGTTATTAAAGTTTCAGTGATTTGAGATGCCACCTTTATAATATACAACATTTCCAAATATAGCCAGTCCTCTGTATCCTCAGGTTCTTCATCTGTGGATTCAACCAACTGTGGATTGCAAATTACACTATTCGTGGGATGTGGAACCCATAAATATGGAGGGCTGACTTTTCATATCCATGGGTTCCACAGGGCCAACTGCAGGGCTTGAGCATTCTCAGATTTTGGTATCCAAGGGGTTGCTGGAACCAATCTCTTAAGTACTGAGGGACAATTGCAGATATATAGATAGGTAGATAGACTGACAGATAGATGATAGATAAATAATATATATTATGTCTTTTTTGGACACCTAGTCCATTTGCCTTTCCTTGTGATAGTACCACACTATTATTTTTTTAACTTTTAAGTTCAGGGGTACATGTGCAGGTTTGTTACATAGGTAAATGTGTTTCATGGGGATTGGTTATACAGATTATTTCATCACCCAGGTATTAAGTTTAGTATCCATTAGTTATTTTTTCTGTTTCTCTCCCTCCTCTCACTCTTCAACCCTCTGATACGCCACAGTGTGTTTTGTTCCCTCCACCATGTGTCCATGTGTTCTCATCATTTAGTTCCCACTTATAAGTGAGAACATGCAGTATTTGGTTTTCTGTTCCTGTGTTAGTTTGCTGAGGACAATGGCCTCCAGTTTCATCTATGTCCCTGTAAAGGACATTATCTCATTCTTTTTTATGGCTGCATAGTATTCCATGGTGTATATGTACCATATTTTCTTTATCCAGTCTATCATTGATGGGCATTTGGGTTAATTCCATGTCTTTGCTATTGTGAATAGTACTGAAATAAACATACACATACATGTGTATTTATAATAAAAAATTTATATTTCTTTGGGTATAAAGCGAGTAATGGGATTGCTGGGTCAAATTGTATTTCTGTCTTTAGGTCTTTGAGGAATTGCCACACAGTCTTCCACAATGGTTGAACTAATTTACACTCCCACCAACTGTGTAAAAGCATTCCTTTTTCTCCACAACCTCACCAGCATCTGTTATTTTCTTTACTTTTAATAATAGCCATTCTGACTGGTGTGAGATGATATCTCATTGGTGCCACACTATTTTAACCATACAGATATCATAGTGTTTAATATGCTAACATAAGTTCCTCCCCATAGCTTTATTTTTCAGAATTTTCTTAGCTACTCACATTTCTTTTTCCATATGAACTTTGTTGACAAAAAGAGTTAAACTCTGTAAAATATTTGTAGAGATTTATTCTGAGCCAAATATGAGTGACCATGGCCCGTGACACAGCCCTCAGGAGATCCTGAGGACATGTGCCTAAGGTGGTCAGGGTTCAGCTTGATTTTATACATTTTAGGGAGACATGAGACATCAATTAAATACC
Organism: Homo sapiens; assembly: GCF_000001405.40. Classification (NCBI taxonomy): domain Eukaryota; kingdom Metazoa; phylum Chordata; class Mammalia; order Primates; family Hominidae; genus Homo; species Homo sapiens. The sequence continues at coordinate 98,317,712 of NC_000002.12, read as the reverse complement.
TTTAAGATATAGAATGGTTCGTTCCAGAAAGGCAGGACAATTCAAAGTGGGGGCTACCAGGTTATAGGTAGATTTGAAATTTTTCTGATTGGCAATTGGTTGAAAGACTTATTATCAAGGGAAGGGAATGTCTGGGTTACCATAAGAGGTTGTTGAGACCAAAGTTTTATCATGCTGATGAAGCCTCCAGGTAGCAGGCTTCAGAGAGAATAGATTGTAAATGTTTCTTATCAGGCTTAAGGTCTGTGTTGATGTTAATGCTGGAGGGTATAATGAGGCACCTCCGACCCCCACTTCCCCTCAGGGCCTGAACCAGTCTTTCACGTTAAACTTTAGAGTGCTCTGGCCTAGGAGGAAGGCCACTCAGATGGCTGGGGGGGGTTTAGAATTTTATTTTTGGTTTACCACTTTACTATAAACTTTTCAAGCCTCATAAAACGTTTGCTGTTGTTTTTACTTGGATTGTGTTATAGTAATACATGAACTCAGGGGGAACTATCATCTTCATGATGTTCAGTCATCCTATCTAAAACAAAGGATGTTCCAGTCTACTTTTGTATCTTTCAAGAGTGTTTCAAAGCTTTTCATGCATTGGTTTTGCACATTTCTTGTTAAGTTTATTCTAGGTACAGTCCATGCTCACTATTTACAGGTTCCATATTTGTGAATTCACCTACCTGCTTATATTAGTCCATTCTCACATTGTGATAAAGAAATACTAGAGACTGGGTAATTTATAAAGAAAAGAGGTTTAATTGGCTCATGGTTCCGCAGGATGTACAGGAAGCATGGCAGCATCTGCTTCTGGGGAGGCCTCAGGAAGCTTCCAATTATGGTGGAAGGTGAAGAAGGAGCCAGTACTTACAAGGCCAGAGCAGAAGGAAGAGAGGGGAGGGGAGGTGCTACATATTTTAAACAACCGATCTCCTAAGAACTCAGTCACTATACAGTACCCAGGAGGGATGGTACTAAAGCATTAATGAGAACTCCACCCCCATGATCTAATCACCCTCCCACCAGGCCCTCCTCAAACATTGGGGATTACACTTTTTTTTTTTTTTTTTTTGAGACAGAGTTTCACTTTGTTGCCCACGCTGGGGTACAGTGGCATGATCTTGGCTCACTGCAACCTCTGCCTCACGGGTTCAAGCCATTCTCCCACTTCAGCCCCACCCCAAGTAGCTGAGACTACAGGCGTGTGTCACCACACCCAGCAATTTTTTTGTATTTTTGGCAGAGACAGGGTTTTGCCATGTTGCCCAGGCTGGTCTTGAACTTCTGAGCTCAAATGATCCACCAGTTTTGGCCTCCCAAAGTGCTGGAATTACAGGCATGAGCCACCGCGCCCAGCCAGAAATTATAATTTGACATGTGATTTTGGGGTGGAAACCATATCACTGCTAAAACTTATTTGTAACCTCAAAATCAATGCTCAAGGCATGTTTGCAGACAGGTGCATGCTCAAAGAAGTGAAAAAATCTGCCTACTGCCTTCTTGTTTTAGCTCTCCTACTGTAAACATGCTTATAGGGTTGGGCATGAGTATGTTAATGAGTCAGCAATATATATTAAGATACCTTTGAACAGAAACACACAAAAACAAAGTTACATATTGATTAGTTGATGAAAATATGGTGACCAGCGGCCTGCAGGAACCTAATCTTGTGTGTCTCCTAGGAAAAATGATTCAGTATTCAGTGTTAGATGCCACTGTATAGAACGTAACTACATGAATAGTGAGAATCAACTGCATTTTAGTTTCTTTGTTGTCATTGTAAATGAGGTTTTTCACTATCAACATATCTTCTAATCGATCATGATTTGTGTATATCGATTTCTGTGTATTAAATTTATATCCTTCGTCTCACTGAATTCTTTTGTTTGGATTAGTGTTATTGATTCAGAATTTTCAGGTGTTGTCTTTTATCATGTGCAAACATCATTTTCCTTCTTTTCCAATTATTATTCCTCTAATTGATTTCTCTTGTCTAGTTTTGTTGGCTACAACCCATCCACCTTTTATAAGGACAGTTTTTCATCTATGTGGAAATGCTCTGAGTTGGCAATAGACTGTGTCATTGAGCTGTAGACTCCTAGAGTTGGAAAGGAGCTTAGAAGTATGTAGATGACTCTCACTTGAAGTATGGAATCTTTTTTACATCACTTAATTGGTGATCCAGTCTCTTTTTGAATATCTGTTCCCTTTCTTCTGAAGAACATCCTTCTGTTTCAAGGATTCACCTTGTACCCATTCCACATAGTTTACATCTGGTTTTCAATCACTCCATCCCTATAGCAATCACCCACTGCCCCTGGCTTGTGATCCTGGCCTATTATATAGGGTGGCCATAAAATCTAGATACATAGGTATTATTATTATCATCACTATTATTATTGTGTGTGTCTGTGAGTGTGTTTAACAGATTGAACCCCTTTTATTACTTCTGGTATATGCTAAAAGTACAGATTTATTCAGCAAAAAAATCAAATGTGCAAATCATCTGAGGCAATGAATGCATCCAGGTGCATGTTCAAGGATTTATGAAAATGCATTAATGTACTATCGACATTACTCTATAAAGCCAATTATCTTTAAAGGAGATTTAAATGGTAAGAAAAGAAAGTCTTTCATATATATACCATCAGTTGCCATTTCTGGTACTTTTCATTGTCTGTGTCATTCCGGAGCTGATTCCAATTGGCTTCTCTTTTTTTTCTTTTTTTTTTTTTGAGATGGACTCTTGCTCCGGAGTAACCTCCTGGGTTCAAGCGATTCTTTTGCCTCAGCCTCTCCTCCCAAGTAACTGGGATTACAGGTGCAAGCCACCACACCCAGCTAATTTTTGTATTTTTAGTAGAGACAGGGTTTCACCATGTTGGCCAGGCTGGTCTTGAACTCCTGAGCTCAGGTGATCCACCCACCTCGGCCTCCCAAAGTGCTGGGATAACAGGCGTGAGCCACCAAGTCCGGCCAGCTTTTCTCTTTATTATGGGTTATTTTCTTGCTGTTTTTCATGCCTGTCTTTAGGCCAGTCTTTGATTGGATGTCAGACATTGTAAATTGTACCTTGTTGGATGATGGATATTTTTGTATCCCTATAAATATCCTTGATCTTTGTTCTGGGACACAGGTATTTGGAAACAGGTTTGATCCTTCCCAGGCTTGCTTTTCAGCTTTGTTAGGCTGGGACCACGGAAACATTTAGTCAAATGCCAGTTTTGCTCCACTATTGAGACAAACTCCTGAATACTTTATCCGATGCCCCATGAATAATATTTTCCACTTTGGTTGAAGGAAACAGGAAATATTCCCAGCCCTGTGTAAACCATAGGAATTGTTCCTTGTAATCACTTTGAGTGGTCCTTTCTCTGGTCTTCAGTAATTTCCTCACAGCCATGCACTTATTAGCTGAAGACTGAAGAGGGCCACTCCGCAGGTCTCCAGCGAGCTTTCTCTCTGTAGCTCTCTGCTCACCAGCCCTGACCCTGGTAAACTCCAGCTACCTTGGTGTCCTCAGAATTCCATTTCCATCTCCTCAGCTCACAGAGGCTGCCGGGCTGTGTTTGGGTTCCCCCTCCCTATGCTGCAGCCTGGAAATATCTCCAGGAAGCGACTGGGAAATGCACAGGGCTCATCACATTTATCTCTCAAAGAGCACTGTCCTTATCACCTGACGCCCAGTGTTTTGGAAACTGTTGTTACATATATTTTAGCAGGTGTGTTAGTTGTTTTGGTGGGAGTGTAATTCTAGTTGCTGCCATTCTGTATTGGTTGGAGGTGGAAGTTCACCGTTGTAATTGCAACTTCCTCCATTACACTGAAGTAGGCACTATCATTGAACACATCAAATGATGGCCTTGTGCACTGCAATGTAACACCAATGCAACTAGCATTGTATATATTTGCCCTGTAGTCATTTGTCTCTGCTCATACCCCACCACCAGACACCAGTGATTGTTCCAATGAGAAAGTGGAGACGAAGAGAGCGAGATGGGTACAGAGGGAAGATAACCACCTTCCAAGTCTGCTGGCATCTCTCTGGAGCCTGGCAGGCTGTCAGCACTCAAATTGCTTGTTGAATAATTGAATGAATGTACGCAGGCTCACATGCATGCACGTATGAATAAATGAACCAATGCCTATGACTGGGTGGTTTCTAAACTGCTCCACTAGTTCTCCAGACCAGACACCTTGCTTCCTTCAGACCCTCATACCCTTCCTTCCTTCCAGGACACAACTCTCATTAGCGGAGACTGCTCCAGAGCCTTCCTGCTGGGAGGAAACGTCTGAGTTCTGGGAGGTACTCTGCCTCCCACAAGCACTGTTCCTTGCCTTGTTTCAAACAATTCCCTCACTCTTCAGTTCCTTCCTCACTGCATTATTGTTTTTAGCCTGATGCTGAGCGCATGTCCCTTATTTTTTTTTTTTCATATTTTTAGAAGTGGATTAGTTCTTTAATTTCTTCACCATAACCCTGGCTACTCCTAGCTTTCAGGAATGTGAATGCCACTTTTAATTAGATTGTAAATTTTTAGAGTATCAGAACTCAGCCCTATCTGTTCTGTTTGCAAAAAGCATCCAATATTTTCCCTAGTGATGACCTGTGCTCTATTTTCATCTAGCCTCAGGGATCTTACCGACTAGAAAAACGAAATTTGATGGAGCGATTTCATTTTTGAAGTTAGTAAACACAACTGAATACTTTCATATGTCATTGCTAAAATGTGTTCAGAGAAAAATGGTAACAAATAATCCAACAATCCAATGGTTTTGAAATGTTTCCAATGTAAGAGTTTTTATTCTGGTTTCGGGCTCAATTAGAGTTACCTACAACAGACTATAGACAAAAATAATTAGGAAAGGCTAAATGAAAATGTCAGGAAACTATACAGTAGGGGATGTTCAGTCTTGCAGATCTCAGACAAGTTACCGAGTCTGAATTTCAGTCCTAATATTGGGTGACAAATTCTCTAATTTAGATGTGATAATTAATTTAAAACAAGATTGCGGGCTTGGATCCTGACTATGCTGACTGCTAAACAATTTGAAAGTCCTGTGACAGTCATCCTTCAGGTTAAAACTTCTGGGGGTGGGGCGTCTACCAGAAGATGGAATACAATTTTGTGAGTGCAGGGGGAAAACAGGATAAAGAACAGTCAGAAAAAGCCAGAACCAAGTCGTCAAACGGGTAGGGGAGGCAGCAGGGATGGAGGGGAGAGGAGTCTTTGCTACAGACAGGGCAGGCATAGGCGGCGCGGAGGGCGGCCTTACCTCCGCGGAGGGGCCAGTTTCAGTGTCAACGCTGAGGTCTGAACAGCCTGGAAGGACGCTGGTCTCTTAAACATAGCTGCCACCAGACGGCCTTAAAGTGTCTCAGGGACGCTCCTCAGCCCTTTGCTGCTGTGGGTGGCTTGGAGAGTACAGGGCAGGGCTGCTCGAGGTGGAGGTGTGGCAATGATGGCGTGGCTGCTGAGTCCTAGACGCCCGGCCGCGGGGAAGTGGAGGTGGGCTGTCTGGGGAAGCAGAGTTCAGCATTACTTAAGGATGTTAGGGTCTTTGCTGCACTGGAGCCTAAACAGGCCCAGAATCTGAAGGACGATGTTAGGTGTACTATTCTTGAAAGGGATTTCAGGGTGTTCCTGAGATAAGCGATGTTGTGTTCCCCCCCCATCACCCAAACCCTGGGCTCGGGGTGTGTCCCCTGGCAGGACCCATGGGAGCTGATGCCGTGGGAGGAGCCGTCCGAGTCCGAGGGCGCCGCCTGCTGGAGTGGCTGCTTGGCGGGCCTCTTTTTCCTCCTGGGCTTCTCTCGTCTTGGCTCTCTGGAATCCTGCGTGTCCGCTTCTTTCAGTGGCCAGAAGAGGAAAGCAGAGTTCCTCGCCTCCACATCCTCTCTAGAGACAGAGAGAGATCAGGGTTACCCTGCCTTGATGGCTGCGGGGTCTACAGAGATGTCCAAGCCATCCCCACGGCTGCTTCTCAGCTCCTTGCCCACGTCCCTCTTCCCATGGAAAGGAGTCTCTGGAGCGCTGTGAACCCAATGCTTTAGGCTGGGCTTAGGTCCACTCAGTTCATTTCCACGAGCCTTTGGTGTTTGGGAGCCTCCCACGGCACGGAGAACTTGAGTATACGGACCCGTCCTGACCAAGCCAGTGAAGGAACAACTCCCAGCCCAAAAGCCCCTGGAAACTCCTCAGCATAGACCTGTGTCCGCCCCAGGGAGATGAGCTTGGCCCCATCACAGCCCAGTTCATCCCTGTATTGGAGCTTGTACATCAGAGATATTCTTTCACACCCTGTGTTTCTGTAATGACTCCAAGGTATACTATCGGAAACATTTTTCCAAATGTCCAAAATGGTATGATTTGTAATGACATTGAACTTAGGAATGACTATGAAGTCACAGAGCTAGATTACTATTTAGAAAATACGCTGACAAAGCTTATTTACCCAGAAGTGCTGTCCTTCAAAGAAGGCACCTTGATAACACCATGACCTCATTCCAGCCATGCCTCCATGGCTCACCGTTTTGGGAGCTCACCTTTTTTCAGGGCCTTCAGGGTAAGTTAAGGACACCCACTGCCTAATGTTAAACCTTATTTTCTTCCCATAATCAGTATCAGCTATCTTGATCAACCTGCCTTCAATCCGAATAATTTTTTGTTTTGTTTTTACTCCGCATAACTTCTGACTATTACTGCTTCGGATCCTTTTGGAAATTGTCAGGGAAAAACAAAACAATAAAGTAGAAAGAGAGTTTTTGCTATTTTCAAATAGAAAATGCCACCATTCAAATCCCTTGTGAAAGAATCAAGATTCACTGCACATGATCATTTTCAAAGATTGGCTCAAAGACTCAGGAGAGATTCCCAAGAGAGATTAAAAAATTGGCCTGGGCGACAGCAGTGACATTGGGAAAAGCCTTTCTGGGAGGCCACAGACAAAATCATCTTTAAATCTGAGGCCAGCGCTTGTGTGGATGTATAGGTTCTGTGATAGCAGGTTCTGAGAGACTTCTAGGAATCATGCTTCAAGGGTACACTTACCGCCCCTGCTCTGTGAAGTCTAAAATCTTATCCATCAGGTTACCCTCAACTATCCCTCAAATTGCTACCTCTCTCCAGAGCAGAATAAGTTGATACATTCTGTTTCTTTTTCAGGGTTTTTCTCTATTTTCCATGAGTTAGGATCCATGATTACAGTCCAGTCCCTAAGCTATAATCTCTCAGAAAGAGGAGCGACAAGAAGCGGATGTGAGAAGTAGAGAGATTTTCAGGCATTAAAAGCATGGAAAGAACAAGGTAGGGAGATGCCTACCCCCCTGCCTGGAGGACTCTGGCGCTGTGCTGGTTCCACTTCTGGGAAGAAAGTGCTGAGTGCCCACTCCATGCCCTCCTGGGGTCAGAACCCACCCCCTTTGCTGAATAAAGCATTGGCAGCTTGTCAGAAATCCTGCTGGATTCCTGAGGTCTCGTTTGTATTGTGCCCTAAGTGTCTCTCTCTCAGCAAGGCTGCCTTAGAACATAAAGAACAAGAGGACCCATGGAGTAGGCACCAGCAGATGTTTGATGAAGACCCGGTGGGGGGTCTTAGACTTTCAGCAACTGAAGGGGTGGAGAATGAAGAAATGGATAAGCAAAGGCTGTTGCTATCTGAATTGCTACTGCTGGCCCTGAAGGCTGGCGAATCTCTGTGTCTCCTTGTGTCCCCTTGTCCCATGTCCTAGGGCACCACCACATGCTTCCTGAATGTAAGCAACGGCACGTGTCCTTCTAAATTACATAGGACACTCACAGACAGGGTTTGTTGCTGAACTGCACGTTTTTCAGGGCTTTGTTCCAGCATAAGAAATGGGGCTCCTAATCCAACCAGAGGGGACGGAGGGAGCTAATGACATACAGAGGCTTAATGATTTCAAATGCACAGACGCCTCTTAGGAGAAAATCGTCAGGAGTGACCAGGCGAGATTAAGTGAAGTGATTCATCTGACGTAATGTCAGAGGCAGAGCTGAATCTTGAAGTTTCAATCAATGACTTAATTTCACTGATGTCAGGAGACAATGTGAGTCCACAACACTACACGGGGTCAAGGGAGGAGTGTTAAACACTGCGCACGGTATCATTTCCACTGGGACACACTCCCAAATCCAATGGCTTCATGGAAAGTTCCTCAACTGCTCAAAAGACAGATAATGAGAGGCTAATATTTTGTGTAACAGGAATTGTGGGGAACAGGGGTTGACCAGAGACCCAGACAAACCCCACCTGGCCCTGGGAGGGTCTCTCCTCCTGCCGACTCATACATAGCCATGTCCCCAGGACCACACAATGACCCTCAAGCAGCAAGAGAAGAACATGCCTTGCCTCCAGGGCCCCAGAACCTAACAGCTTCCTTCAGATGCCTGATGTTTCCCTGGAGCACAGAGGAAATGCTGAGTCCTATTTTGCTTTCCTGATATCACATTTGGAAAGTTATTATTTTTTTAAAAATAAATCATACTCCCTCTAAAAAGGCTTTTTTTTCTTTTTTCTTTTTTTTTTTTTTGACAGAGTCTCGCTCTGTCGCCCAGGCTGGAGTGCAGTGGTGTGATCTCGGCTCATGGCAAGCTCTACCTCCTGGGTTCAAGTGATTCTTCTCTCAGCCTCCCGAGTAGCTGGGATTAAGGGTGCCCACCACCATGTCCATCTAATTTTTGTATTTTTAGTAGAGGCGAGGTTTCACCATAATGGCCAGGCTGGTCTCGAACTCCTGACCTCAAATGATCTGCCCATCTCGGCCTCCCAAAGTGCTAGGGTTACAGGCATGAGCCACTGCCCCCGGACAGGAGTCTTCTTAAGGAGGAGTCTTGAAGGTAAAAACAAGCTGTGCTCTGTTAAGGGTAAGGGGAGGAAGGATTCCAGCTCATCTGGGAGAGAGTTCTAGCTAGTTAAGTGGCACCAGGTGTGTGTATTCAGTTCAGGCGGCCTGAAACCCCAGCCTGTGGGTGGTTGAGTAATGCCTGCTAGAGGCACCTCTCTCCACTGGAGAACACCAGCAGCTGGAGCATCAGACCCACCAGGTGCCTCCCCCTGCCCTGGCCAGAGGCCACAGTCCTCTGATGGGAACGGGACGCCAGGGGAGGCAGCCAGGGAAGGACTTGGTCTGTGAGTCCCCTGCCCTGGCAAGGAGAGAGGATGCCAAATGGAGGAAAATCCCTCTGTTCTGCCTGTTTCTTGTAGTTATTGAGAAGGACCACATGGGAGAAACTACACATATGTTCTCAAATGGAGGCAGTTATAGACAGGATACGGACTATTCTCCCTCAGAAAAGACATCTCTGATGCCATGGAATGTAGCAGAAAGCTCAGGGACACTCCTGAACGGAAGGGAAGGGAAGAGCAGTTATTTCCCTCCATCGGACACACTGTCTTGAAAGACACGCCTCTCAGCCGTGTGTCAGAGAATGCCGTCGTCATGCTGCAAAGGAAAGAGAAAATCTGCACCCGCCTAGCTGGTTTCACATTGCAAATATGGCAATACCAGCATCCCCTCCTTGAGGAATGAGTAGTCTGGAATTTAGCAATATTGATAACATATTTTATAAGCCAATCTTGTTTTTTTAAAAAAAGTCTTTAAGAATCATTTAGGTGTCAAATTTTAAGTTGAAAATGAAAATGTGCATCAGATTTCGCTGTGTTCAATTAGTTTTGAGCCCTTCAGCCTCCAAATGCCTTTCTTCCTGCCTTTCACTGTGCACCGTTCTCACTCAGAAGCCAGAAGAGAGACCTGGAGGAAAGGCTCCCAGAAGGAAGGAAAGGAGGTTGGGGGGAAGATGGAGGCTGTTTGGGCCCAGGTATCCCTTGCTTTACCCTGCAAGCAGATAGTTATAGTAAATTCAATATTTAAAAATTAAATTTAGTCAAATAATGTTCTGTTGGAGATGTAACCTACAGTACATGTCTTTAATAGCCTGTGAAGAAAGCATCAGGATTTTTTTAGATGGCCTCATTTGGAATGTAAAAAGTAAAGTAGAGGTTCCTCTTCAAAGACTTTCCTCCCCATCTAATTAGGAATAACGAGTAACTTCTCTTAGAAGCAAAATTTATTCAAAGACCTGTGCTAACATTCTTAAACATCTGCTAACCGTAATAAAGAAATCAATGTACTTTATGTTCTTAGCTCTCACAATTTAGTTTAAATATTTGCCCTGGCAAGCTTATACTGGTCCAAGCAAGCGTTAGGTCATAGCCTGTTCCTCTTCCTTATTTGAAGGTGATTTTACCTTTCTCAGCATTCCCCAAGTTACTTCCTCCTTCCTTTGCTCTCCTCTGCCTTTGCCTCTTTAAAAAAGTTCTAAGTTGCTAGTCAGTCAGAACAAATACAGAATGTGAGGTCCCGTTCCAGCCAATGGAAACCGGGCATAGCAGCAGGGTGGACACGTCAGGTTATAAATGACCCTGTCTCCTTTGTTCGGTGTACTCTCATGGCAAAACTGCTGGCAAGTGTACCCTTTCTGCAGAAAGTATAAAAATGGCCTTGCGGAAGAAATTAAATTTATGTTCAAGTGCTATTTCTTTATAGCACCGGGGAATAAGCATTTCTAACAGGAATAATGGCATGAATGCTCCCTAAGGAACACATTTGTAAAGTAAGTGAGAAAGAGCTCCTGAGGAAGGGACCTACCAGAAGGAAATCCCAGCTCAGACACAAAATCAGACCTATGCCTTTATTTTTGTACTCGGTTCTGCTAGCCCTTATTATAGAAACAGAGACAGGTTAAGCTCTGAACTTAGTAGGTTGAATGTGATCTCTGCTTATGAGCATTAAACTCAGTCTCTTGCTCCCACAGAGGCAGCCAACATAAAAAAGAGTAGAAATTACAATGGGGGACTCGAGAGTCAATGAAGACTTCCACCATGTGAAGCCCAGAAGCAAGGGTAGATAATTCACAGTGAAGAGCTTTAAATAAGGCCTGGGGAAGATGGAAAACAAAGGCTTTTCTCAACATACAAGGATTTGCATTTTCATTCTAAAATAATGATTGATAACATTGAGTTTGGTGAAAATGGGTAATACTTAGATACATCTGCTCATATTCCTTTATAATGAGCTGTAATTTGGACATCATAGGAACCAGAAGCAAGACCCACAGGGACCATTGTTGGGGTAGATGTTTGAGATGAGCAGAAAATGTCCTGCTATTTTAAATGAAGTATCAACCCATCTAGACAAAGAATGGAGAATTGTAGCATACGTTTTTGATAATCATAGCTAAGGAAAGGTTCTCTGTGGAGCCGCACACCCCTTGAGGAGCATCGCTGGGCATCTGCTAGCATGTGTCTGTATATATTTATTTGTTCTTCAAATAGTCATTGGGGGCATTCTGTGAGCTGGACCCTGGCAACTGGGATTCAGAGGCAGATAGAACCTGTCCCCTACCTTCAAGGACTTGTGCCTACAGTGTCCAATGCAAAGGAAATTTTCTTTAACAGAAACCTCTACGGGTTGCCGTGGGGCCACCTCACTACCTGGGGGGGCTAGGGTGCTGGGACATCACATGGTGGTGTTGACGTTTGAGCTCAGTCTTGGAGTTCCCCAGGTGGCTGAGGGCAAGGAATAGCTGTCCAGGGAGAATACTTAATCTGGTGAAGGCACAGAGACCTGAGAAAGCATGGTGTGGGCAAAACCTACATGTAGCTTAGTGTGGTTAGCATGCAGAAGGCATTGGTGGGTTAGCTGGGAGTGGCTAGGGACAAGTGAGGCAAGGTAGGCAGGTCTGGGCCAGACCAACAAGAAGCTAAGCTGTGATAAGAAGGGGTGATGGGGATGGGGCTCTGAAGGATTTTTAAGTGCGGAAGGGACACAGGCAGATTTGCATGTGAGGAAGTTGATTCTGCTCAGCCCTTATGGTGAGTGACTGGGACTGTGGCAGGAGGAGGCTGGAGGACATGAGAACTCCTGGCCAGTTAGGATGCCTGCAACCTGGAGACCAAGGGGGTGTGGTAGGTGAAGGACAAGCAGCAGCCAAAGATGACCACCAGATTTCTGGCTGGACAGCTCCGTGACTTGTGGGTAAAAGGGTGAACTGAGATGGGGAAGCCCGAGATGGGAGCAGGTTTGTGGGGAGCTCTGATTTCAGTTTTAGATGTGCTGAATTTTTGAGATTCTGTACACTCAGGTGGAAATATCCAGGGGGTGGTTGGAAACAATGCCCTTCCCACAATGTGCTGAACACCTGCCAGACAATGACCGTCCCCAATCTTCACATCACTGTCATCCTGCAGATGAGCTCAGGGTCGATGAGCAACCACAAAACTAATGAGGGCAGGGCTGGGATATAAACCCAATCTTGGTTCCAATGCTCTTCCCCCTATAGTTACCCATCATGGCTGCACCTTGCAACCAGCTGGGGGCTTTCAGAAAAACCTGCCTCCAGGCCCACTCTCGGAGTCTGACTGTGACACACAAGCACAGGAGAGCAGCCTGGGTTGGAGAAGGAGACATGGGGTCCTTAGTGCAAAGGGAGTCATGGAGGCAGTGAGAGGCAGTGAAGTCAGGCAGGGATAAACCCCAGAGAGGTAGAGGGGCAACGAGCCTCAAGAGGAGGGTTTAGGGCAGAAGGGAGTGGCTGGTGGCGTCCAAAGCGACTCTGGAGCAGGTTCAGTCAGTGAGGGCGGAGCTCACTGGTTCAGGCTCGTGAGAGGTCCCGTGTGGCCTCTGTGGAAGCAGTTTCTTGGAGGGGTAAGGGTGGATGCCTATATCCAAGGCTCAGGAGTGAACAGGAGAGTGGGGACGTTGAGTCTATCCGATGACGCATGGAGACCGGCAGTGAAGGGCAGGGAGCATGCTGGATCACACTGCGGAACCAAGGGAACGGTATTTATTTAGGAGTGTGTGTGTTTGTGGGTGCTGCGTGTGTGTGAACAGGAGGCCAACCTGTGTACTTGCTGAGGTGAAGGGCTCAGTGAAGAGGAGCTAAGGAGAGAGGTGAGAAGAATCCAGGGATCACTGATGGATCCAGGACCCGAGGCAGTGGAGGATGGGCCTCTGGAGCCCAATGGACAGATCAGCCTGGGGTGAAAGGAAGGACACTGATTCTTTGACATCGGGGGCAAAGGCAGAGACTTCCATAAGCCCAGAAGTGGGAGATCAGAAGTGGAGGGAGAGGATGTCTGATGGTTCTTTGACGAAGTAGAAGGTAAGGCCATTAGGAGAATGAAGGTTAGCACCCAAAGACAGCCTGCAAGCTCTAACAGAAACTGGAAGATGTTTCCTGGGTCCTTTTCCCCAACACTTGCTCAACATCCAACTTCATCTCTTTTTGTATGACCTTGACTCCAAGGTCATGGCTCCATGAGCCCAATTTTGATGCCCCTCGTTGGCCCCATGGACTTGGGTTCGTGTTTGCTCTGCAGGCCTCCCCCTTTCCTTTTGCCTTGGCTTTAGTCTACCTTACAGCTCTTAGCCATCCTACTACCTCACCTGAAAATGTGTTCACTCCACTGCAGCCCCTGGAAGCCACCGCCCCTCCAACACCCTGACCTGGCTACAGGCAAGCCAGGGCCAGCCCCTTGCTCCCACCTCCCAGCAAGGGGAGAGGTAGGTAGGTGACTGGACCCAAATGCAACTTAATTAGAAGGCCTTCAGTCTTTACAAATAAAAGGGGAACAATTCCTTCATATTCATGAATGCTTTCCTGAAGGGTCAAATAATGTAGAATTTGAGATTAGAACCAGATGGATGAATAAGTAGCAGGTGAAAGGTGTGACGTCGAAGGAATAATAAACACAGAGCTACATTTTAAGTAGGACATTCTGCATCTCTACTTTTCTTCCCTAGTATTTAGAGGTCATGGATCTCATCTCAAAAACAGATTAAAGGTGCAAGGATATAAATTAATATTCAAGAGATAAAAGTTGAGTACACTTACACTTCTGGATCCTCAGGAATTGGGGGTGACTTTATATGAGAGCAAGAGAGCGCATACTTGTTTTGGCTGATCTTAATAAGTGCACTCCGAGGGCAAAATTCCTGTAATAATACCAACAGAGTTCACTCAACTTAAATCAGAAATGTCCACAATTCAGATACAATTTTATTCTAGCTCAACCCATTATAATAGCTTCTAGTCATTATCCTATTCAGGGTGACACTTAAAAGAGTAGTTCAAATTCAGACCCTCACTTGACAATTATTTGCTGAATAAAAGTCATCATTGAGTCCTCTCTGTCATTTCTCCATATTCTGGATCAATTGCCAAATGTACCCACGTAAGACACACACACACACACACACACACACACACACACACCTTCACATAACCACCTTCCTTTCTATCTTTATTTCAGCCTTTGGCCACCACTTTTGCTGACTGCCCCACCTTCACCCTCTTTGGGTCTCCCCAAGTCCCTATCAGAACTGTCTCCAGTATCCTTCCCCCTCCACCCTGCCACACCCACCTCCACCCCCCGCCCCCGGCCATGCCACTCTAGCCTCCAGGGCCCCATGTCCTGTAGGTAAGTTCAAGGTCCTTTTCTGGGGTCTGCGGCTTCCCCTCAGGGGTCCTGGGCCAACTGCCTCATCTCTCCCCACACCCTAGGGCATGCCCGGGGACATCTCTTAAAACATCCCTCCCTTTCACAGTTGATATCCCCAGAATGGTCCCACACATCAGGAAGGGGAAGGCTTCCCCATGCTCTGCCCTTCCAGATGTTTCTCTACTGCTATCCAGACAGCTTCAGGAAACTCCATTTTCTCCAAGGGGTTTTTTTCTGGGGTGATGAGCAGACAACTCCTTCTCCGCTTGCCCTGTTGGGTTGGATACAGTGCTCCAGTGGCCGCTGGCTCTGATGGTCTTTCTCCTTTGCGCTTAACCCTAAATTTCATTTCCCATGCCCCTCTCCCTGGTGGAACTACCTCATGCCACAGTCAAGGAGGCACTGGATATTTTTATTCTGTATCCTAGGCAGCCGGGCATGGTAGTTTAGAGGGTAGGCCATGGAGCCAGATTGTCTGTGTTCGAATGCCTACTCAACACACCAGGTGTGTGCTTTAACCTCTTGCTTCAATTCCTTTTCTGGAAATCAGTGTAATAATAGTCTCTACCTCATGGTGTTCTGAGGATCCAAGGGTCCACTCTGTGTAAAGCGCTTGGATTGGAATGCATGGCACACAGTAAGGTCCTAAGAAAGAGCCACTGTTACCTGGCTTTTTGCTCACCAATCTAGTTCACTTGTGGGTCTGTTTTCCAGGCATGTTAAGTCGTCCATCAAAACAATGTCATTTTCCATTAGGAATGTCGTTCATTCAAGTAATTTAAAAAACAATTGTGAGACCCTTCTCTTCATCAGGGACTGTGCTGGGAGGGACAAAGGTGAACAGACGTGGTCTCTGCCTTCAAGGATTGAGAGGTTGGTGAGGAAGCCAGTTTGGCAAGTGCAGTGTAGTGGACAGGAGGAACCTGAGGGCCTGCAGGAAGTCACAATCAGGCAGAGTCTTTAGGGTGACGGGAGTTTGGGGGAGAGGAGATGGGGAGGGCAGTCCAGGAAGAGGCAAAAGCCTGGGACTTGAAAAAGCCCACCGCATTCAGGAAGCAGTGAGTCTTCCACCTGGCTGGAGGTCAAGCTCATGGAGCCGGCTGGGGCCACACTGGGGTCCTGGGGGCATACTCCCTGAGGGTGACACGAAGCATGTGTGTGGGTTGAGAGGAGGCAGGAGACGTCAATCAGGCAAACTACATCATCAGTTTCGTAAACTGATAAAGAATTCTTCTGAAACTTTTAGAAAAATTACATACAGAAATATATAATTAAGAAAGGATTTCTTAAATAAACATAGAAAGGGCAGAAGGAGAAGAGGGATAAATTTGACCATATTAAAATTTAATGCTTCCTGTCAACAAAGATTCCAAAGTTAAAAGACAAGCAACAGACCGGGGAAAACTATTGGCTGCATATATTACCAAGAATTACTACCCAGAAGGCAGAGAAGACCTCCCCTAGTCAATAAAAAAGACAAACGATCCAACAGACAATACAGACCCTTAACAAACATCCGTCCAATGAGCAAATCAATCTAGAGGTGATACAGTTAACCGAGTCATTCCCACTCGCTGGCACTGGGGAGTGTAGAAGGAAGGGATCTGAGTGATGCTGCCAACCTCTGCAGCCACATCATCACTACTGTTACCTAACACCTACCTGTCAGACACACAGATCTTTTACATCTTTTACATGTCTTTTCTTCAAGCCTCACAATCACCCTGTAGGGTATACATAGATAAATACAGATATAGATATGTAAAGTATTCATTTTATATGTGACCAAACTGAGTCTCAGGGGGTGAAGCAACCTGCTCAGGTCAGACAACCAATAAAGAGCAGAGTGAATGTTCATATAATTCAAACACAGGTTTTTTTTTTTGTTTTGTTTTTTTGTTTTTTTTTGAGACAGTCTTGCTGTGTCGCCCAGGCTGGAGTGCAGTGGTGTGATCTCGGCTCACTGCAAGCTCTGCCTCCCAGGTTCACGCCATTCTCCTGCCTCAGCCTCCCGAGTAGCTGGGACTACAGGCGCCCACTACCATGCCCGGCTCATTTTTTGTATTTTTAGTAGAGATGGGGTTTCACCGTGTTAGCCAGGATGGTCTCGATCTCCTGACCTTGTGATCTGTCCACCTCAGCCTCCCAAATTGCTGGGATTACAGGCGTGAGCCACCGCACCTGGCCTAAACACAGGGCTTTTAACTGTAAAGCCTGTGTTCTTTTCACTCTACTCCACTTTGTGCCTGTCCGCCCTTATGTCTCCCAACTTCTGCCAACTCTGGAGGTGGTTCCTAGGTAAGTAGGAGATGGGGAACCAGGTAGTAGCACCCCAATACAGGGGACACAGAGGAGAAGGAGGCGCTTGGGGAAAGGGGGTGCACTGGCTTGCGGAGTCTGAGATGCCTGTGTTCACTCTGAGGGAGTGCTCCAGGAGGACCCAGCTAGAAGCACAGGGTTGGAGCTCAGGGCAGGAGCGGGGCTGGCACTTCTGGCACAGAGGAGGTGTCCAGAGATGGAGGCTCACACCGAAAGACACCAGGAGGAGGCAGAGGAGGACAGCACTAGCGGTGGCCCAGGAGGTGACCAAGTCTGCAGGGCCAGCAGGGGACCTCAAAGCAGGGGCAGTCTGAGGAGGCGGAGGAGGAGGAGGAGGATGAGGACGCGAGGATGAGGAAGACGGAGAGCCAGAGAGAGTGGTGCTCCAAGACCCTAGAGTGAGCCTGCCAGTCCGTCAAATGCAAAGCATGGTTCAGCAGTGGGAGCCAAAGAACTGCACAGTACAGGCAGCAGAGGCCATGGCCACCTCAGTGAGGGCAGGGTCTGTGTGGCACGGTGGGCAGAAGCCAAAACACAGGGAGTGGAGAGCAGGGCAGCAGATGCAGCCAGGGAAACCATTCATCAAGAAGCCTGGCAGTGCCAGGATACAGCCTGGCATTGCCCAGGAGAAAGTCCTTTTCTAAATGAAAATCTACTTACTCTCCGGTTGTTACACTTCAAAACTGTGTAGAATTTTTCTGTGGCCACATGCTTATTGGGAAGTGCTATGACAATGGCAGGGACATAGAAGTCAAATCCTTTGGGTATCACAATTTTGGCAAACACATAATCTCCAACCTGCAGAGGAGAACATAGAGCAAATATTTTGCTTATGGATTGTACAGACAATGTTAACATAAGCAAGTTTTAAAATACTCCAAGGCAATTGGCAAGTACTGATGCTAAAATTCAAATAGATATTTTTTTTCTCAGTTAAGAAAGAGTTCCAAGATTCTCTGGGCTCATTGGGCCACATCTGGAATTTTGTGATCAGTTTGGGAAGCCCCATTTTGGTAGGACTTCACCAACTGACAAGGACCCAAGGGTCTGCCAGCAAGATGGTGAGGGTTCTGGAAACCACACCCTAAAGAGACTAGTTGAAGGAACCTGGGGTGTTTGTCATGCAAAGATAAACAGTGTCCTCATCTGCCAGAAGGGCTGTCACCAAGACGTAGAAAGGGAGAGGTTTGTTTATTGTTGCTCCAAAGCACACACCCAGAATCCAAGGGTAAAAGTCGCAAACGGAGAATTTGCAGCAGAAAAAGGATCTTGTGGAGGGACATGCAGAGGCTGCAGGCCCTTCTGCATCATCAGGGTACAAGAGCACTGTTGTGTTCCAGTGCTCTGACTAGGAAGCAGCAGCAGAGGCCCAAGGATGAATTCTCCAATTCCTCCTCCAGCGCTTCTCCTCCCGGCTCACACTGGGCAAGACAGCAGCAGGGTGCTCTGCAAGGATTTCCCTCTAATCCCAGGCCTTGGAGCTGGAATTAGGAACGCGGCAAGAGGATGAGCCAGACATGGCACAGCTTTTATGAGTTTGTGAGCAGATGAGAACACATTAATCTGGCCCAACTGAGGCAGGAGAACAGGGTCTGGAGTCAGGGAACTTAAGGTCAATTCATGCTGACTTTCTAAGGCTGAATCAAGCGAAGCACCAAGGTCTGGGGGCAGGGAAAGCACCAAGGTCTGGGGGGCAGGGAATCTGGGGCCAATTTGTGATAATTTCCTAAAGTTAAATCAAAGGGAAAACATCTGGGTCTGAGGCAGGGAACCTAAGGCCAATCACTGCAAACTTCCTAAAGCTAAACCAAAAGGAGAAACCCCATCTCCTGACGCCGGGTAGCAAAGGGTCAAAGGCCAGTCTCCCTGCAACCCTCCCTTTCCACCCCGGCTCAGAGGGAAAGGGAGTGTGCCTTGGATTGGCCACAGGCCAAGCAGGGACCATCCCTTCATCTACATAGGGCACTAATTCACCTCAGCCTTTAATTAGCCACAGACCAAATCCTTCATCCAGATAAGGGGTAGTCCATAGGAACCTCAAAAGGGGTACTTAAAACCCAGAAATCTTTGTAACAGCGCCCTTGAGCCTCTTGCTCGGGCCCATTCCCACCCTGTGGAGTGCTTTCTCACTTTAATAAACCCCTGCATTCGCAGCTTCATTCCTGTGTTCCATTCCTTTGTTACTTTATTTGTGCATATTGTTCAATTCTTTGTTCAAAACACCCCTGGACAACTGACATTCATGGCCTTTCCTCCGGTGACACATCTATGGAATGCACATTTGGGCTAACTGTGCATTACGGTATCACCGTCTGACATCAGCTGATTACAGTGCCAAGGAAAGTGCTACCTCTGCCCTTGTTATTATGTAATAGAATAGAATGGAATGGGATGGGATGGGGTGGGATGGCATGGCATGGCATGGCATGGCATAGAATAGAATAGAATAGAATAGAATAGAATAGAATAGAATAGAATAGAATAGAATAGAATAGAATAGAATCTTTTGTAGTTAAAAGTGTCCACAGTACTGGCAGCTACAGCAATGTCCTTCCCCCAAACTCTATTGTCTTGTAAAGGGACAAGGACCTCAAGGTGCAGTGCAAACAAGTCTGTGCAGCCCTGAGCTACATAACAGGGAGTTGGCAGGTCAGGGTCACGAGCAAAGAAATCTCCAGGTGACAGGTCCCAGAACAGGGGCCATTGTTCTTCCTGCCCAAACACACCCTCCCTGCAGGAGCCCGTGTAGGTTCAGCAAAGGGCCAAACAGTGGCCTTGGCGTTCTGTTATTCAAAACTCTGTGGATGGTGAAAAGGGGCCCCAGAACACATCAGGGACTGGGTACCTGGAGCAGCGGGCAGGGCATGGCGCCCCCCACAGGCGTGATGAAGGAGGTGGACACGACCTTGGTGTCTCCGTAACTGAAGCCCACCAGTGCTTGGGTGCGGCTCACACACTTCTTCACAACCCCTGGAAGGAATCAAAGAAAACATAAAATATAAAGACAAATAACATCCCTTCCCTTAGGCTTGTGCCATCTTTCTGGCCATGCTGAGTTATAACACTTTGCCTGTTTAAATCAGTGTGCCCCTTTGATTTCTCCAGCAGATAATCTTGGGCACCATAGGATGCCTACTGGGTTGACCAATTCAAAGTGGTGCACATGCCTGGTCTGGGCACCCGCTGAGATGAGAACCAGTGAGAATGGACTAGACTTGTTCATCCTGCGCCATCAGCCCCCATCCTGACAGGAACATGGGTCCTGGAAATAAAGATCCTCTTCTCGAACACCTCCTACCACCTGATATTTTCATTTACTTTAGCCCTATTTTTTTCCATAATACTTAAAGATAGAAAATACATGTTGTTAATTAAATTGGGAAAGTAAAAAGGAAATATAAACTCCCATCCAAATTGGCTTTTCATCTGACTAGACTGAACATACTCAGCTTCCCCAAAATATACAGCTGAAAGGAACAAAGAAAAAAGATGTAAGGCTGGGCGTGGTGGCTCACACCTGTAATCTCAGAACCTTGGGAGGCTGAGGCAGGTGGATCACCTGAGGTCAGGAGTTCAAGACCAGCCTGGCTAACATGGTGAAACCCCGTCTCTACTGAAAATACAAAAATTAGCTGGGCATGGTGGCACACGCCTGTAATCCCAGCTACTCGGGAGGCTGAGGCAGGAGAAACGCTTGAACCCGGGAGGTGGAGGTTGCAGTGAGCTGAGATTGCGTCATTGCACTCCAGCCTGGGCGACAAAAGCAAAATTATGTCTCAAAAAAAAAAAAATGAAAAAAGAGGTAAGAAGTTTCTTTTTTTGTTATACTAAAGGAGTGCATGATAGATAACATAAGGTTGGTATAAAAATAATTGCGGTTTTTGCCATTAAAAAAATGACCAAAACCACAATTACTTTTGCACCAGCCTAATATATATACACACAAACATATATATTATTTAATTATATAATAATTTTGTTATACATTTTAATTAATATAATTATTAGAATAGATTATCATTCTAGGAAAAGAAAATACCTGTGTTAAGATGTATATTTTTTGTAATTTATCCGACTTGAAATTTATCCTCCCATTAAAAAGGGATTCTAAACATTAAGGGGGAGATGATGACATTGGACACCTCCCCCAGCAGTATCAGCTGCTCACAGACCCTCCTGGAGACAGAAATGAGCACACGCGTCCCGCTGGGCTCCACGGCATGTGCTGCAGCAGCTCCCCAGTCCTGGCTCACGTGCCTGCTAAGCAAAGCCCTGTGTCCTCTCATGGGGCAAAGAGATAGCTGCTGATTTTCATCTTGATCCATGTGTCTTGTTTTAAATGGCCAAAGGAATGAATTTTTTTTGAAAAATATGCACACTCAAGCCAGCTTACCATTGTGTGTTTTCTGATCGGACTAAAATGTTTACTTTGGGTTTTGAAATATTTACACATTATTCACACATTTCTACCATAAACTGACTTTACCTTTTTAATCAGAAAAACAAATACTACCTTTTAGAAATAATTTCTATTCTGGAAACAAGAGCCGCTCCTGATTGAGAATCAGGGGACTCGTCTCCTGCCACGCACTGTGTGCCCCACGTCCCTCCCACGGCCCCAGGGAAGGGTCTGAGCTGCCACTACAGCCACACTGGCCCATGTGACTCTCTTCAAATCCTTAGCCTTTGGGACTTAGCAGTATCCAGTATCAAGCCTACTAGGCAGTTTTCCAGTTGTTTGCCTAAATTGAGAAGTTGTGACAGAGCCTGTGTAGCCGACGAAGCCTAAACCATTTATCACTGACTTTCTTCTTTGGACCTAAACTTTTTGGACTGTTATGATGACTTCTTTTTAGTTCCTTTAATTCACCTTCCTTCTTTGTATAATCTCTGTAGATGTGGGTCTTTGTTCATCTCCAGAAATGAGCACAGTTTCTTACGGTCTGGCTTCAACCTGGCCTCGAGGGCCCCCATGTGGCCTCACTCTGGGCAGCTGTAGGGCCCAGGACTGGCCTGTCCCACCACTGCTAAGCCTCTGTACCTGCTCCTTCTCCATCTAATTAAGGGACTGCAACCATTTCTTGTGTCCTGATTCAAGATCAGCTCCAATTTTTGGCTTCCCTTACCCTATAGTTTCTCTCTGTCCTCAGCCTTGAGAGGTGAGGCTGTGTCTCCCAGCTCTGAAATCTCTGGGACCCGTTTGAGGACCTCGGTTCTGAAGGGTGGCAAGCTGAAGAACCTCCACTGCCTCCCCTCTTTCTCTGGGCAGAGGCTGGCGGGCCCAGAGCTTCCACTGCCTCCCCTCCTCTGGGCGGAAGCTGGTAAGCCCAGTGCCTCCCTGGGGATGAGTTGGCTCCCTGCCTCAGTCGGGGTTGTCCTGTATTCAGCTGGAGAAAGGGCCTGTGCTCCTATGGAGGCCTTCAGCAAAAATGCTGCGGGTGCTCAGGGGTCAGAGAATTGGTGTCACAATCTGAGTAAACAGTGGAAGTCAGTTTGTTTGGTGAAAGATGCATGAGTGGTTCTGAACCTTTGCTCCAAATAGGTTTTGTCAGGCTGGAGACTGGATTTTCTTTTTTTTAAACCTTTGGCTCTAAGAACCTTCCGATATACAAAGCCCGGCTTAAATTCCACCTCTTCAAAAAGGCTTTCACTCTGCTCCAGCCAGAGCATCCCTCCAGCTGCCCACTCCTCGGCAGTGTCATCCTTCACAGTCCTCGTGTCCGCTTCTCCCTCCAGTCTCGGAGGTTTCCTTTCTACCCTCTGTGCTGACTTTTGCTGCTTTGACTTGCTGTGAAAGGTTCTAAGCTGCTGTGAAATAGAAAGCAGCTCCCTCCTCCCCAGGAGAGGAGGCGAGGTGTTTATCCCTACTCCTAAGAGGAGCTCTCACATCGGATGCAGAAAAACTCTTTCCATGGAATTAACAAAGGGCTGTACGTCATCGCATTTAATCTACACAGCCAGTTTATGAAGGGTTTCATTGTTTTAAATCCCGTTGGAGAAGACAGGGACACTGAGGTACAGGGAAACAAAGTGATTGCAGTCGTGTGGCCAGCAGAGGCAAGAGGCAGAACTCAAATAAATGAAAACACAGGACTTTTGACCTGAGCTCATCACACCTGAGAAAGTGTTCCATTTTGTCCCCTTTTTCTTCATGACAACTTCTTCTTATGGCATAGTGCAGAAATCACTGTGGATTTCCTGAAGTAAAATGCTGCTTCTCACAGAACAACAGGATGACCCAGTTTCCACAAATAATGATTTCAAATAAGGGTTGAAAATGTGTCTTCCTCCTTGCCTTTCGGCATCCAGATAAGCCAGGCTATCGCTCTGTACAACACAGTCAGTCATTTCCTCAACTGGATCACCCACACTGACCCCTGGAATAACGTTGGTCACAGGGAAATCCCCACCACAATCCCGACAACAGTGGCAACAGCCAGTCTGGCCAGCTCTGCTTCCGCGTGGACCTGGCCTCATGTAGTGGACGCCTCAATCCAGTGACTCCAATCTTGCCTTCTGCTAAGGTGCATTTTAAGTGAGCTGTTTTTTTTACTAAAAATGTTTAGGAGGTTTTGAACAACAGTTACCAGAAAAGGAGTCACCAATGACATCAAGCCTATGCTCTGCAACATTTTATTTGGCCTTCTTTTTTTTTTTTTTTTTTTTTTTTTTTGTGTGTGTGTGTGTGTGTGAGGGAAAATAGTGACTCACAGTGAACAGGTGATCTAAATTAACATCACCAATGAGGGCAGGTGAGCATCACGTGCCTCTAGACGGGATGACCCAGAGGGCCATGACATCACTTAGGCAGTATTCTGGCCGGCAATGATAACCTGAATGTAATCTAACCCAAACTGAGGAACGTTCTGTAAAATAACTGGCCTTATGCTTAAATAATGTCACTATCATGAAAGATAATACGAAAGGCTAAAGAATGATTCTAGATCAAAGAGGGCTAGAGACATGTCCACTAAATGCAATACATGATTCTGGGCTGAGACCTGTCCTGGAGAAAATAAATGTGATAAAGGCCATTATTGGGACAATTAACAAAATCAAAATACATAGATTAAATAAAAGTACTATAATAGTGTTACGTTTTTTGAATTTTCTACCTTTATTGTGGTTATATTAAGAGATTATTCTTACTCTTAATCCACACTGATGTGTTAAGGGATAAAGTAACATGATAAATGTTACCTAATTTCTAAGAGTTCATAAAAAATAAGGTGTGTGTATATATGTATGAAAGAGAGAATAAAATAATATATGTGATAAAATGTGACCAAATGTTAAAAATTGGCAAATCTGGGTAAAGAGTATAGTGGGGTTCTCTGTATTATTCTTGTGACTTTTCTGTATGTTTGAATTTTTAATAAAAAAATCATGAAAGTAAAGTTATTCCCAGTTAAGGAAAAGATCAGGTGACTGGGAAGAGAGGGCACAAAAACTAGGTTCATGGAGATAACCCATGCACTGCCACTTAATCTGGCTGAGTCAAAGTTTACTACTTAGACACTAATCAAAATTACCGCTTATATGACTAAATTCAAATATTTCCTTCAAGCTGATTTATTGAAGTTTAATTACACTGCAAATTAAAAATTCCTGCTTAGTCAGATCCCATGCGGCTGTTGGGAGTATAGTATGTACTTTCTGCCTCTAATTGCACATTAAAAAAATTTCCGTTGTGGCCTCAGGCATTGCACATGGCCATGGTATTAGCCCCATCTCCTCTACTCCCCCCAGTAGGTCTTTAGAATTTTCTCATCACACAAGCATGGTGCTGGGTAGAAGTTCGAGCCATTCTACATTTTCCCGGGGCCCTAGCCAGCAGTGACCCCAAGCCCCTAACCCAACCATTTAGAATCCAGTCTCTTTTAGCATTTTCTTTTCTCTCTCTTTTTTTTTTGGAGATAGAGTCTCACTCTGTCTCCCAGGCTAGAGTGCAGTGGCAAGATCTTGGCTCACTGCAACCTCTGTCTTCTGGGTTCAAGCGATTCTCCTGCCTCAGCCTCCCGAGTAGCTGGGATTACAGGTGCCCGCCACCACGTCCGGCTAATTCTGTATTTTTAGTAGAAATGAGTTTTCACCATGTTGGTCAGGCTGGTCTCAAACTCCCGACCTCAGGTGATCTGCCTGCCTTGGCCTCCCAAAGTGCTGAGATTACAGGTGTGAGCCACCGCACCTGGCCCCACTTTTAGTATTTTCATTCGACTACTAGTTTAGCCATAAAACTCTCTCCAAGGCTCAAATTCAGAAAATCAAAATTTCTCAAGCAGGGGTGGCCTTCTATAATCACCTCTTAGAAAATCTGCACCCCAGAGAAATGGAAGATTCCCAGCCCTTGTAAAGAAGGGTGTCATGCCTTAGCCTATGCGATCATCCCAAGTGCTGGGATCCATATTTACTCTCATCCAGGCAACTCCCAAGCACATTTATCACGTTTCAAATAACCTGTCCCTGATGTCAGTTGTACATATGTGCCCGCTGGAAACCAAAAATCCTGCTGAAGTATTTTTTTCCCACCTAAAATATTATTCAATTAAATTTAAATAATAATTATTCTTTTAACTGTTGATAGATAGATCATGCCTATGAAAGGCCAGCTACGTATCTGCAACGTAATCTTTTTTTATGAGACAGAGTCTCACTTTGCCGCCCAGGCTGGAGTGCAGTGGCGTGATCTCACTGCAACCTCTGCCTCCCAGGTTCTAGTGATTCTCCTGGTTCAGTCTCCCGAGTAGCTGGGACTACAGGTGCCCGGTTAATTTTTTTTTTTTTTTTTTTTTTTTAGTAGAGATGAGGTTTCACCATGTTGGCCAGGCTGGTCTTGAACTCCTGACCTTAAGTGATCCACCAGCCTCGGCCTCTCAAAGTGCTGGGATTACAGGTGTGACCCACCACACCCGCCCTGCAATGTAATCTTTTTGCCTGACAGAGCTTCCTCAGGGTTTTCTCCCAGTTCCCTTTTCCCTACAGACCCTTCCCATGATTTCAGTGATGACTTCTGTGGTTATGTCTCCCAAATCTCTGTCTCCAGACTCTAGACCCACATCTCCAATTGCTTCTCTGATATCTTCATCTGGGCATCTTGCAGGCACCTGCAATTCATCATGTTGCAGACACATCTCATTGTCTTTCCATCCACACCACCATCTCCTGTAGGTACCACTATCTATCTACCACCCGAAGCCAGGGACCAGAGACATCCTAACCCCTTGGTATCCAATCTTCACACAGCAGTGGGAGAGAGCTTTTGAAAACTTCAAATGTGATTGTGTTTCTCACTGCTTTAAATGTGGCTCTCATTGCCCTCAGGGTAAAGTGCAAATCCTTAATATGACCCTTTATGCATAGCCCCATGCTCACCTCTCTGAAGAGCTTTATTATTTCCACCCTTCCTTCTCATTTTATGTTCCAGCCAGAATCAATTTTATTTCTCCAGACATAGATGTCTTTCTTCATTTCTAAGTCTTCACACGTATTATTGTCACCATCCATGAAACTCCCTTCATACCTCCACCCCTTGCTGAATTGCAGCTGGCTGATTCCTTCAGGGATCACATCCCCCAGGAAGTCTGGGGCAAACCTCTGAGGCCCAGCTATCCCAGTCTCATGGCCCTTCCTCCAACACACGTGTGCACTCCACCCTGAGGCCTGGGCACCGCTGTTGTTTCTGCTTAGAACTCCCTTCCCCAATCTCATGGCTTGCCCCACCTCCTTTAAGTCCTTATTCATATGTCACCTTCCCCAGGAGCTCTTCATTAACCACCAAATATAGAATCAAAACCCTCACCCCAACATTCTCAACCCCATTTGTGGCTTGATTTTTCTCTATGGCACTGTATCTGACACACCACATATTTTATCTGTTTATTTCATTGCTTGTCTGTCTCCTTTAAGATGTAATCTCCAAAAAGCAAGAATGTTCACCTTTTTGCTCATACCATTAGACCAGTACTTTCAAAATATTACATACATGCAACGCAGTAAATGGGTAATAAAAATTTGTTTACTAAAAAATGAGAAATTAAAATAAGTGCATTTTTCTGGCTACTTTTTTGGGGGGCCCAAATACGCTCATTTCATGAGCTGGCCAGAGATATTCCACTTCTTCTCTGTGAAAAGTGGACTAGCTCAGGCCAGCTCATGAAATGTCAGTGTTCTAGCAAAAGCACAGGTTGAAACTTCTTGTCCCTAGTATCAAATTATTTAACAAAAGCCTCACGAAATTAAAAAAAAAAAAACTACCTGGAAAATAAAAGCCATTTTCATCACATCTTGCAATAACCTTCTGTCCTTTGAGGGGATCTGGTCTTTTTGATTTGGTTTTCTTTGTTGGATTTCCTTGCAATTTCTGTTGCTGAAAAAGACAAAGCAGAAATAATTGATGAGAAAAAGTGAATGCAGATGCTGAAAATGATAAATACTGGGTAGCCTAGTGATATGGTTTGGCTCTGTGTCCCCATCCAAATCTCATGTTGAATTACAAGTTCCAGTGTTGGAGGTGGGGCCTGGTGGGAGGTGGCTGGATCATGGGGGTGGTTTAGCACCATTCTCCTAGTGCTGTTCTTGTGATAAAGTTATCAAAAGATCTGGTTGTTTGAAAGTGTGTGGCACCTCCCCTTTCACTCTCTCTCTCATGCTGGCCATGTGAATATGTGCTTGCTTCCCCTTTGCCTTCTGCCATGATTGTAAGTTTCCTGTGGCCTCCCCAATTGTGCCTCCTGTACAGCCTATGAACTGTGTCAATTAAACCTATTTTCTTCATAAATTACCCAGTCTCAGGTAGTTCTTTATAGCAATGTAGAAGCAGACTAATATACCTGAAATTTTCTATTGAGAATCACATTATAGAAGAATTACAGAATATCCCTGTACTATACACTCACTTTGGAGCACTTTCTGCTTTGTGTTAATTAAATGTTACTATTTTGGCAAGGGCAATATCTGCCCTCCACAACTTTTATACTTTAGCTCAAGGTACAAGGAGAATTGGATGAGTAGTTGAAGAAAAGGAAAATAAAGAAAAATTACATATGCAACTAGAATTCCTGACATTCTTTGACAGTCTCAAAGCTGGAGAGCAAAGACTACACCAGCACCATGATCAGCACTGCTGCCTTCCTAGAACAGTGAGCGGTAAAGGGGCCCTTCAACAGAAAAGTCCACTAGCAAATTTGAGAGAGACAAGCACTGAAACATAGTGCTTTACAGAAATCCAATATCCCAGCCCACCTCTTCAGGACAAAGGAGAACCTTTATGATCGCTGTCTCACAAAGAGGAAAGAAGTCCATGGGCTGAATTGGCTAATAAATTAATTATCCTCATTCCTTATATCTCCTGGTTGATGCAACAGTGGATGCTAGAAGTCAGTGGGGTAGAGCTTTCAAAGTTCTGAGAGAAAATAACTTTCAATCTAGAATTCTAAACCCAGGCGAACTATCAATCAAATGGAAAAACAAAGGAATTTCTGATCATATCCCTAGGTAGAAACTTTCCCTTCCCATTCATCCTACATTAGGAAGTTATTTGGAAATGCACTTTTCCAGTAAGAATGACATGTCTGCACAAGTCACAGACAGCAGGAAGTCTCCCAGGAAAAAAGAGGACTTAGAAATCTTGGAAATATATGCATATATAGATATACAAGCATGCATATATATATCTAACATATGCAAAAATAATGATTCAAACAAGTAACGTAATTTTACATACTGAAGGAGAAAAGGTAAAGAAATCCTTTTGCTTGATGCTATTAACATTCTTCAATTGGCCAGTGTATCACATAGGACCTTAAGGAAGGCATATACTCCTGAACTGTGACTTGTCCCAGTATTGAACAATATTTATCCAGTTAGAATAGTACAAATACTTTTTTGTGTTCTTTTAAATGAAAAATTTTAAACACGTACTGTGAACCTTTGGAAAGAGTACAACATTGACAACACGATGGTTTAAGTGTAGCTCTTGAAAGGTTGGAATGAAAGGGGAAAGAAAAAGCATAGGTATTACCACCATGTGAACTCAGGAATTGAAGAAGTTATGCAACTTGATAGATCAAGAAGTAGAGGCTTATGTATATTAAATAAAATGTTACAAATGCAGCCAACAGAATAAAAGATAACGTAAATATCCAATATTAGGATTGGGAGACAAAGAGGGGAGGGATGAGAGTAAAATTATAATATTTTTCATAGAGTGGAATTAAAAGTTTAAATATAGCAAATCATAAAATAGCGAACTATATGAAACATGTACTTTGATAAAAATTAATAATTAATCTGGAAATCTCACAGAGGAAAGAGAGGGAGAAGAGAATGTCTTTATTTTCTATATGAATGAATTAAAGTCCTGGACTACCCCTAAGGTACACATGTGCAGAAAACACTCAAAGCAGCACAGCAAAGGCTTTGAGAACTGAACTACAATGTAAACCATTGCCCAAGTCCCAGATTACCAGTATAAACCTTGAGTGATGTATGCAGACTTAAGCTGTGAATAGCACAGCCTTCTAAAACTGAACTGACATGGAAACTACTGCCCACAGATGGTAAGGCAGAGCTTGCAGTCTAAACCTAACCAAGTCTGATGGAAAAAAATTAAATCTCCTTCAGAGAATTTAAACAGGATCCAGAATCTTAAAACATAATATTCAAAATATTCAAAATGTCCATTATACAATAAAAAATTCAACAAACAAAAAAGCAAATATGACCAATTCTCAAGGTAAAAGGCAATCAATAGAGTCCCAAATTGGGAAGGCTCAGATATTGGAATGATCAGATCAAGACCTTGAATTAGCAATTATAACCATAGTCTATGAGGTAAAGGGTAAATACTCTTGAAATAAATGGCAAGGTAGTTTTTTGTTTCAGCAGAGAAATAGAAACTATTAAATTAAAATGGAAATTTTAGAAGTGAAATATATAATATCTGGAAGGACTCAGTAGCAGAAATGATAGAATTGATATAACAGAAGAAAAAGACCATGTACTCTAAGACAAAACAATAGAATGTATCCAATTGGAAGAACGCAGAGAAAAAGGATCTTTAAAAACGAACAAGGTCCTTTTCCTGTTGCAGATAATTTCTTCAAAGACCAGCTCAGTTATAACCTTTCTGGAACAATGTCACCCCCAGGAAATTTCAGAAAAAGAAAGGAAAAGATTGTTTTGTTATTTCCAAATGGCACTACATGAATCAAAGTTGGAGTAAATGTCATGGCTATGTCTACTACATGCAGAAACTATTAGCATCATTTTGACTTGTAAAGTCCAACTCTAAAGTTCCATTTTTTTATGCTTGATGACTGTTAACAGAAATATCCAATCCCCATTCATCTCTCCCTTCAAAATCCCCTGTAGCCTTCATTCCATCATCCAGAATAGTCATTATTTTTAATTCCCAATCAATTTGAGGACAAATGTTCTTGTAAAATATATTAAAATGAATTACTAGAAAAATGAAATAACATAGCAGAGAAAGAGCTTGAGTTCTAAGTAAAATCTATTTAAGGATTCTGAAAAGCAAACATGTAGTGGTAAAAGGGTCGGAAAAGAAGATAAGAACTCAAAGTACCACCAAGCTAGTGGTGGGTTTACCATTTGTTCTCTCCAGTGTCTCTTGGCGTGGTCCAAAACCCAGAAATAGGCACAAGGGTCCAGACAGAGAGAGCTCTAGGAGAATCCTAGAGTTCTAGCTTAATAAATGGAAAAAGGAAATCCTAACACTCAGAAAGAATACAAAAATTTTCCCCTCTTTTTATTCTCCATTCTCACACCTCAGTCACCAAGCAATCCTGTGGCAGTGCAGCAATGTTTTGAGCCTAAAACTCTAAAGGAGGCTAAATCTTCCTGTCTAATTAGTGGCATTGTGATTTTGAGAAGGTGGAGTGAAATCCCATTGTTCTCTCTCTCTCTCCCTTTCGCTCTCCACCCTCTGTTTGGCTCCAGATGCAAACACAATAAATAGAAGCCACTGAGCTGGGTATATATTAATAAACCCAGATTTCTGGCTGGAGAACTGAAAAGAGAAGCCATAGGGAACTAGAAATTACTAGGAAGATCATTGATATAGAAAAGAGAAGGGGAATCACTAACCCAACACCAAACCAGACAAATATATCACAAGAAAAGGACACTATAGACCTATATTCCCCATGAATGTAGACACAAAATCCATAAGAAAATATAGCAAATAAATCCAGTATTGTATAAGAAGGATTATATACAATGGCCAAGTCGGATTTGTCCCTGGAATGCAACACTGGTTTAACACCCATATTAATAGAACAAAAGATAACAATTAATGTAATATACCATATTAATAGGATAAAGGATAAAACCATATGGTTATTTCAATGCAAGGAGAAAGAGTATTTGACAAAATCCAACACCCTTTTATGATAAAAACTCAACAAACCAGGAATAGAAGAAAACATTCTCAATTTGAGAAAAGACATCTATGAAAAGCCTACAGTAAACATGATACCTAATTTAGAAAAACTAGATGACTTACCCTTAAGATCAGAAACAAAGTAAGGCACTCTCACCACTTCTATTCAACATTGTATTTGAGGTTCTAGCCAGTACAGTCAGGCATAAATAAATAAATAGGTGTCTCCAGATTGGAACAAGTAAAACTGTCTTTATTCATAAATGACATGATTCTGTATGTGAAAACTCCGGGGAAGTCACCCAAAAACTACTAGAATTAATTAACAAGTTCAGCAAGGTGTCATGTTACAAGATAAGTGTACTGAAAAAATCAACTGTATTTCTATGTATTAGCAATGAGCACTCTGAAAATGAAATTAAGAAAAAAATCATTTATAATAGCATCAAAAAAGAATATATTTAGGAATAAATTTATCAAAATAAGTGGAAGACTTATACACTCAAAACTAAAAAATATCATTGAGAGAAATCAAAGATCTAATAAGTAGAGTGACATACCATGTTCATGGATTGGAAGACTTGATATTATTAAGATAGTCATTTGTTCCTAAACTGATATATAGACATTATAATTTATATTAAAATCCCAGCAAGCTTTTTGTTTGCTTGTTTTTGGATTTTCTTTTTGTTGTTGTTGCAGAAATTGAGAAGTTGAATCTAAAATTTACATATAAATGCAGAGGACACAGATGACCCCCCAAAAAATGTTGAAAAAGAACAAATTTGGAGGACTTGCTTTTTTTTTTTTCTTTTGAAACTTCCTATACCTACAGTCATCAAGAAATTGTGGTACTGACATAGGATAGTGATATGGATTAGTGAAACAGTACTGAGTCCAGAAGTAAATCCTTATATTTATAGTCAATTGATTTTTGACACTTTGGAACAAAGTTTGGCAGTTTCTTAAAAAATTAAACAAACTTACCATCTGACCCGTCAAGAGAAATGAAAATTTCATTTCATATACCTCATCAAGAGAAATGAAAATTTATAACTATAAAAAGACCTGTATATGAGGATTCATATCAGCATTATTCATAATAATAAAAAAGTAGAAATAATTCAAATGTCCATTAACTGGGGAATGAATAAACAAAATGTGGTATATCCATACAATGGAATATTATCCAGCCGTTTATTTATAAAATGCATAGAAAAGGCAAATATATAGAGACAAATTGATTAGTGGTTATCCAGAGCTGAGAGTGTGAACAGAGAGTGACTGCAAATGGGCATGAGGGATCTTGTTAGGAGGAAGATAACGTTCTAAAACTGGATTGTAGTAGTAAGTTGAAAACTCTTGTCAATTTTATTAGAAGTCATTGAGTTGAAATAGGTAACCTTCATGAGGGTACAAATTATACTTCTACAAATCTTTTTTTTAAGGTAAAAATGTTTTTGGTTTGCTCTACATAACCACTCATAATATTTTGCATATACTGTAGTGGACTGAATGACTGAATGAGTACAGGAGCTTCCGAATCCATCTACAAATCAAAAGATAAACCACATAGGACTTTTTCTCCAAATTGCTACACTGCCGAAACTGGGGATTTTCCATCCTAGATTTTTACTCATTTCTTTTTTCTTTCTTAACCATAAACTTATTATAATTCTTGAGTCTCTTAAAGAAATTAGTCCTCCATCCCAATTGGAGTGCCTAGCAAAATAATTCTCAAGTGTCTCCTCTTTTCAGACCATCAAATGCTCTTCTTCTCCATGACACAAAGTCCAATATAAAGTGTTTGCCCAGACATTTTGATGCCACCTTTTTGCAGTGATATAGCTATATAGCTATAGCTATGTATTTGCCATGCTATAGTTATATCATAAATAAAATATTCAATGCATACTTTATGAGTTCATTTGCAGGCCTCCTCTTAAGAAAGTCTCTAATTTATGAGGCAGTTGGCTATAAAAATTTAAATAATTTCAGGCAGTCTGCACATCATTTGCTCTTGGGTTATTATTCATGTTCAATACAGTTTGGGTTCTGGAAATAAGTGGGCTCATTTCCATGGTGCCCTGATATGACTGGGTTCTGTTGTAGCCATCTATCATTTGGACCTGTTTGGAGATGCTTTTTAGGTTCATTAAAATAAGCGGAAATACGGTTTATAACCTCAGAGATGAAAACTTAAGAGCCACGTCCTCAGAAGTGGAGAATAAATAAGCTGAGGGGTTAAGGTCTCTTACAGGGACTGTGGGAAATCTTCAGACCTGCGTTGCTTGTAGCCTCTGCAGCCACGGACAAAAATGGATGGTGAACTATATTCTTTTGTTTACGATGCTCACATTTAGCCAAACTTTGCTTGGGTCCCTCCCTACTTGTGGAACTTGCACATTTGCTGAGGCAATCAGTACATCAAAGAGAATTCACCATCACTGGTGGGTGGTGAATGTCACCTGCTTATTCCTGAGCTTTCACCCAGAGGAGAAACCTAAGCATTCTTTCTAATGCAAGGTTCAAAATGGCCTACTGTGGCTTGAAATGACCTCAGAGGAAGGAGCTGGACTAGGAGGCAGGAGAAACAGGATTGGGTGCTGCCCACCTGGCTATGGGACTTTGGGCAATTGCTCAGCCTTCTTGGGCCTCAGTTTCTGCATATGCAAAGTAAGGCAACAAACTAAATAATCTCTACCACTTCCTAGTTCCCTATTTCTGTTTAGGAGGGGCTAATCTACACTCTTGGAGAAACTGTTAGGATGTATGTATAAGGCCAGGATGCAAGCCTGCTACCCTTGCTGGCAGTTCCCACAAGATGAGAGAAATGCACCAGCCACAACTGAGAACATGAGTAGCACAGTTTTTCCATCTTCATACTCCAGTGGGATGCCCAAGCACAGCTTCCTACAGTCATTTCTTCAATGGAAGACTGTGTAAAGTGTTCTAATAATGGATAGAATTTAGAGTCTTCAGAATCTGGAGCCTGCCATGCTAAATCAACTGTTACTTAAAAACCTCACTTTTCCATAAAGTTTAAAGCCTTTACGGAAAAGCCACCTTGCTTCAGGTCACCAGTGTTCATGTCAAAGACCAGCTGGCTGGGAGGATACTTTGGTCACTGAGACCACGAGACAGTCTCTCTGTCTCCAGACGAATAAAAACCTGATTCCGTAAAGATGTCCACATCGATTCTGGGAAGGCATTTCTCCCTCTTAGATTTCATTAGTATGAGAAGTCATTTCTTAGAACCTATGCCTAGATACATTTAAAGTTCCTTTTTAAAATTCTGAATGAGTAGAGTCACGTAATTTATTTAACTAGCCCTCTTTCGTCTCTAGATTCCAAATATTGATTCTCTCAATTTCTTAGCCAGAAGCTAACCGAGGAGATTGCTTTCTACATTTTCAGAATGGGTTTAAAGGTATAAATCTGGGAGGTGAGTTGCCTAAAATAATCAGATAACTCTTTTTTTCTATAGTTATCACTCACTTCCCAATTCTTCTGATAGAGAATAGCCATTCACTCTGTGAAGAGCTTCCCCCTGCCTGGGTGACAGTGAATGGTAGCAATGCTATGGCATTCATTCTTAGCACTGCAAATGACGCCTAAGAAAATGTCTTTCTAAATGGTTACAAGTATCACTCCCCTTCAAGTCATTCATACGCCTGTAAGTTCACTGGAAAGGACAAGGACAGATACTAAAGAACATTGTAAAAGTAATTCATGTTGGCTGTGAACGGTGACTCACACTTGTAATCCCAGCACTTTTGGTGGCTGAGGCGGGTGAATCCCTTGAGGCCAGGAGTTTGAGACCAGCCTGGCCAACATGGCAAAACCCTGTCTCTACTAAAAAAACACAAAAATTAGCTGGGTGTGGTGCCGTGCGCCTGTAATCCCAGCTACTCAGGAGGCGAGGCACAAGAATTACTTAAACCTGGAAGGCGGAAGTTGCAGTGAGCCGAGATCATACCACTGCACTCCAGCCTGGGTGATAGAGTGAGACTTTGTCTCAAAAAAAAAAAAAAAAAAAAAAAGTAATTCATGTTTACTCTGCTTTGTTTCCAACTGTTATTACTATTGGCAAGAATTCATTTCTGGTTGATTCCACAGCATGGGACTTTATGGAAGGAATTATTCACCATGGCCTACATGATGATTCATTTGCATCATGGCACAGTCAGTTGAACTATACCACAGATGAAGCACAATGGCCAGCTTCAGTATAATGGTTCATCCCACAGAAACAGAACATAGGCTTCCCAGGATGAAAAGACATCTCCCCAGGGCAGCTAGAGGTGCCATCCCTTCAGCCAGAATATTGACAACTTTGTTCCAGAAAGATGACATCCTGCTGGTTTTGAATTTTGCCAAAGACTTCGGGGTGCCGTACAGTTAACGTCAAAGAACGTCTCCCAACTCCATTTCTTTTCTGCCATACCTCGCCTATACATGCACACAAAATACATGCAAACTACCGAGGTCTAAAAAGAAACCCATGGGTGATGAAAGTCAGAGGGAATAGAGAGACAGCAGGAAAGGCTAGCTCTCAAACAAATAAGCCAACATATGTTTAGACTCAGGCACACAAGAATAGCCGCCCACCAGTTTCAGTGAGGAAGTCCCACGAGCAATGACACCAGCAGGAGGGATGCTGTGTGCTAAGTAATTTGATTTAGCCTTGTCTACAAAATTCAGATAATCCAATTCACCTCCTTGTCAGATTCAATCTCGGTGATATGGACGAGGGCCCCAAATGGTGTGACCCTCTTTTCATTTCGTGACTTAATTTCAAGGTCATGCTCTTGGACATGGTGGTGGAGATAGTGAAATGACTAAAGGTTTGATGCTTTAAAATTTTCCATGTAACAAGCAGCATACTTCTACACTAGGTACAGAACACATTTCTACAAATTAACTAGAACTAATCTTTGGCTCAAAATCTTGTTAAAAACACCCACTACTAAATACTTTTCCTGCCCTAAATCATTGAACTCCAGCATATACAATCCCCTAATTGTCGTAACAGCAGCTCCAACATGCTTCTTTGTCCACGTTTGTCCTTAAGGCCATGTAAAGTCTGTCACTGCTCTAATCAAAGGAATGTGTGTAGGTTCAGACAGGTGCTGACCTTTCCCCTTTCTAGGACACTTAATTAAAAGACCGGGACATTTGCAAACTGTCTCTGTGAATAATTCAACTCCCTTTAAAACCTTGGTGAACAGGACAGGGCTAACCTGAAGCGTTTGGGAACTCACTCTCTCCCCGCTCATTTAGATTTAGAGGGATTTCATCCACCCAGAAAGTATCCAGACTCTGCATCCCTTTGAAAAATGGACTGGAGAGAGAATGAGAAAAGAGCTTACAGGAAAATAGAAATCAGGAGTGGCAAACTCCTGCCCAGCATCTCCGGGGCGGGGAGCGAGTGGCCCATGGCAAACGAATTAGTGCCTTCCTTCCCAGGGCATTTGCACTTTAACAGAAGGCAAATATTGTGCTAAAGAAGTGAAGCTCTAAGTGGAATTTCCTGCATGAGCCCTGAAGAAGCAGCAAGGTCTTCTTGTGAGCTGCTATCAAGTACGGCACATCTGGGCGGGGGCTCAAGGGAAAGCTGGCAGTGCTGCCTGGCCGGCCAAGGCTTAAGGGGGTTTTGATCCCCTTCCTTTCCAGTAGTCTTAGGCACTTAGCCTTGCCTTAAAAACCAAAGGGATGTAGAGGAGTGCTTTGTGAGGTTTTCCCCCGCCTCCCCAGGGCATAGCATAACTCGTGAAAACACACAGCCAGTAACACGCATCCCAAAACCCCAGTGCAGTTTCCACCTCCCTCTCCAGGCGCTGCTTCCTGAGCCCGGCACAGGCCTGGTGAGCGGTCTGGCCTCAGCCTCATCCCAGCTGGTAGCGCTTTGTGCCGTGCGAATGGCTAAGAGGCACAAGAAACACTTCCACAGACAGATCCCCGAACCAGGAAACATTCCTTCCCCTCCCTGACCCCAGGGCAGCACCGGGGTGTGGAGAACAGTTAATCACCCTGAAAGCAAAACCTCCAGTCAAACATTAACAAATAGCTACCTCAAAGCTTTGCTGAAAATAAACTTGTGTGTTTTTTTTCTCTCTCTCTCTTTCTTTTCTTTGTGGCAGCAAAGGAATCTAATAAACATATACTATATTCCAAACAGAAAAACAAAAAAATCCAAAACTATTTCCCTATCTTGAAAGTAAACCTGCAACGTCATCTCAGGAAATATTCCCTTATTGCTCTTTTAGGAAAAAACACACAAACAAACAAAGAGAGAAAAATTTGAAGTGTGTTACATATTTATATCTGGAAATCACCAAAGCTTGGGATTTGTAATTTCGCGTTCCTGATACAGTTATTCATTTCCCGCTACTCCGGAGATGAACAAAAGCCACACTTGGGAGCCACTTTCGTGGCACTGCCTTGACGTATGAACCACTACCAGCCACCTACTTTACACAAACATCTCACACGAGACTGGTGTGCAAATGAATTCTGAGTCTTTAAGAAAACTTTTCAAGACATCCACTCCTCTGGGCTGGCTATTCCGCCCCCACTCACGCATCCCCCTTGCTCTCTGCCCTTCCTTGCCCTGCTCTGTACCCCCAGAGGCTGGCCCCCAGGGAACACACCACCCTATCTCCCTAATTTTTGCTGTCTTGAGGCACGCGCCAAGCTCAGAAGGCAGGAGGAAGCCGGGGTATTGGTGTCCTGCCCACTCCCTGCTCTTTCTCTCTAGGGCTCCAGGAACACGCTTTCCTTCCCTTGCCCCTTTAAGTCTGGGGATGATAACAGCTTCCTGCTATTGCTTGTCCTGGGGTCCTGCAATATCCCACGGACTGCCTTAGACTGACCTTCACTTCTGCAAAGAGTTCCTTCATTAACGTTTCTTCACTTGTGCTGAATGAATTGGATTCTGCTTCCTGAGTGGCCCCTGCTAAGCCCTCTACACTCCGTTTTCTTCCTCCAGACAGGGAGGGCAAATCTGTCCCCAGATCTGTTTAGGGTGCTTGGGTAGAATTCATGGTTGGGAACAAAGACAAATGTAGAGGCAGGAGAGTGCTGGCATCTGCCCAGCCGAATCTCCAGCGAGGAGGGTGCCTTTAGCTTCAGAATGAAAAGACAGCCTGGTTCTAAGTTTTTGTCACCTCAGGGATCCCCAGAGTTGACACCCACCTTCCCATTCCTGAACATCAGGACATGAGACAGAAGACTTCTTAGAAAATAGAGTTTGGGGATATTTTCCCCCTTCTTTCAGTTTCCTCCAGTGACTGGTGTTTCTGAGCAGGATTCTCTCCTTAAAGCCCCATCTAACCCCTAGATAAACGTGGCACAGTAATGAAGGGCTTCATTTTCTCTTTGTCATCCTCTCACTGCCTCTGGGATTTCAGCTTCACTCTGGCCACATGCCCTGGAGGCCCATCAGGGGTCCCACTTCCAGATGCTAAACCATCACTGCAGTGCTGTCTGAGGACGGCATGGTCTGAATGTGCACACATCACTTCTGTGTGATGGTAACATCACCAGTGCACACCCCAGACTTGTTAACTTCCTGCCCACTGATATGGACAGGAGGCAGGGAAATACTGGGTAGAAGGCAGCAGTCCCCAGTGAGGGCCCCACTCTCAAGCCTGGACCCACATTCCTGTTTTCCTTCTCGAATGTTGCCTTTTTCAAAACCACTCTGGCCCACACCACCCCCCCATCCTGTACCCATAAAAACTCCAGGCTCCACTGGCAGTGGAGTAGCAGAGATGGAGAAAAGAGAAGCAGCAGCCTGACGTCGTTGAGAAGCAGCTTGACTTCAGGGGGATGGCTTGATGGCGGGACCTCAGAGAAGAGTGTGGCCAGTGATGGCTGAACCCCAGGGGAAGACCACCTTCCCACTCCATCCCCTTTCTAGCTCTCCATCCTGCTGAGAGTCACTTTCATCAGCAATAAAATTCCCTGTATTTACCATCTTCAATTTGTTCGTGTGACCTGATTCTTCCTGCATGCTGAACAAGAGCTAGGGATACAGCGGGCTGTCACACCAAGGAGTTAAACACTTAGCCATCTGTGGACAGCAACACTAAAGGAGCACGGTAACACACGCCCTCTGGGGCTCCAGGGGTTGTGGGTACTCCTCTAGAAGCTGCCTTGGGGCCACACAGAGTTCTGCTCCTGCCGGCACCCAGAAGTACTCATCTTGGCCCCTGCACCCACTCACCTGCGTGCTCCCTCTCCCGAGAGGGGCTGAGAGCCACGGGCTGAGTAAACAAGCCACCCTCTTTGCAAGTCCCATGAAGGGGTCAGGGAAAATTTCCTGTCTCAACATCAGTAGATCTTGTTCCACTGGAGAACAGTTCACAGCCACTAGGGAGCTAGTCTTCCCAACAGACCTGAATATCAGCAAAACAGACTAAAGTTTTTACTAGTGGAATTGGAAAGGCCGACTAGTCAGTTAGGGTGTAATGCCTCACACCTCCCGTTAATGGACTGTAAAAAAAAAAAAGTTACAATTGAAGAATGACAATTGGTTCA
This sequence comes from Homo sapiens, assembly GCF_000001405.40. Lineage (NCBI taxonomy): Eukaryota > Metazoa > Chordata > Mammalia > Primates > Hominidae > Homo > Homo sapiens. Next base: position 98,277,931 of record NC_000002.12, on the reverse strand, counting down.
TTTACTATCTGGGACACAGATAACAGCCGTATATATTCTGAGTTTATTTTACATAACTGATAACTGAAAGACACTTTCCTCTGTCTCCCCAGCTAACATCTTCCTGCATGTATAGTGTCAAAGTCACAACCCAACAGAATGTTCTCAACAGCAAATGATCTCTTCTCTTCCTTCTCCTAATTCCACCTCATCCAGCCTCGCCCATGCCTGCCTCCCTGTGTGCATTTTCCTAACGCTCTCTTTCTCCCGGAGCAGAGCACTCAATTCCCCACCCCTGAAGGCCATAGGCTCCAGCTTCCTTGCCAGTCACGGCTTTGAGAAGGAAACGTGTGCAGCCAGTGGTGTGGGTAACTTTCCACGGCCTCCTTTAGAGCTGCTTTCAGCTTAAAAATATTTTCTACCTCCAGATTTTCCAAAGCAGTCAAGGTTATGGGTGAGAGAGCCTTTTTGATCTTTCTGGGCCAAAGGATTTGCCCTGGAGAACAATCTTTATTTATTCAGAAAATGTTGGAGGACAGCACAGCTGGGCTGCCCTAGACCAGGCTCCCAGGGAGGATTAATTATAATTCACAGATGCCCTCCGGCAACTTCCCCTATCGTTCAGCTCTGAGGGCTCTGGATTGGCTAGTGAGGGTGAAATCTGCAATCACAGTAACATGAGGGGTGCTAGGGAGGGGAGTTTTCAAAGGGAATTTAAAATTTCAGACTTAAGATTTCTCCTGTCATTATGTAGTCAGTGAGCCAAGTGGCCATCTCCAGGGACACCACGAAGCCTGTGGATTATGGACATAGGTGGAAACCATCATACAGTCAAGCATGGAATGTGCCCTGTGCAGGATGCCAGGCAGAGCAGGTGGGAATAACGGCTCTCACTTTAGGTCTCATCTGGGCCAGCCAGGAACTGCCCGTGGAAGCTGGAGCATAAAAAGCAGGCACAGGCTCCCTGGACACAGCATTTGCTGCCGTGTCTCCTTCCCACCGCTGGTTCTTACTGACAGAAAAATCATGAAGCTGCCCCAAACTTAGGAATCGGCAAGGCAGCTATGGGGCGGGGGAGGGCAACCCTGTTCCAGATGAGGGTATCAGAAAGCCCCGGTCATCCAGACTCCATAACGCACCCTGGAGCAGGCCAGATGCAGTGGCCACAGCCCTCTGGACACACATGGGCAGCCCATTCCAAATGCAATGGCCACAGCCCTCTGGACACACATGGGCAGCCCACTCCAAACGCAGTGGCCACAGCCCTCTGGACACACATGGGCAGCCCATTCCAAACGCAATGGCCACAGCCCTCTGGACACACGTGGGCAGCCCACTCCAAACGCAGTGGCCACAGCCCTCTGGACACACATGGGCAGCCCACTCTGAATGGTCTCATCCCCATTTTGCTGCTTGTTATCAGTCAGCTCATGGGGGTGCTTAATGATGAACAGAGGGGCTCTTTCATGGCAATTTATACTCATCCATCAAAAGCTTTGGCCTTTGCTAAAAGAATTTAAAATGAGACTGTATTTACATATAAATCAGGAAAAATGACTTGCATCTCTGATGCGTTTTTCACCCCAGGATCTCAGAAGGCCTTGAAACCTGGAGCTTCACACACCAAAGTTTGAGTCCTGTTAGTGGGTCACAAAATCGAATCTGCGGGGTGTGACAGTAATGGCATTTTGAAGTCTCAGAATCTATCACACATGGAAAGGAGAAGTATCATTGCAAGAAAACAACATTCAAAATCTTCCACTGCAGAGAGCCATGCCACGAGTGGAAAGATCTCTGAGGAGAAGTCACCAGATGTGACCTCTCCCCGTTACCTAGGGACATCTATGCTGGAACATCGGCGTTCCCCTAACAGACAAGGGTGGCTTTCGACAGCCTGTTGAGGGCAAGGCAGTGAGGGGACAGTCTTAGCCCCTGACCAAGAGGCAGCAGCAGACCCAGTGATGCCACTGCACAAACTAAATGCCTTCTCCTGCACTGGCTCACCTGATGTTCCCACCTTCTTTCTCCCTGCCTTCCCAGTGAAGATCTGGAAGAAAAAGTCTTCACTTCTTATACTAACTTCCTCCACTTCTACCCACCCTTCTACCCACTGCAAATTGGCCTTTGCCCCCACCATTCCACTGGCATTATTCTGGCCAACCTCACTAATGCACCTTCTCTTGGCAAGTCAAATGGCTTTCAGACATCATTCTGCATGTCTTTCCAAACCTCCTTGATAATAACTTTAGCAGTGGAAAGAGCCATCACTGATATGTTGTGTGCATTTACTGCTGAGCACCTGGTGCTGTGCACTCTCCCAGGTATGTGAAGTACGTGGTCTCACAACCATCTTTTAGTCCAGTGCTTTGATTTTTTTATTTGAAGTCAGGTGGACTGGAATGCAAATCTCAGCACTGCCATCTTCCAGCTGTGTGACGCTACTCAGGCCTTCTAAGCTGAGTTTCTGCCTCTTGTCCTTGGCTCTCTACCCCGGGCCTCATCCGCCTTGGTCCCTTCTACTCTCTCCTCCTCCTCTCCCAGCACCTGAAATTACCTCCAAATCTATCTCCTTAACTCTGGCCTCTCTCCTAAACTCCAGACATGTGGCTGTTTATTGGCCTCTCTCACCTGTGTGCCCCACGGGTATCTAAGAATCAAGAGCGCTGAAAGTGAACTACCTTTCCCTGAAAATCTGCTTTTCCTCTCACTGTGCCTCTTCTGTGTTTGTTCTTTCATTTATTCATTGAAATATGTATGCATGCCTACAAGGTGCCCACCACGATTCTAGGCTCTGGGAGCACCTACAGCACCACAAACCAAGTCCCACCCTTATTTCAGTGGGGAAGACAGACTGTAAACAAAAGTGTACATAATGTCAGGTAGTGAAGTGTGCTGCAAAATAAACAAACACGTGGCAGACGGTTAGAGGATGACATGTGATGGGATAGGCTGGCCAGGGTGCACCTGTCTCCCTGAGGAGCAGAGGAAGGATGGAAGGGGTAGCAGTGCTTCTGCTCCTACAGTTGTCCAAGGCAGAAGTTTTGTGAGCACCTTCAACTTTGCCCCACATGGCCTACTTTCCCATAACCCATGTCTCTGTTACCTGTTCTCTCCCCAGTGTTCCTACCTGGCTCAAGGACTCAACACCTCTCAAGGGGAGCGCTGCACCGGATTTTGGTCTTTTACGTTGGGCCTCAGCTCACTGTCAGAATAATCTTTCTAAAACACACATCCGTGAATGTCCTTGACTTGCTGAAAACCCCTCCCTGGTGTCCATTTCCTACAGGCATAAGTTCCTGACCCCAACAGAGTTCAAATACCTCGTTTTCTGGTACCTCCTCCCATGCCCAACGTCTCTCCTGCCACGTTCCCCAGGGAACACTCCGCGTTCTTCCCCACATCCCTGCCTGAGCCCAGGCTGTTTCTTTCACTCCAAACACTTCTCACAGCCCAGTCCCCAATTCCTAGGCATCCTTCTGGGCTAAACTGGATTAGTGAAGCCTTCCCTAACTGCCCAGTCAGGTCACTTTTCCCCATCTTCCATTGTTCTCTGGGGGTGCCTCTGTTGTATTTATAATACAGTGAAAGGCTGTAAGGGTTTGCATTTCACTCATTCAATACACATGGTTAAGTGGCCCCTGGGCACTGGGCTTCACTGTCAGTGCCATGGACACAGCTACAAATAAGGCCAGACCAGTTCTTGGCTCTCACAGCAGTGATGCTCTGGTGCAATGTCTCCTCCATTAGGCTGGGCCCATGCATTCAACACAGCTAACAAATCCCCATTTTGTGTCCAATATAAGGTATCCCCCTGGGAGATCCCAGGGAGACAGAAAAGAATGAGAGAGGCTACTCAACACCTGAGGGCACCTGTCCCATGTGCAGAATCCTATCCATGATTTTTGGATGAAGAAATTACGGGAATTATTTTTATTCCCATTTTGTGGTAAGAAAAGAAAGAAATAGAACAATTAATTCAATTAATTCGTATGTTGTAAACAATGAGCTTGATTGCCAGAATTCCAGATGAACTCAGTGGAACACAATTATCTCTGCTCTGAATCACAAGAGGCTTCTTTTCACTCCATTCGCAACACTTCCTATTTGCAAATTTAATATAAAGTATAGATAAAAGAATATGCCAGCAAATTCTGCTGTTATGCAGCAGGGTCTCCACAGCTCAACACCTGGGACTGGCCATGGTCTGTCATCCTCGTTCAAATTAGGATAGTCTAAGGACTAAGTCTGTTGTGTTCTAGGTACTCCCAGTGCTTCGAATAGTGCTTGGCATCTCATGGGCACTCATAAATGTTTCAATGAATAAGTGAAAGAGCAAGCAGACAGGGAAAAGCACAATGAGAAGAAGATCATCTTTTCAAGGAGAGGCAGGTAATTCACTCTTGGTCCTCTTGAGTCTTAGGTGCCCACAGGGCATGCAGGCGAGGAAGGTAAATCGACAGAGAAATGTCTGGGGGTGTCAGATGGTACTTCCCAAAGAAACACTGAATAATTCTTTGAGGAAGTCATTTTGTTTGAATAACATTACTAGACATATGACCTTCTGTGATAAAAATTTTACATTCTGCACAAAAGACATAGCTTTTGACACTGAAGAAAAAATGTGATTTGCAGAAGAAAGAATAAAATGAAAGAGAACAAACAAAACAAAATGAAACAAAACACAAGAATCTAGAGCATCAAAAAGAGAATTTTAAGCCAGGCTAAACCAGTATCACTTGGCAAAGACTGAACCAAAGATGATGAACCTGAAAGGTCAGATCTTTGGGAATGATTTTTAGACTATAATGTGGTGAACATCTGAAAATTATCTAGGATTTAGTAAGATTTTGGATGAACTATTCCAGATCTCTCTTAGTTCGTTTTGTGCTGCTGTGAGAATACCACCAACTGGGTAATTTATAATAGACAGAAACTTACTGGCTCACTGTTCTAGAAGCTGGGAGGTCCAAGATTAAGGGGCCAGCACCTGGTGAGGGCCATCTTGCTGCCCATAACCTGGCAAAAGGCATCACATGGGATAGAAAGAGTGTACAACAGAGATCCAAGCTCTTTAAAAAGGAATTCCTTTAATAAGGAATCCACTCCTGTGATAATGGCATTGGTCCATTTATGACCAGAGCCCTCATGGTCTAGCCAGCTTGTGGTATTATGGCATATATATATTTACATGGCATATATATATTTATATGGCATATAGATATACATTTCTTTTCTTCCATGATTCCTGGCTCATAACTCCTAACATCCTTGGGGTCTCTGAAGTACTGTTCTTTGTGTGTCTTTGTTGGGTAGGTTCAGGGTGGGGCTGGTCACCGGAAAGACCAAGGCAGGATTAGAGAGTTAAGACTTTCAGCGCCAACCCCCAACCTCCAGGAGGGGAGAGGGGCTGAAGGTAAGTTGATCACTAGAGCCGATGCTTTAATCGATCATCCCTAAGTAATGAGGCCTCCATAAGAACCCAAAAGGACAGGGTTTGGAGAGCTTACTGACAGCTGAACACATGGAGGCTCCTGGAGGGTGGCCCACCCAGGGAGAGCACTCAGGGAAAGGAGGCTCTGCACCCTTCCTGCATCGCTCACATGATGCATCTCTTCATCTGTATCCTTTGTAATATCCTTTATAATAAACTGCTAAACGTTGGTGTTTCCCAGAGTTCTGTGTGCCACTCACGCAAATTAATCAAACTCAAAGAGGGAGTTGTGGGAACCCCAACTTGAAGCGGGTCAGTCAGAAGTTCTGGAGGCCCAGACTTGTGACTGATGTGTTGGGAGGGCCAGTCTTGGGGACTGAGCCCTCAACCTGTGGGATCTGATGTCATCTCTAGGTAGGTAGTGTCAGAGTTGAATTGGAGGAGAACCAACCGGTGTCTGCCGCTTGGTATGTGTGGGGAAATCCCCCACACCTTTGGTCACAGAAGCCTTCTTCCCTGTTGATGATTGCTGTTGTGGTGCGAGAGCACCGGTTGAGAGAACTGTTTTTCCCACACACACCTCTTAAATGTCCCACCTCCAACACTGCTGCAAGGGAGATCAAGTTTCCAACACATGAACTCTGGGGGACACATTCAAACAAAGCACCGTCCACACACACCCATGTATAGTCAGAGAGTAGGTTTCACACTGGCCATGTGTATTTATAGACTCCAAATGTTTATACTCTTTGATCCAGAAATACTACTTCTAAGGCTGTATCTTAACAAAATAATTCAACTGTGCACCACAGTAGTCATGCAAATATTATGTGAGAAAGCAGAAAACTGGAAAATAACTATAAATGTTTAACATTTAGTGAAGAATCAAATAAACCAGGGTATACTCACACCATGGAATATTATGTAACCATCACCCATATGAATCTGACAATTCAATAAAAACACAGAGAAAGTCTATGAAATAATGCTAAATTTAAAAGCAGAATATACAATAATTATGGACACTCTGATTGCACCTATGTAGAAAACATTTGAGGAGAAAAAAAACTAAAAGGAAAGGCTCCCAAGTGGTAGCAATAAGGCAACCGGATTATAAATTATTTTTCTTTCTAGAAGGTTTGCCTTATTAATGATTATTAAAAAAAATTGCTAACACTTATGGGGAGCTTTCAATACTAAGCACTTCACATGTTCATTTCTCTTTATAACAACCCTATGAGATGGATACTATTAATACTCTTATTTTACAAGTAAGAAAACTGAGGTTTAAAGAGACTGAGTAACCAAAATCACACACAGGTTAGATGGTAGATCTGCGGCTAGTTCTTGGTCTGGCTCCTGTGAAAGTCCAGGCTTTTAATCACTACATTATACTTCTATTTAGCTTTTTTTTTTCAATTAAAAGACGTATTGTTTTAAAAATAAGTCCATAGTACAATCGAATGGCATTTCCTTTATGATGAAAAAAAGTACTGAGACCTTAACTGGATTGGCTCTAACACTTTTAGAAATCAGTGTGGCGGGGAGTGGGAGACAGAGAAGGAAGCCAATGTAGGAATGGCAATGACTTGGGATAGGCAGAGAGGGAGGAAAGACAGAGACCTCCAGGGCACCCACCTCTCCCGGGGCCTTGTTTGCATAATTCTTCTTGGCAGCCTCCTGGAGTTCCATGGCCTGCTGGATGTACATTTTCCCAGCTAGGATTTCACTTTCCAGCATCGACAGCTCTTTCAGTGAAATGGGCCAATTCAACCGTTCTAAAGCCTGGTTTAAAACTGTTTTGTTTTCCAAGTACTGTATTGGTTTGTTTGCATCTAACCTAAAAAACAAAGAAACAAACAAACAAACAGAGGAAGAAACAAAAAGCAAAGAAAATGACTATAATAAAAAAATATGGTAAGATGGTTTCCTAAGAAATTCTCCCCTGAGAAACATCTGTTGAAGCTAGTGTCAGGTGTCAGATGACAGCATCATAGCCATGCCCTCTGCTCTATCAGGACTTTGGTAGCTTGCAAAGGTTAGAAATAACCATCTCTGTGAATTATGGTAGGCACTTTTCCCTATTACCTCATTAGGTTATCTGATTTTAAAGAAGTATGATACACATAAAATTTTCAGCATTTTTTTTTCTCCGTATTTGGAGCCTGACATCTGGCAGAACCAAACATGGGCTTCAAAGAGATTTCACACAAGTATGCCTAGCAGTGACTCTGAAAAACAAAGCAAAGCAAAACAAACCCAAATATTTGCCTCAGTGCAGTAATTCTTATACTAGCTCATTTTAGCTATTTTTATCTTCTTTCCTCTTTGCAAGCCTAAATAAGTCTAAACTATTTGGCTTTGCTGTTTTGATACATAAAGAACAGAAGCCAAACTTTCTATGGCTGATAAGCAGGCGGTGGGACTCCAGGGGAAGCTAGTGTGGTGTGATGGCCCAGGTCCTGGATTCTGTTTCCAGTCTGAGCTGCTTCTGAGTCAGACACTGCTAGAATGGAATGGGTAGGGAGAAAGAAAACAATTCATGATTATCACTCTTATTGCTGAAAGCATCACTTATTTATTTAGATGTTGGATTTTGGAAGAGAACAGTCTAAACTCAGCACAATCACAGGACTCCATCCACAAACAAACTCGTACCCAGAAGACAGCAAAACATTCTTATTGGAATGATGTCAGCAAGATGGTGGAATAAAAACCCAGGCCCTCATTCCCCTACAGAGACACTGACTTAACAATATATGAACCAAATCGCCTTTGCGAGAATTCCAGAAACAAATGAAGAGGTTGTGGCACCTCAGACAAGTACAAACCCAAGAAAAGCTGCATGAAGGAGAGTAAGAAAGCTTGTTGCATTTTGCCTGCCCTAACCTCCCCTCCTCCCCAAAACAATGTGATGCAATTGGAAGAAAGCTCCCCAATCCTGGCTCCTCCTTTGGAGAAGAGAGTGGAATGCACATTCAAAATTCTTGTGTTTTGGGGGACTTCTGAAGAAATAGGTTTCCGTCTTGCCTGATTCAGAATGCTGATGAGAACAGTGGCATATTTTGCAGGTCAGGTTGGGACCTCTGAGAACAGAAATGAGTGTCACAGCTTGTTACAGCATTGGAGATACTGCAGTACTTCAGAGAGACACCAGGGGGAACAAGATATTACAGGCTCCTGAAAGAAACGGGCAAATCTTTTTCACTGGGAAATTACACACACAAGCCCAGAGAAGACACATCCCCAGAAAAGGTTTCAGAGAGTCCCCCAAATCTCTAGCTGGGATAATTGGTGAAGCCCTTCACCTGTAAGAGGCCAGTTTGTGAAAATCGGATGAGATAGCTGTTTTTTCAAATGTCATATTATCAACTAAATATCATAAGGCATAAAAAATGTAGGGAAAAGCACACAAAGATATGAGGAAATGGCCCAATCAAATGAGCAAAATAAATCTTTAGAAATTGGTCCCAAAGAAATGGAGATATATTCTTGACCAGTCCTGGTCATTTGCCCCCCTTCTTGTCTGTGGACCATGATAAGCCTGAGTAGTGACTTCAGAGCTGGGTAACATAGAAATTAAAGTGAAAAGACCTTTACGTGGAGAATTTGCATGCATAATATAGGAAGGTGTTCTTTAGGTATGTTACAGGATTACTTTAAACCATTTGACTTACGCTCCAAAGTAATGTTGGTAGTATAGCAAATTATGATGAATAGCTTTAATTGTATGTTTAAGAGTCTCATATGTTCACATGCTTAAATCTGGGTATCAGAATTTAAGCAATTCTTGAAATATATAGTCTCCTTAATATACTAATTACAAAGCAAAAAAAAAAAAAGGAATGGAGATATATTAATTACCTGAAAAATAATTCAAAACAACAATGTTAATGATGCTCAATGAGCTAAAAGAAAACAGAGACAACAAATACAACTCAGAAAAGTGATGCATGAACAAAATGAGAATATCAACAAAGAGACAGAAACTATAAAAAAGAACCAAATAGAAATTCTAGAGCTGAAGAATACAATAAGTGAATTGAAAAATTCACTAGAGGGGTTCAACAGCAGATGTGATTAAGCAGAAGAAAGAATCAGTGAACTTAAAGAATAGATTTTATTGATTTGCATATATTGAACCAGCCTTGCATCCCAGGGTTGAAGCCCACTTGATCATGGTGGATAAGCTTTTTGATGTGCTGCTGGATTCATTTTGCCAGTATTTTATTGAGGATTTTTGCATCAATGTTCATCAAGGATATTGGTCTAAAATTCTCTTTTTTTGTTGTGTCTCTGCCTGGCTTTGGTATCAGAATGATGCTGGCCTCATAAAATGAGTTAGGGAGGATTCCCTCTTTTTCTATTGATTGGAATAGTTTCAGAAGGAATGGTACCAGTTCCTCCTTGTACCTCTGGTAGAATTCGGCTGTGAATCCATCTGGTCCTGGACTCTTTTTGGTTGGTAAGCTATTGATTATTGCCACAATTTCAGATCCTGTTATTGGTCTACTCAGAGATTCAATTTCTTCCTGGTTTAGTCTTGGGAGAGTGTATGTGTCTAGGAATTTATCCATTTCTTCTAGATTTTCTAGTTTATTTGCGTAGAGGTGTTTGTAGTATTCTCTGATGGTAGTTTGTATTTCTGTGGGATTGGTGGTGATATCCCCCTTACCATTTTTTATTGCATCTATTTGATTCTTCTCTCTTTTTTTCTTTATTAGTCTTGCTAGTAGTCTATCAATTTTATTGATCCTTTCAAAAAACCAGCTCCTGGATCCATTAATTTTTTGAAGGGTTTTTTGTGTCTCTATTTCCTTCAGTTCTGCTCTGATTTTAGTTATTTCTTGCCTTCTGCTAGCTTTTGAATGTGTTTGCTCTTGCTTTTCTAGTTCTTTTAATTGTGATGTTAGGGTGTCAATTTTGGATCTTTCCTGCTCTCTCTTGTGGGCATTTAGTGCTATAAATTTCCCTCTACACACTGCTATGAATGCGTCCCAGAGATTCTGGTATGTTGTGTCTTTGTTCTCGTTGGTTTCAAAGAACATCTTTATTTCTGCCTTCATTTTGTTATGTACCCAGTAGTCATTCGGGAGCAGGTTGTTCAGTTTCCATGTAGTTGAGCGGTTTTGAGTGAGATGCAAGGCTGGTTCAATATATGCAAATCAATAAATGTAATCCAGCATATAAACAGAGCCAAAGACAAAAAACCACATGATTATCTCAATAGATGCAGAAAAAGCCTTTGACAAAATTCAACAACCCTTCATGCTAAAAACTCTCAATAAATTAGGTATTGATGGGACGTATCTCAAAATAATAAGAGCTATCTATGACAAACCCACAGCCAATATCATACTGAATGGGCAAAAACTGGAAGCATTCCCTTTGAAAACTGGCACAAGACAGGGATGCCCTCTCTCACCACTCCTATTCAACATAGTGTTGGAAGTTCTGGCCAGGGCAATCAGGTAGGAGAAAAAAATAAAGGGTATTCAATTAGGAAAAGAGGAAGTCAAATTGTCCCTGTTTGCAGACGACATGATTGTATATCTAGAAAACCCCATTGTCTCAGCCCAAAATCTCCTTAAGCTGATAAGCAACTTCAGCAAAGTCTCAGGATACAAAATCAATGTACAAAAACCACAAGCATTCTTATACACCAATAACAGACAAACAGAGAGCCAAATCATGAGTGAACTCCCATTCACAATTGCTTCAAAGAGAATAAAATACCTAGGAATCCAACTTACAAGGGATGTGAAGGACCTCTTCAAGGAGAACTACAAACCACTGCTCAAGGAAATAAAAGAGGATACAAACAAATGGAAGAACATTCCATGCTCATGGGTAGGAAGAATCAATATCGTGAAAATGGCCATACTGCCCAAGGTAATTTACAGATTCAATGCCATCCCCATCAAGCTACCAATGCCTTTCTTCACAGAATTGGAAAAAACTACTTTAAAGTTCATATGGAACCAAAAAAGAGCCCGCATCGCCAAGTCAATCCTAAGCCAAAAGAACAAAGCTGGAGGCATCACACTACCTGACTTCAAACTATACTGCAAGGCTACAGTAACCAAAACAGCATGGTACTCGTACCAAAACAGAGATATAGATCAATGGAACAGAACAGAGCCCTCAGAAATAACGCCACATATCTACAACTATCTGATCTTTGACAAACCTGAGAAAAACAAGCAATGGGGAAAGGATTCCCTATTTAATAAATGGTGCTGGGAAAACTGGCTAAGCCATATGTAGAAAGCTGAAACTGGATCCCTTCCTTACACCTTATACAAAAATTAATTCAAGATGGATTAAAGACTTAAACGTTAGACCTAAAACCATAAAAACCCTAGAAGAAAACCTAGGCATTACCATTCAGGACATAGGCATGGGCAAGGACTTCATGTCTAAAACACCAAAAGCAATGGCAACAAAAGAAAAAATTGACAAATGGGATCTAATTAAACTAAAGAGCTTCTGCACAGCAAAAGAAACTACCATCAGAGTGAACAGGCAACCTACAAAATGGGAGAAAATTTTCGCAACCTACTCATCTGACAAAGGGCTAATATCCAGAATCTACAATGAACTCAAACAAATTTACAAGAAAAAAACAAACAACCCCATCAAAAAGTGGGCGAAGGACATGAACAGACACTTCTCAAAAGAAGACATTTATGCAGCCAAAAAACACATGAAAAAATGCTCATCATCACTGGCCATCAGAGAAATGCAAATCAAAACCACAATGAGATACCATCTCACACCAGTTAGAACGGCAATCATTAAAAAGTCAGGAAACAACAGGTGCTGGAGAGGATGTGGAGAAATAGGAACACTTTTACACTGTTGGTGGGACTGTAAACTAGTTCAACCATTGTGGAAGTCAGTGTGGCGATTCCTCAGGGATCTAGAACTGGAAATACCATTTGACCCAGCCATCCCATTACTGGGTATATACCCAAAGGTCTATAAATCATGCTGCTATAAAGACACACGCACACGTATGTTTATTGAGGCATTATTCACAATAGCAAAGACTTGGAACCAACCCAAATGTCCATCAATGATAGACTGGATTAAGAAAATGTGGCACATATACACCATGGAATACTATGCAGCCATAAAAAAGGATGAGTTCATGTCCTTTGTAGGGACATGGATGAAATTGGAAATCATCATTCTCAGTAAACTATCGCAAGAACAAAAAACCAAACACCGCATATTCTCACTCACAGGTGGGAATTGAACAATGAGAACACATGGACACAGGAAGGGGAACATCGCACTCTGGGGACTGTTGTGGGGTGGGGGGAGGCGGGAGGGATAGCATTGGGAGATACACCTAATGCTAGATGATGAGTTAGTGGGTGCAGCGCACCAGCATGGCACATGTATACATATGTAACTAACCTGTACAATGTGCACGTGTACCCTAAAACTTAAAGTATAATAATAAAAATAAAAAATAAAAAAATAGATTTTAAGTCATAAGTTGTTATATCAACTTATGACTTAATAAAAAAGACATTTTGTGTTCATGGATTGAAAGACTTAATTGTTAAAATGTCCATACTACCCAAATCCACTAAGAGGATATAACAATTATATGTGCACCTAGCATCAGAGCTCTCAGATACATAAAACAAGCTTTGACAGAACTGAAGAAATAGACAGCAACCCAGTATTAGCAGGAGACTTCATGCTCTGCTTTCAATAATGGACAGAACAACTACACAGAATATCAATAATGAAACAAAGGACTTGAACACCACCAATCAACTGGGCCTAACCAACATGTGGAGAACCCTCCACCAAACAACAGCAGAATACACATTCTTCTCAAGTACACATGGAATATTCTCCAGAATAGACTGAATGTTAGGCCACAAAACAAATATTTAAAAAAAGAAAGTTGAAAGCAAAGTATTTTTTCTGAACAAAATGAAATGAACCTAGAAATAATAACAAAAGGAAAACTGGAAAATCCACAAAAATATAAAAATTAAGTCACATATTCTTAAACAACCAATGTGTCAAAGAATAAATCACAAGGGAAATTAGAAGATATCTTGAGATAAATGAAGGAAAAATACAACATATCGAAATGTATGAGATGCAGTGAAAGCAGTACTGAGAAGGAAGTTTATAGTGGTAAACACATTTTAAAAGGAGGAAGGTCCCAAATTAACAATTTAACTTTACTTTTCAAGGAACTAGGAAAAGAACAAATGAAAGCCCAAGTTAGCAGAGGGAAGAAAATAATAAAGATTAGAAATAGAGTATAGAAAAACAATAGAAAAAAAATCAATGAAAGCAAGATTTGTTTTTTTTTGAAAAGACCTACAAAATTGACAAATTCTTAGCTAGACTAGCCAAGAAAAAAGAGAGAAGACTCAAATAACTAAAATCAGAAACAAAAGGGGAAACATTACAACTGATGACACAGAAATTAAAAGGATTATGAGACTACTAAGAGCAATATTACACCGACAAATTGCATAACCAAGAAGAAATGGATAAATTCCTAGAAACATACCGCCTACTAAGACTGAATCATGAATAAATTAAAAAACTGAATAGATCTATAACTAGTAAGGAGATCAAATCAATAATCAAAAACCTCCTAACAAATAAAAGCCCAGTACCACATGGCTTAACTGGAGAATTCTGCCAAACAATGAAATAATTAATAACAATTCTCTTCAAACCTCTTTCAAAAGATTGAAAAGGGAGAAATGCTCCTAACTCATTTTATGAGACAGAAATTACGCTGATATCATAACCAGACAGAGATACTACAAGGAAAAAGAAACTACAGACCAATGTCCCTGGTGAACAGTGATGCAAAAATCCTCAACAAAACAGTAGCAAACTGAATTAAACAGCATGTTAAAAAGATAATCACCATGAAAAAAATGGGCTTCATTCCTGGAATGCAAGGATGGTTCAACATATGAAAATTAATGTAATATACCACATTAACAAAATGAAGGACAAAACCCACATGATTATCTCAAGTGATGCAGAAAAATCATTTGACAAAAGTCAACATCCTTTCATGATAAAAACACTCAGCAAACTAGGAATACTAAGAAACTATATCAACATAAGGAAGCCTACAGCTACTATTGTACTTAATAATGAAAGATTGGAAGCTTTCCCTCTAAGATTAGGAATAAGGCAACAATGTCCACTCTTCTCCCTTTATTCAACATAGTACTGGAAGTCTTAGAGAAATTAGGCAAGAAAAAGAAAGGAGCAATATCCAAATTAGAAAAGAAGTAAAATTATCTGTTTGTAGAGGACATGATTTTCCATGTAGAAAACCCTAAAGATTCCACAAATACTGTTAGAACTAATAAATTCAGCAAACTTAAAGGATATAAAATCAATACACAAAATAAGTTGCATTTCTATACACTAACAATGAACAATCAGGTAAGGAATTAAGAGAATAATCCCATCTACAATAGCACCAAAAAGAACAAATTAGGAATAATTTTAAGGAAGTGAGAGACTTGTACACTGAAAACTACAAAACATTGCTGAAAGAAATTAAAGAAGACACAAATAAATAAAAAAGACATTTTGTGTTCATGGATTGAAAGACTTAATTGTTAAAATGTCCATACTACCTAAAGTGATGTACAATTCTATGCAATCCCTATCAAAATCCCAATGGTATTTTTTGTATAAGTACAAAAAGATCCTAAAATTTATATGGAATTTCAACAGATCCTGAATAGCCAAAACAATCTTGAGAAAGAAGAACAGAGTTGGAGGCCTCATACTTCCAGATATCAAAACACATTACAAAGCTACAATAATCAAAACACTGTAGTGTAATCAAAGCAGTGGTACTGGCCTAAAGACAGACATATTGAATACTGGAACAGAATAAAGAGTCCATAAATAAGCTCTCATGTGATCTTGTCAAGTGATTTTTGACAAGGGTGCCAAGACTACACAAAGGAAAAACGACAGTCTCTCCAAGAAGTGATTCTGGGGAAACTGGTTATCCATATGCAAAAGAATGAAGTTGGACTCTTGGTTTAAAACATATATAAAAACTAACTCAAACAGATTAAATATCCAAGCCTATACAACTCCTAGAAGAAAACAGGGATAAAGCTTCATTATACTGAATTTGGCAAGCTTTTTTGGATATGACACCAAAAGTGTAGGCAGCAAAAGCAAAAATAGACAAATGGGACTATATTATACTTAAAAACTTTTGTGCATCAAAGAAAATAGCTGCACATCAACAGAGTGAAACAGCAACCTAAAAAATGGGAGAAAGTGTATGCAAATCATAAACCTGAGAATGGGTTAATGTCCAGAATATATAAACAACTCCTACAACTCAACAATAACAACAACATAACCCAGTTTCAAAATGGATAAAGGGCTTGACTAGACATTTCTCCAAAGAAGATATACAAATGTCCAGGAATCATGTAAAAAAATAATTAGAGAAATGCAAATCAAAACCACTATGAGATATCCTTCATATCCATTAGGATGGTCACTACAAAAACAAAACAAAATAGAAAATAAGAAGTGTTGCCAAGGATGTGGAGAAGGATTCATGAAGCTCAGAAAACTTCCAGCAGGATAAACACAAAGAAGAGTCACACCAACACACATTATAATTAAACTATTGAAGGGCAAAGAGAGAATCTTGAAAGGAACAAGACAAAAGTGACTTGTCATAAATAAGGACTCTTCCATAAGATGAACAGTTGATTTCACATCATCAACTATGGAAGCCAGAAGGCAACATGTTGATATATTTAATGTCCTGAAAAAAAATATGTCAGTCAAGAATTCTCTATCTAGTAACACTACTCTTCAAAAATGAAGACAAGATTAAGACATTTCCAGATAAATAAAAGGTAAGAGAGTTTGTTACTAGTAGACCTGTCCTAAAAGGAATGCTATAAAGAGCTCTTCATGTTCAAGTGAAAGGATACTGGAAGATAATTCTAAGCCATATGAAGAAATAAATAGTACTAGTAAAGATAACTACACAGGTAAATACAAACACTAGTATTCTTGTATGTTTGGTATGTAATTCCTTTTGTTGTTTTCTTTACTCTTTAAGAGGCAAATGCGTAAAATAATAATTACAAATCAGTGTTAATGGGCACACAATGTAAATGATATAATTTGTGACAATAACTATATGAAAGAGGTTGAAGCTGAATAGGAACAGTTAATGTTGGCTACTAAAACTAACTTCATATCAATTCAAACAAGATTGTTATAAATTTAGGAGGTTAACTATAATTCCCATGGTAACCACTAAGAAAATAACTAAAAAGTATACAGAAAAGGAAATAAAGAGCGATCACAACGACCCATTAGAACAAATCAAAAATAAAAGAAACAAATATTGGACAAATTGAGGAACAAAACTTTTGACATGCAAAACAAATAGCACAATGGCAGAAGTAAATTCTTCATTATTGGTAATCACTTTAAATGTCAGAGATTAAACTCACCAATTAAAACAGAAAGACTGGCAGAATGAGGTAAATAATGATCCAAATATATGGTGCTTAAAAAGAGATTCACTTTAGACCTAAAGACACAAATAGGTTAAAAGCGAAAGGATGAAAAAAGATATTCCATGGAAATAGTAACCAAAGAGAGTTGGAGTGGCTATAATATTACCAGCAAAATAGATTTGTTATAAATTGTTACAAGAGACAAAAGGTAACATCTTATATTGCTAAAAGTCTCAAATCATCAAGCAGATATAAAAATTAGAAACATACATGCATACTGATTCCTAAAATGTGTGAAGCATATATTGACAGAATCATAGGGAGGCATAGACAGTTATGTATAGTTATGCCTTGGTATCCATGGGGGATTGGTTCTAGCACCCCCTATGGAAGCCAAAATCCACAGACGCTCAAGCCTCTTAAATAAAATAGTGTCATATTTGCATATAACCTACACACATCTTTCTGTACACTTTAAATCATTTCTAGATTATTTATAATGCCAAATACAATGTAAATGCTGCATAGTTGTTATGCTATACTTATTTTTACTTGCATTTTTATTGTTGTACCATTATTTTTCTTTTTTTTAATATTTTTTATGCATGGTTGGCTGAATCATGGATGCAGATCCCAAATACATGGAGGGGCCAACTGTGTAAAAATAGTTGGAGACTTCAACGCCTCACTTTAGATAATGGATAAAACATCTAGACAGAAAATTTATAAGAAAATAGAGGACTAGAAAACACTATAAATGAACTAGACTTAACAAACATATCCAAAACACCCCATCCAGCAACATCAGAATATACATTAAGTGCACATGTAACATTTTCTGGGATAGACCATATGTTAACCATAGCAATTCTCAAGATATTTAAATGGTCAAAAATCACACAAAGTATATTTCCCACCCACAATGGAATAAAGCTAGAGCAACAATGAAGGGAAAACTGGAAAAATGGAAAATGCATAGAAATTAAATACCACATTCAAACAACCAATAGGGCAAAGAAGAAATTACTAGAGAAATTAGAAAGCAATATGAGATAAATGAAAATGAAAACACAACACACCCAAATTTATGGGTGCAGCAAAGCCAGTGCTCAGAAGAAGTTTTATGACTGTAAATTCCTCATTAAAAGATAGCTCTCAAATCAACAACCTAAATTTACACCTTAAGGACCTAGAAAAAGGAGGGAAAACTAAACCCAAAGCCAGCAGAGGAAGGAAATAATAAAGAGGAGAGCACTTATAAACAAATTACAGAATAGAAAAACAATTGAGAGAATCAACAAAATGAAAAGTTTGTTCCTTGAGAATATCAACAAAGTTGACAAATCTTCAGCTAGATTGACTAAAAGGAAAAAACACATAATTACTACTATCAGAAGTGAAAGCAGGCACATTACTAATTCAGCTTACAAAAATAAAAATAATTATAGAGAATACTATGAATAGTTCTATGCCAAAAATAGATAATCTAGATGAAATGCACAAATTCCTAGAAACAGATTACCAAAATGACTCAAGAAGAAATAGATAAACTCAACAGCCTATATAACAATTAAATACTTTGCATAAGAAATAAAAAATCCCCCAACAAAGGGAAATTAAGAAGCAGATGCCTTCACTGGTGAATTCTACCAAACAAATAATTAACAACAATACTGCTCAAACTCTTCCAAAAAATGGATGAGGGAATACTTCTTAACAGTCAGCAAGAAGAGAATTACCCTGATACCAAGGCCAGACAAACATGTCAAAGAAAACTACAGACCATTTTCTTTATAAATATGGACATAAATATTCTTAATAAAACACTAGCAAATCAAATCCAAAAGGACATTAAAAGGATTATACACCATGACTAAGTAGGATTTATGCCAGAAATGCAGGAGTGGTTCAACCCAAGAAAATCACATGATTTAATACATCACATTAGTAGAGCAAAGGGAAAAATCCATGATCATTTCAATAGATACAGAAAAAAGCACTTGACAAAATTTAACACACACTTTTCATGATAAAAACAATCAGGAAACTAGGAATATAGGGAACTTCCTTTCTTTCTCACTGGGATCAGGAACAAGACAAGAACGTCCCCTTTCACCACTGCTATTCAATGTTGTTCTGGAAGTACTAGCTAGATCAATTAGGTAAGAAAAAGAAATAAAAGGCATCCAAATTAGAAAGAAAGAAGTAAAATTATTTCTACTTGCAGATGATATGTTTCTATATATAGAAAACCCCATAGATTCCCCACAAAGCCACTAGTACCAATAAATTCAGCAAAGTTGCAAGGTACAAAGTCAAAATACAAAATTCAGCTGTGTTTTTATGTACCAGCAATGAACAATCTGAAAATGAAGTTAAGAAAACAATCCCATTTATAATAGCACCCAAAAGAACAAAATAACAGAGGATGTGAAAGGCAGGTATACTGAAAACTATATAACATTGCTGAAGGAATTAAAGATCCACTAAATAAATGGAAAGACATTCTATGTTCATTGATTGGAAAACAATATTGTTAAAATGGTAATACTCTTCAAAGCAATCTTTAGATTAAATATAATCCCTACAAAAATTCCAATTTTTTTTTCAGAAATAGAAAAGCCAATCCTCAAATGTATACAAAACTTCAAGGGGCCCTGAATAGCCCAAACAATTTTGAAATAGAAGAACAAAGTTGAAGGACTCATATTTCCTAATTTCAAAACTGAATACAAATCTACAATAATTAAAACAGTGTCAACTTGCATAAATATAGTCATATATAGACCAGTGGAATAGAATAGAGAGTCCAGAAATAAACCCAAACATTTATGGTCAGATGATTTTTGACAAGGGTGCCAAGACCATTCAAAGGGAAAGAATAGTCTCTTAAACAAATAGTGCTGGATAAACTGGATATTTACATGAAAAAGAATGAAGTTGGAACCCTACTTCACACCAGATACAAAAAGTCCCTCAAAAATGGATCAAAAGTCCAAATGTAAGACCTAAAACTGTAAACATATTAGAAGAAAACAAAAGGATAAATGCTCATGATTTTGTATTTGGCAATGGATTCTTAGATTTGACACCAAAAACACAAACAAAAGAAAAAAAAAGAAGAATTCACTTCCTAAAACTTAAAAACTTTTGGACCTCCAAGGACATTATGAAGAATACGAAAAGATAACCCATAGCATGGGAGAAAATACTGACAAATCAGATATCTGATAATGACTTAATCCTCAGAAGTTATACAACAAAAACACAACCCAATTGGAAAATGGACAAAGAACTTGAATAAACATTTCTCCAAAGAAGATATACAAATGGACAACAAGCACATGAAAAGATGTTTAACATCATTGGTCATTAAGAAAATGTGTATCAAAACCACAGCAGAATAGCCTTTCACACCCATGAGAATGACTTAAAAAAAAAAAGAAAAGGAAAATGTCAAGTGTTCATGAGGATGTGGAGCAATGAGAACCTACCACATGATCCAGCAATCTCACTACTGGATATTTATCCAAAGATAGTAAATCAATATGTATCATAGGGACACCTGCACCCTCATGTTTATTGCAGCAAGATATGGAATCAAACAAACTAAGTATCCATCAACGGATGGATGGATAAAGAAAATGTGGTATATATACACAATGGAATACTATTCAGCCAAAAAAAGGAACAAAATCCTATCATTTGCAGCAACTTAATATCATTTGCAGCACTTAATATCATTTGGAGGTCATGATATTAAGTGAGATAAGCCCGGCACAGAAAGACAAATAGTTCTCACCCATCTGTAGGAGCTAAAAACAAAAAAAAGTTGATCTTATGGAGGCAGAAAATAGAATCATAGTTACCAGAGGCAGGGAAGAGTGTGTGTGGAGGTGGGGGAGATGAAGAGAGGTTTGACTATTGGACACAAACATACAGTTAGGTAGAAGGAAAAAGTTCTAACACTTGACAACACAGTAGGGAGACCATAGTTAACAATAATTTACTGTATATTTCAAAATAGCTAAAAGAGACAACTTGAAATGTTCCCAACACAAAGGGATAATAAATGTTTGAGGTGATAGATAGTCTAAACATCCTGATTTGATCATTACATGTGTGCAAGTATCAAAATATCACATGTACCCCAAAATATGTACAATTATTATGGGTCAATAAAAATAAATAGATATGTTCTAAAAATGGCATAGCCACTGTGGAAAAACAGTTTGGTGGTTCCTCAAAAAGTTAAGCATAGAATTACCATGTGACAAGCAAATCCACTGCTAGGTATATACCCAAGAGAAATGAAAACATATGTCCACAAAGAAACTTCTACACAAATGCATATAGCAACATAGTTCATGATAGCGAAAAAGCGGAAGCAACCCAAATGCCCGTCAGTGGAAGAATGGACAGACAAACGTGGTGTATATATACACATGTAGTACTGATACCTGGGTGAACCTTAAAAACATGAGGTTTTTACATTAACTAAGAAAAGCTGCCAGACACAAAAGGTCACATGCTGTATGATTCCCTTCATATGACATATCCAGAGTAGCCAAAATCATAGAGACAGGAAGCAAACTGGTGGTAACCCAGAAAAGGGGGAGACAGGAATGGGGAGTGATTAATTTATGGTTACAAAGTGATTTTCTGGGGTAATGAAAAAGTTTTGAAACTAGAAAAAGGTAGTGGTTTGCAGAACATTTTGAATATTTTAAATACCTCTGCATTGTACACTTTAAAATGGTTAATTTTAGGTTACGTGAATTTCACCAAAAAAAAAAAGTGAGGAGGGAATGGAATGGCTTACTTTTCTTTTTCCTCTTGAGATAATGCTCGCCAAACAATTTTATTCAAGCGCCTGTTAAAAAAAAAAAGTCAACAATAATTTTGTAGCAGTACTTCATTTCATGGCAAAAGGTTAACCCCAGGCACCGCAGTGGGAGCCCATCTAAGCATCATCTCCACTGAGCCAGGCCACTGTCATGTGCTTAAAGACACTGGATGTGTCACCTCAGCATCACTGCAGCAGCCTCGTGGTTTTGTGGCAATTGCGTCAAATATTAAAGGAGGGCTCAGTTCCCAGCTCAGCCAGGTAAAACTCAGACTGAGTAAAGGCAGTTGACAAACTGGTCTTCATTATCTCTGTTTTAAGTCGTTTCTAAACACCCACCATTTTTCTTCTTACGGGAACATAACTGTGCTCTTTAGTTCGCTTTCTGTAGACACTCTTCTGCCTGGATTCTCAGATCAAAAGAGTTTAACAGGGTCATAAATAATAGGATTGGGACACACTTTAGAGATCAAGCAGGCTGGCTGCCTTGTTTTCCAAACGAGGCTGCTAGGAGGGGCAGCTGGATGAAGCACCTTGCTCACCCACAGCTGCTGGCTGGCGGTGCTGAGACTGATCGCGTTTTCAGAGGGAAGCTGTTGACCCAAGAGCAAAGAAGGAGGTTGAAGCTAGTGGTTCCTACAGGGTAGCTATAGCTGCTCTTTTGGCTACTAATCAGTGTTGCTTCTTCAGAGTTCCCAGCCCAGTTCTGTGTCATCATGTCAGGACATCATTACCCAAAAGCAGGCTTTCTGAGCTGCAGGGCAGAGAACACTGGCTCCAGGGTTGTGAGCTGATGTTCCATTAAAAAACACTGCTTCCAGCCGGGTGCAGTGGCTCACGCCTGTAATCCTAGCACTTTGGGAGGCCGAGGCGGGCGGATCACCTGAGGTCAGGAGTTCGAGACCAGCCTGGCCAGCATGGTGAAACCCTGTCTGTACTAAAAAAAAAAAAAAAAAAAAAAAAAAAAATATCAGCCGGGCGTGGTGGCGGGCGACTGTACTCCCAGCTACTCAGGAGGCTGAGGCAGGAGAATAGCTTGAACCCAGGAGGTGGAGGTTGCAGTGAGCCGAGATCACGCCACTGCACTCCAGCCTGGGTGACAGAGCGAGACTCCATCTCAAAAAAAAACAAAAAACAAAAACAAAAAACACTGCTTCCATACAATGAGGTAGGAGAATGCTACTGCTCTTCAGGAGGCATTCTTCTAACCACTGGACCCAGCATCAGCTGGACAGGGCTCAGAGGACACATTTCGGGTGGCTGCATTCTCCTGCCCTGCCCTCCCATCATGAGCCTGGTAAGAACACAGAAAGGGTGTCTGCAGACAGGGCCTCTGAAGAGGGTAGACTCCGGAGCCACAACTCCAGGGCCCAAAGCTCAGTCGGCTTCTTCTCCTTCTTGCCGTGAGGCTTTGGGCCAGTGCCCAACTTTTCGGTAAAGTGGGGATAGTAGTACCGCTCCACTCCTAGTGTCGCCATGAGGACTTGAGCTAGTGTGTACACAGCACATAAATTGTGTCTGATCCAGGTAAATGTGCTCTAAGTGATAGAAAAAGAGTCGGGAAGAGGGAAATAAGTCAGCTCAGTGCTTCTGTCTCACTTGAGATGTTTGGTTCTTTGAGGCCTATTTGGAAATTGGCTTTCTTGAATCATGTGATTCAGGTAATAATGATTAAGGCTTCCAAGATTTGTTAAAAGGATTTATAGTACGCATTTTAGGTATCTTTGTGCTTCTCTGAAAAACAAACAAGCAAACGAACAAAAAACCCATTCACAATCCCCTTAAATGTAAATGTAGAGAGTGGAGGCAGTGTAGTGTGGAGGCTGGGAGTGTGGTAAGGGCTCTGGGTTCAAACCTTGGTGTCCTCACTTTGCTGCTGTGTGATCCTGTGCTACGTAGCTTTTGGAAACTGTTTTCTCATTGATAAGACAAGGCTAACACCACCTGCCCTTGGAATCCTTGAGAGGATTAAGTGAGATGCATACATAAAGTGATCACGAATAGCTCAATGTTTATTCCCTCCAGGTTCTGAAAAGCAAGGCTTAGAAACACTGAGTAATCATTGGTAAATGTGGGTCCAGTTTGCTAGCACAGGTCTCTAATTTTAATTCACTTCTTTAGAAAATATTTTTCCAGGAGCACATTTTCATAGCCTTTGTTATTCCCCTATTTTCCATCTTCACTAAAATACTTCAACAGCTCTACTGTCCAGGGAGGCCACCGCAGGAAAGCCAAGTGGGATGAGGGAGTCCCTGTGGGATTCAGGCCCGGCACTGGACCTGAGGGCCTCTCTGCGGCTGGTCCAGCCCCATGATTCAGGGATTTTTCTAACAAAGTTTCCCTCATTGTTTTTTGTAGGAGAGAGAAATTTGGCTAAGGGATTGCATTCACCAACTTTCTGTATCTCTAATTCTCACATCAGCTTGTGCCAAGAGTTGACTCATTTGCAAAGCAACTTGTAACTAGTGACACTTCAGAAGGCCAAGAAGCAGCCGGCCCAGCAAATTGCAGATGGTAAGGAGAGGTTTCTAAGCATGGTCCCCAAGCCAGGCTAGAACGGATACTGCTTCTGTGATCTGAGAGCTGTGACCTTGACCTTAGACTTTCAATGAAAGTAAGCAACAGAAAAATCACTCCAGAATCCAGCCAGCCCTGGCAATATCCACTCAAAGCTTATACTCAGACACACAAAGCCAAAATTGCTGCCTCGGTTCTTAAAATGAGACAAAAGGACTCCCATGCATGGGCACTAAGTGTGACCCCAATAACAAGTTTATGTCATTATTTTGACCAAAGGACTGTGAGCTTTCCATTTGCCTGGTCATCCTTAAACATATGGATTTATGATTACACAAAGGTTGTTTTTAAAGTTACATCTCGCTTATCTTTGTTGGAAAACTCCTTAGAAATGTTATATAGGGGATGGGGGTGGTAAATGTGTCATTAATTACTTTTCATATTCTGACTATCTTGAGAAAAATGAAGCAAAATGGAAAAAGAAATTGACATTTATACCAACAACACTCTTAAACACAATTGAATGCAAATGATCAGGAAATTTGGTTCCGTATAATATTCATGTTACTATTAATATTAAATAACAATGTTAAATAATTTACTTGATACAAACATCAAATTAGTGATACCAAATAATAACAATTCAATCAGTAACTTAATTATTAAATAATACCAATCATGTTAAAATTGTTATTAATAACTTGATGTTAATATAATTAATAACAATATAGTGACAATATTTCTCTAGAGGGTACTAAAAGGCTTTTCCAGATTCACTCACTGAAAGTAAGAAGGAGGACAAATGACTTACTATGTTTGTTTTGGTTTTGCTGCTAAGAAAGGAGGCCTCTCTTTTGCCTGGGAAGGGGCTCCCTGTCCTTTCCTGAAATCCTTGGGAAAAGGTCAATGCAGTGGGAAGAACCAGATGACGATTTCACTCCATGCACCTATGGTTATTTTAGGGTCAGCAGAGTCAGGAGTGAAAGGGGGAAGTAATGAACATCAGTTCCTCTTTACATATCATTTACATAATCCTCACAACAGACCTGTGAGATAGATTCTGTGAACAAGGAATCTGAGGCTCACGACTGTCACACACTGGAACAGAGCTGGTGTCAGAACCAAGCAGGAAACCCCCGCGAACCATCTGACCACGAAGCTCTATCTAGCTCGTGGCCCTGCATCAGGCTTTCACAGGCCGGGTAATTATAGGACTCAAATATTTGAATTATTCAAGCAAACTACATTAGAATGTGAATGGTATTGTTATATGGCATTTTGAATGACTGAATTTGAAGAATGGAATTATATAAAATTTGAATTAAATTTGAATAGTCATATACACACAGACGCCTGCTAGGAATAGGGTATGCAGGAGGAAGCAAGGCTGGCTGAGCCCTGGCCTTGGGAGCTGACATCCTAGAGGGCAGAGATGGTCACCAAGCCACCGCCCCTGCAGAAGCTGTGAGTGCTC
Organism: Homo sapiens; assembly: GCF_000001405.40. Taxonomy (NCBI): domain Eukaryota; kingdom Metazoa; phylum Chordata; class Mammalia; order Primates; family Hominidae; genus Homo; species Homo sapiens. Next base: position 98,252,159 of record NC_000002.12, on the reverse strand, counting down.
TGAGGGCCACACGAAGGGTGGGCGCTGAGAGGAGCTCCCGAGAGGTCTCTCTGAGAAGGATCATTGGTGCTGAGGTGAGAAGCGATGAAAGACCCAGCTGGGGACAGCAGCATAACCGGAGAGGAGCCGAGCTGGGAGGCAAGGCCTGTCTGGAAGTCTCCGACCCACGGGGAAGGGTGAGCCTTGAATAGCTCATCCTGCTTCCCAAAGAAATGCTCATCCTTGGTTCTTCTTTCCTCTCAGGTAAAGATTCAGAAATACTGAGGAGCCCACAGAGGCTGCTGAGGAGCCTCGTAAGGCGGCCTCCACTCTCGGGTGAGGGCAACGATGGAGGCTCACGTTAAAGGGGGTTTGGAGAGGCCTGGGTTGGACACAGTGGAGCAAGGTCTGCCGTTGGAATGATCCTTCGTGGGGCAGGATCAGGCCTTATATTTGTTTGACTGAGCACATGCTAGACACATTGCAAAATGACAGCAGACCAACATACGCTGGCCTGGGCCAATAGTTAACTTTCCTGAACTTTATTTCACCCACCCGCATGGTGGCAAATGACAACTCAACTGCACAGTTCCCAGAACCGAGGACAGGCTGGCCTGCAGAAGCCAAATGCTCAGAGTTTAATTAAGTTTGTGCACCCAGGATTAATTAAGGGCTGGGGACCGGGGAGGGAGGTGATTACAGCATGGACAAGGACCAGCCTGTGAGCAGAGTCTCCTGTCTCAGCAAGGATACAAGGGTGTGTGATCATCATCTTGAACTTGATAAAAGTAATTTTAAAATTAACAAAAGCCGTTATTTCCATTATCTCATTACTGTCGAGTTTTATTAGTCACTTTATAGAATGTTAGATGCCAAAACAATCAGATGCATTCTGCTAAAAGGAAAACTTTACAGATCTCATGGAAACATGAGATTTTTATGGATATTGGAAAGGGAAGATAGTTTCTTTAAAACCTTGTTGAAGATATTCAGGTAAAGTACTTGATGCAGTGCCTAGCATGTAGGAAGCCCCTACAATAGCTGCTGCCACTGTTGTTTATATTCCTTATGAGCAATTTTTTTTAGACGAGGTCTCACTCTATCACCCAGGCTGGAGTGCAGTGGTGCAATCACAGTTCACTGCAGCCTCCAACTCCTGAGCTCAAGTAACTCCCTTCTCAGCCTCCCAAGTAGCTGGGACTACAGGCACGCACCACCACACCCAGCCTGTATTTATTTATTTATTTTTCATCACAGAATTTTATTTTTATTTTTGTGGGTACACAGTAGGTGTATATATTTGTAGGTTACATGAAATATTTTGATACAGGCATATGATGTATAATAACATCAGGGTAAATGGGGTATCCATCACCTCAAGCATCTATCCTTTCTTTGTGTTACAAATACTCCAACTATACTCTTCTAATTATTTTTAAATGTACAATAAATTATTGTTGATTGCAATCACCTTGTTGTGATATTATTCTTTAAATTATTTGTAGAGACAAGGTCTTCCTATTGTTGCCCAGTCTGGTCTTAAACTCCTGGCCTCAAGCTGTCCTCCTGCCTCAGTCTCCCAAAGTGCTGGGATTACAGGCATGAACTACCACACCCAGCCTGAACAATTTTTAAATAGCTGCTTCATTAAAAAAAAAAAAAAGCTAAGCTAAAACAAGAGAAGTCTCCTTCTCCATAAAATAAATTCCACATCCATTAAAGAGCAGCCAAGAGTAATACTCACTTTTCATAGGATTGAATTGCCTGTTCCACTTTTCGCTTGTAGATATTGAGTTTGGCTCCTTGGGGGTTAATTAATGTCATCTTATTTGTGTCGTTGCACACATGTGCCAGAGGGAACACCTGCATGTCAATGGCAAAGGAAAGGAAAGTGTCACTTGATAGGTTAATGCGTGCCTTCGAAAATACATCTACATAGTTGTATAACATGTTTTCTCTGACTATAAAGTCAATATACAATAAATGTAGAACATTAGAAAACACAGTAAATCACAGAGAAAAAAGAGATATCATTGCTAACCTTTACTGTTCAATGTTTAAAACTATATATTTTAGAAATCACTACCACCACATACACACATGCACACACACACACCAAAAAACAACCACCGCCAAAACTGTTTCAGAAAACCTTAATTAGAATTGCGAATTATCTTCAGAAGTCTCTGTCAAATTGGTAAGAGTGGGCAATAAGAAATAGATCTCATTGTTGCTTCTTTGTAAATTGCTATTTGAGTTAAACACCTTTTTCATATATTTATTTTACATTTGATTTTCTTTTGAGAATATTTGATTATAGTTACCATATTTTGACGATTTCTCTTATCCTTTTTTTGTTTGTTTGTTTGTTTTTGAGATGGAGTTTTACTCTTGTAGCCCAGGCTGGAGTGCAATGGTGTGATCTCGGATAAGAGATTCTTACACGTGTGAAAGAATGCTTAGTGATCAATAAATGAGGCTTCTTTTTGAGTTCTTTCTCTCTGTGCCTGGTACTTACTTCTGGGTTTTGGGATATCTTTGATTTCATGCCAAGCAGCTCCGGGGGGAAAAGATGGTAAATGTATTGGTTTGGTGGAACTTCAAATTCTGGTCTCCTTCCCCAATTTTGGGGGGACCCTTTCAATTTCAAAGTTCACTGTTAGCTTCTCCATGTATTCTATCCAAGACTTACAGTTGTATTCAAAGGCACAAACAGGGTAACAGACGCTTACCTCATCTTCTCTAGAATTGAAACCCTCCTTCAATCTTTTTTTCCAAATTCTTCTTTAATCTTGATAGTAACTGTAACTTTATGTTTACCTATTTGCATATTACCTACCTCTCTCTATCAGAATGTAAGTTCCATAAGACAAGAAATGTTGTGCTATTCACTACTGTATTCCTATCACTTAGAATAGTACCTGGCACACAGTGTGCCCTCAACAAATGTTTGTTGATAAAGGAATAAACGCATGTTCCCAAAAAGGTATATTCCATATATTAATATTTAAACAAAAATGCAAAAAAGCCTAACAGGAAAATGCCAAGCTATACTGTCATTGTTTCAAAAATGATTCCACCCATAAGGAGCATGTAGGCATTTTAGAAATGTGGGAAATTATTTTTAAGAGGTAAATTTTTAATTTTAATTGAGGTGACATAGTTTATGCTTTTATGTTTCCTCTTGCCTCCAAAATGATACAATAATGTTATTGTTGTTGCTATGTTTAAGAAAATAATACAAAGAGGGAAGGAAGGAAGGAAGGAGAGAAAGAAAGAAGAAAGAAAGGAAAGAGAGAAAGAAAGAAAGAAAGAAAGAAAGAAAGAAAGAAAGAAAGAAAGAAAGAAAGAAAGAAAAAGAAAGAGAAAGAGAGACAGAGAGAAAGGGACACACGCTGATAGGTTTTTAGAGACAAAAAGCTGAGCAGAAATGTAAACATATGAGTGTTGTTGAAGCTGTAGGCTTGTTAAGCTGTGTGTCCAAAGATGGCAAGGCAGAGGGAGTTCAACTCCTGGAAAGCTAGTGGGACTAGGAGTGTTCTGAAAAACAAAGGCCTATGTCAGGCTCAATGCCTGACGTCAGCATTGGTATGAGGGTCTCTCACCCCTGAAAGAAGGTCCTGCTTAGGGAGAGAGGACACTGATGTAGCCTCGCAAGACCTAAATCAAGGCACTCTTTGAATCTGTGATATCTACAACATCACCATGGAACAAGAGCTATAAAAGCCCATGAGGGTTGGGGGATGGATCAAGGGGATGGATTTAGGCAACTGCCAAATAGAAGGAGAAAGAGAAAAGGCAGATTTTTAAAGAATCTTGTGAAAATGAGCCAACATACTAGAATTCCCAAGTATACACCAAAAAATGCCAAAATCATAGCTGAGCAAATTAACAATCAGAATGTCAATTCACATGATAATAAATTAAATTTATGAGCCATCTAACAATGACTTTAAATTAATTATGATTAAAATTGTTTATTTATTATTAGGTTGTTCAAAGATGTTACAGCCATATAAAAGTACAAAAATTTACTAAAGTGTCTTAAGAAGAAATGGATGGGAAAAAAAACCAGAAAAAAATTTATCTTGGAAGAAAAGACATTGTAATTCAAACAAAAAATAATCTTAATAGAATAAATTCTAGGCTACACAAAATTTTTAAAAAAGAACTGGTGAACTGGGTGATAGATAGTACTGCAGACTTTCCTCAGAATATAGCACAGAGAGACAAAAATAATATAGATAACTAGATGATGATTGAGAAACTTCAATATATATTAATAGACATTTTAAAAGAATAGAATAGAAAGATGGTTAGATAATCAGCATTTAAAACCATAATCATAATAGCTGAGTTTTCTAGAGTTTAATGAAAGAAATAAGTCCTCAGATCAAAAATCAGCCCACAACAAAAGACTAAAAACAAATCCACACATAGACACATCATCATAAGACTGCAGCATACTGAATCTAAAAGAAAATCTTAAAAGCAACTCAAACAAAACAGACTGTATAAAGGAGTAGTATATATATCAGATAATAGATATGTGAAAATAATATCTTTATTTGCTAAGGGGAATTTACAGTTAACAGAGACTTTTATATCCAGCTAAACTATCACTCAACAGCCAAGAGAAAACTAAAGATGCTTTTTAGATATAAAGAGATATACAGCTGAAACTGTTAAAAAATTTAATTAACTCTTGAAAGTCAAAAAAGATTACATGTCCTAAAGGCAAAAGTGAAACTCTAAATCACAGTGACAAGATTTTTGGGGGAAAGGTTTTTAATGACTAATTAAAAGGTACTAAAATCCCCCATTGTGTTTGGGAGGAGAATAAAAATACAAAATACCTTGAGACTTAGTTAAAAAAAATTGTTGGCTGGGCATGGTGGCTCACACCTGTAATCCCAGCACTTTGGGAGGCTGAGGCGGGTGGATCACTTGAGGTCAGGAGATCAAGACCAGCCTGGCCAACATGGTGAAACCCCGTCTCTACTAAAAATACAAAAATTAGCTGGGGGAGGTGGCGGGTGCCTGTAATCCAAGCTACTCGGGAGGCTGAGGCAGGAGAATCACTTAAACCCAGGAGGTGGAGGTTTCAGTGAGCCGAGATCACACCACTACACTGCAGCCTGGGCGACAGTGCGAGGCTCTGTCTCAAAAAAAAAATTGTCATTACATTAAAACTTTTAAAACAATCACTAAAGGAATAGAAATACAAGCAGTGATCATTTAAAAATGACATTTAACAGAAAGCATAAAAAATAAGAGGTTAAAAAAAGTTCAAATATATTCGTATTTACAAAAAATGGTATTGCACTTAGTGGAAAAATAGAGCAGGAAAAATAAATCAAGATAGATAAAATCTCAAAAACATAGTATTAAAACAAATAGTAAGTTTCATAATGGTGCTTCCAGTGTAATACCATTTCTATAAAGTTTTAAACCTGTAGGACGATGTTTTAGTGCTTTTGTATTAGGAATATTAAAATAGGCTGGGTGGGGTGGCTCACCCTTGTAATCCCAGCACTCTGGGAGGCCGAGGCGGGCAGATCACCTGAGGTCAGGAGTTTGAGATCAGCCTGGCCAACATGGTGAAACCCTGTCTCTACTAAAAATACAAAAAAAAATGAGCCAGGCATGGTGGCATGTGCCTGTAATCCCAGCTGCCTGGGAGGCTGAGGCAAGAGAATCGCTTGAACTCGGGAGTTGGAGGTTGCAGTGAGCCGAGATTGCACCACTGCACTCCAGCCTGGGCAACAGAGTGGGACTCCATCTCAAAAATAAATAAATAAATAAATAAAAATTAAAATGTATATGAAAACTCATGCTAGGGTTTATCTCTGGAGAAGGAGGAATGGAAAGTGGAACAAAAAGGAGTTGCACAGGTGGCTGCAACTTTATCTGAAATGCTTTATTTTTAAAATAATGGAAAAATTTAAAAATTAGGTTTAAAACTATCAATAGTGGTTACTTCTAAAAATTGAGATTTCAAGACAAGTGAAGAAGGTAGATAGGACTTTTACTTTTTACTGTATTGTTTCATTTTTTAAAAACTACATATATTTAATTCGGTAATTAAACCACCAAAGACTAAAACAAACAAATAATAGGCAAAGATTTAGAAAACTGAAGAGAAAGAAAGTTAAGAAACTGAACAGTCCAATCTTGCTACTTAACAACCACATGAATTCAGCATGTGGCTTCTAAACAATTCTTGTCAAAGAGAAGGAACCAGACAGTGGGCTGAAAGGTGGGAGGACTGAACTTTGAAAACAGAATGAAGCTTGTAGAAATTTTAAAAAAATAAAATCATCTCTCGAAATAGAGCTATATGTCACATAAACTTTTAGAAGAAAAAAAGGATCAGTCTCAACAAAATGAAAGTCCCTTGGGTTTTTCTTTCCCTGGAAAAAATACCCCGTTAGAAGTCTGTAAATAGCTTTCCAAATTTGCCCAGTATGGCACAATTGTGAATCAATACCACTAAGCAACATTATAACATTTCATCATGATCAGCTTGTCTCCTGACTTAATGTATTTAAGAAAAACCCACTGCTTAGTGTTCTACTTCCCTCTTTTGTGGATTTCAACCTCATGCCTTTCGTGGCCATTGTGTGCTTCAGTGTGATAGTAGCTCAGATTTGGCTTGTGTGCACCCACTCTCCGTCCTCTCCACATGCAGATCCAGGGAAAGATAAAGTCATACCCCACACTTCGAGTCTGACATCTTAGTTTTTACAACATGGTGGCTGCGTGGAGATCACAGGAAATGTTTTCTTTATGATGTCAAATTTAGTGTGACTATGAGGTCATAAGGGGCATTCTCATAAGGACTTGGGGGGCAGAATCATGGCACCCCCGGCTTCTGTAAGAAAGCAAGTGGGGAGGGAGCTGAGGTTAATGAAGACATTGAGAGCTCTGTTTGAGAGGGAATAAAACCACCTGGTCTTGGCACCTTGGGAAATATTTACTTGTTACTGTTATAATGCAAATCAAGCATAACTGGCTAACGAGGGACTCTTCTGGATAATATTTGATTTAAGGGAGGCTTAAGGTATTACCTACTTTAATTCAATTCTCTTGAGGTTAACCTAGAAGCCTTATCAAATTGATATGAATAATTACACCATATGTGACAAGGTTGTGACTAGTAGAGAGGTAGAGGTAGTGATCGAGATGGGGATGGAGGGTGCAGAGAGACAGTCACTGACCATAAAGGGCAGAAGGAATTGCTGGGATGCATGAACAGGCCAGTTTGGGCTGATTCTGTTAGAATTCTCCCCACTGTGAGATGAAATACTCTGTAAGCAACCACTGTACTCAATAGTGATTATCAATAGTGATAATACTATTTATCCTTACTCTCTGCCAGGCACTGACTACTCTACATAATTTCTTATTCAATTCCTTTATAGACAAATGTATTTAATTGCAGTTTTGTTGTGTGTCTTTCCTCTTCATAAAACTTTATAATCCTTTATTCCCCTTTGAAATTACTAGTTTCTAGAACAAAACATGTCCCAAATAATCATTTATTAAATAAATAAAACACTAAAACTATATATAAATTAACGGCTGAGATTCAAAACTTTTTTTAAGTTTATCGTATTATAAAACATAATTGTTTGGATTCCACCAAATTTGAATTCTTGGTAGTTGAGACATGGGATGAAATGTAACTGTGCTATTTAAGAGGTGTTTCCTAAACATATGAATAATGTGAAAAACAGCTTAAGAGATATATTTAGCTTACATAAGAAAACTATTCACAAATGATAAAAGAATTGAAATTGAAATTGAAATACCATTTAGCAACGTTTTTTGATGTTTTTTGTTTTTACTGTTAACTGTTCTAAGGGATAGCAAAGAGATACAGGAAAATGAGGATTCTTCAAAATTCCAAGTAAACTGCCCCCAATTGGGAGGAATAATTAAACTGTAGTAATTTATATTACTGAATGTTAGTGTAATCACTAAAATTCATCCCAAAATGGCTATTGTAAGGAAAAATGTTCATAACATATGCTAAATTAAGAACACAGAATACAGAACTGTGCCCACAGCTATTGATTGTTAAAGTAGAACAGGTCGAATTCCACCTGACAACATTCTAGCTGTGTTTAAAAGCAATCACAAAACATTTTGAAATTGAGAAACTAGTGTGAAACTGGTGATTATCTATTGTTCAACTCTGACTGAATTCTCCAACTTCACTGTTTTTCAACTAAATCAGTTCTTCCAGTAAATATCCCAGAGCTTCCTACCAGATTGGCCAAGGAGAGGTTCTGATTGGATGTGTGTAATGGAAATGTAATAGCTGTGTAAATCCCACACAGGGAATCTTTGAATGTAGGTGCAACAGCTTTATAGATATTACAGTTGTGCAAATGGCCAAGTGCCAAAACTTAAATGTCTGCCTTTCAAACTGAAACACCTGCAGGCTCCATAGAACAAAATGAAAGCAGGGCCACAAAACAGCTGGCCAAATCGCATGTCAGTAAGATCATTCATAAACCCATGAGAGTATGTTACTAAGTGTAAATTACATGGTGGCTCTTGCCTGTAATCCCAGCACTTTGGAAGAGCGAGGCAGGTGGATCACAAGGTCAAGAGTTCAAGACCAGCTTGGCCAATATGGTGAAACCCCATCTCTACTAAAAATACAAAAAAATTAGTCAGGCATGGTGGTGCGTGCCTGTAATCACAGCTACTCGGGAGGCTGAGGCAGGAGAATTGCTTGAACCCGGGAGACAGAGGTTGCAGTGAACAGAGATCACACCATTGCACTCCAGCCTGGGCAACAGAGCAAGACTCCATCTCAAGAAAAAAAAAATTACATCTCACAGTTTTTCAATCTAAACTTGTAGAAAATAAAACTCTATTCTCAATTTAAGTTTAAATTAATATATTTCAATTAAAAGGCTGAGCATTTAAACTGGTATAGTAGATAAGTATATGCCAGCATGGAACAATGTTCATGGATAGGTGGTTGAAAAATGCAGGTACAAAACAGGATGTTCAGTTTCATTTAATTATGATAAAAACAAAAACAAAGAACAAAGGGTCTGGATATCTATATACAGAAAGTAAGAAGATCTGGCCAGATAACCATGAGATGATGAGGTGGATGATAACTATTGCTTCTTTCTTTTTCACTTATCTACATTTTCTAATCTTTCTATACATTGAATATATACATATGTAGGTTTTGTGATAACTGTTTTAAATTTTTAATTAAAAAGCTTTTCTATCAGTGTACAGTTTTGTGTTCATTGCTATTATATTTAAAAGCAACAAAATGTCATGACTTGACAGCACCCCTAGCCTCTCTGCACCAAATATTCCTTGTCAGCTAAATGGTGAGCTGAATAGCCACCTCACAGGTCACTCTAAGTTTTAGATGAGATATTTGATGATAGCAAATGCTTTACTCAGAACCTAGTATATGATGAGGGTGCACTGCATACTAGATTAGGGAGCTTGCCATGGTCCTTCAGGAGTAAATGACAGAGCTGGAGCACCAATCCAGGCTATCTGGCCACAAAGCTATGTGCAGAACCCGGAGAAGGACGGACAACACAGGAAGCCTTGATGGGATGCTGTAAAAGACATTATGATAACGACAATGATGATGGGTGATGATGTAGACTCTCCAGTGGTGCAGACCAATTTTCCCAAATTATTTCAATGCTTTTCAAATCAACCAGCAAATAAAGAGCTTTAAATTCTAGGTTCATTACATAGCTAAATCAGTTTTATTGTGTATATGACTTGGGGAAGAGTTAATCTTTTTGAAAGAGCTAAGATAAAATTATCGAGTCCATTTTGCATCTTGTAATGAAGAGTTGCTAGGGCAACCTCTTTGCTCAATACCTCATTTCCAAGGTGACCGATTTGAGGCTGGTCCGGGAAACACTGAAAACCAAAACAGCATTGTGTTCCAGAAGAAGAAAGAGCCCATACATAAGTGATGAATGAAACAAAGAGCTGGGGACAAAGCCAGACACTGCTTTACAACTCTATGCAGACAGATGTGGCCGTGCACAGAACACAGGAGGAGGACGCAATTAAGATTCTCAGTGAAGTAAGACTCTAGTGTGTTTCCTTTTCAACTCCATTCTACTTTTTGTCTGCTTTTTCATAAAAGTCCAAACATCAAAAAGGTATACATCCCATGAGGTGGGAGATATTTGAGATTATTATTTTGTTATTCTTTCCATTTATAGCTGAGGGTGTCTTCCAGTCAGAGAAAATATTAGGGAATCAAAGATACAAAAGTGCTTTGGATGTGAGACTGGAGATCACTGCAGTATATGCCTGTCATCAGAGTGATTCTTACTATGAATAAGGGAGGGCAAGTGTGCTGTGCAGTGCCTACCTACGTGCAGGCTGTCTTGAGAACTCACAATGCCACAGAAGGCACCAAGCACAAGTGCCCATGGGATGTGCTTGAGAACTGTTCATCCCCTCCCCTGGGCTTTGTGTTCTAGAGGCAGACGACTAGGATGCCCCCCTGAAGAACAAGACCCTCACTACTCATTCTTTATTTTTCCCCTGCTTGATATTCCAGGCTGGAGTCTGGAGAATCACTCTTGGCATTTTTCTCTCTCTCAGCCCCACATCGTTGACTTGACTTTATAAAGAGCTTTGGGTACATCCGCAGTGTTTCAGCCACACAGCCTACTGGTTCCAGCCACCCAGCCCTGCCTCCTGACTGCCCCCATCTCCCCAACTGCCTCCTGACTGCCCGCCTCTCCAACTATTCTCTGTGTGCCAGCTCAAACCCCAAATTAATTTCTCCTCTGCTAACAACCCCTCCATTCCCCTCAGGATGAAGTTCAAAATCCTTAATTCAATCAAGGCCCTTCCTTCACCAGCTTTATCACCTTCTCCACTCACACTAAACTTCTCTGGAATGACAAACATTCTCTGTTCCTTAGGATTCCCCAAGCTCCCCCACTGCCTGGGGCTCTCTTCCCATCTCTCCACCTTCATAACTCCTTCTCTTCCCCTGGGTCTGAACTCCGATGCCACTAGCTAAGGCAAGCCTTCTGTGGCCACTGAAGCCAGGTGAGGGACATCTCCTGCATCTTCACTCAGCACTTCCCACTCGTCACATTTAACTAGAACTTCTCTCATTTTCATTGCTACTTCCTCCTGAGACTGTCGGTTGTGCTTGGGTAGGAATGTTGGCTTTCCTGTTTGGCACTGTATTCTAGAGCCCAACACAGGCATATACAATAGGCATAAATTTGTTGAATATTTTTATAATAAAAGTCAACATTTTAAGTGCCTGCTAAGTACTTTACACTGTATGCATTACTTCTTTTAATTCCATAACAACCTCAGAGTAGGCATATTATTATTCACAGAGTATGGATATATCACATACATCTCAGAGAAAAAAATTTCTAACTGTTGGACTGAATATTAAGTTTGCTTCTTCAGCATATGAACCAATGAGGAAAGAATAGGCTGAATAAAGATCTTATGTCTGCATCCTACTTTCAGGGTTTTCAAAGCATTTCTACACACCAAGGACCAATGATTATCAAGTATTACACAGAGTTCTTCTTAGGAAGAGAGTACTACTTTACTCTGTCTGTGGGGATACATGCTAGTGAAAATGTACAGTGAATTTGGGGGATGATTTGAATTATCAAAATTTAAAATGCACATACCCTTTGGGTCCAGCCATCTGACTTGAGGGAATTTCTTCCAAAGCCAGACTTATACATGTGCCCAAAAATCTACGTGCAAAGATACCTGTTACAGGAATGTTTGTAAGAGGGGAAGGAAGAACACAATGTAAATATCCATTAATAATGGGGAAGAACCTTGCAACTATAGGCATGAGACCATCTACCTGTATGGAAAGGGCTCTAAGACAAAATGTTTAAAATAGTTTTTAAAATAGTAAATGTATATGGTATTGTCTTATTCATGTTTATTAAAGTTCTTATGTGTCTCTGTATAAATACGTTATGTGTGCACATACTTACATATGCATATGTAGAAAAAGGATTGGAAGGAAATTCACCAAACTATTCAACGTGTTTCCTTCATGGATAGGCGTAGTGGTGAGAGAAGCCTCCTCTGAAGACTTAAGTATGGCTTAAATCTCATATACTGAGAATTATTCATATATTACTTATCAGATAAAAATAAAGCAGTTAATTAAAAATTAAGTTCCCATTACATTTACATCATTTTGTCATTTGCTTTCAGGTCTGTTTCACTTTCTTTCTTTTTTTTTTTTTAGATGAAGTCTCGCTCTGTTGCCAGGCTGGGGTGCAGTAGCGTGATCTCAGCTCACTGCAACCTCTGCCTCCCGAATTCAAGCAATTCTCCTGCCTCAGCCTCCCGAGTAGCTGCGACTACAGGCACACGCCACCACACCTGGCTAATTTTTTTGTATTTTTAGTACAGACGGAGTTTCACCATGTTGGCCAGGATGGTCTCGATCTCCTGACCTAATGATCCGCTGCCTCGGCCTCCTGAAGTGCTGGAATTATAGGTGTGAGCCACCGCACCTGGCCAGGTCTGTTTTTCTTAACATTTTTCTCAGTGTATAATTAATAATGTTCAGAGTTAAAAGTACTACAATAAAAATTAAAAGCTACATAAATTTAAAAAAAAAAAACATCTCCCAACAATCTCACCACCCAGCTAAACTGTTAACATTTTGGTAAAAGAAAAAAGGGAGGGAAGGGGAAAGTACCACCATGCCTAAATCAGTCACATGAACAACCAAGTTTCTAACACACTATATATTCTGATTTTTTTCATTTAGCATGATATTTCATTTAGCACGATATTTCATTTAGCACGAGGACTTTTCATCGTGTGAAACTTATTCTTTAGAAATGTGATATCTGATGAATGTATGACATGCCATTATATGAATTTGTGTTGTTTTCCATTGTTGGCTAAAGGCTGTAGTAATTATTCTCTGCACATATACTTCAGTATCTCTAATTATTTCCTTACATAGATTCCTAGTAATATATGAATTCGCTGGGGTAAATATAAGTTCTTAAGGCTTCTGAACATTTTACACTAAGGATGCACCAATTTATACTCTCACTAGCAGGATATAAGTGTCCATCCCACCCTGTCATTGCCATTACTGTTTATCGGTGATTTTTAACCTTACCAATTTGATGGGGGAGGTGGTGTCTAATTGATTATCAATTTGCATTTTTTAAGGCATATATTTGGTTACCAGTAAAGTTAAATATTTTTGTATATGAGTTTGACTTTTTTCCTTTTTTTCCCTAAAATTTCCACTCCAGTATTTGTCATTTTCTCATTCCCTTATGGTATGGATGTATGTGCATGTGTGTTTGCATACTGAACACTGATTCATACAAACACGGTGCTTTATACTGATACACACACGTAAGATATCACTCCTATGGCCCTTTTTGTCTGTCATGTATGTTGCAGGTATTTTTCTGAGATTTGTCTTCATTTTATTTACATGTTTTTAAGCAAAATAACATTTTTACCTACTCAGCCTATAAATCTTTCCTTTATTGTTTCTTCCTTGGATTTTATGCTTCTGCTTCCCTATCCTACCATATTTTTTTCAAGAAATTTACTTTTCACTCTACCTCAAGTTGTTGGGACATTTAGAAGGAGGCATAATAAGCCCAAGAAAATTCTATTTCTAAGTAGAGTTCACTAAATATATTTCGTCCCAAATAAAACTCAAGAATAGTAATATAACTGCAGAGAATATGAAGGAGCTGTCCCCAAACCTCCTACAAGAAATAAATTAGGGTTCAGTTTCTCCCTGTTGCTTCTAGAAGAAGTCAAGTTCAAGTGGTGAGTTGACATCTGACTAATTAGGTATAAATCAAATCTGCCAATCACAAGGAAACAGCCAGGGACAGGAGCACTCACCTTGAGGCAAAGTAGCCAGGAACCAGCCTAGAGGAGAACACACACACAGCCTCCGGAGGGAGAGTCACTGGTCATCCCAAACCAGCAGGCAGGTGAGCCTCCATGGGTGATAATTTTTAAAATGTGCTAATAGAATAAAATTCACCAATTCATCTGCTTCTCCCAATACATCAAATCTCAGCTATTTCAAGGCCAGTTAGAAAAGGTCTTTTCATTTTTAAAAAAACTTTCTCCTGCCTTTGATCTTTTCAACTTCTTTTTATGGAAAATTTCAAATACACAAAAAAGCAGAAAGAAGAGTAAAACGACCCTTCTCACTAAGTCTTATCCAAATGCTACAATGATCAACGTGTGGTCTATCTATTTCATCTACTCTCCCCCGCCCACTACTCCACCACCCCAATTACAATAAAGCAAACCCCAAGCATCCCCAAGCATTGTATCATTTCCTCTGCAAAGATTTCAGCATGAGACAGGTCTTTTAAGGATATTGTTTCCATTCAGTGACTGCAAAGACTGAAATGTTTCTATTTAAATCGTTAGTTGCTGTTGTATTTGCCTGGAAGCACTGAGGTTCCGTCTTCATGTTCTCATGTTTTTGGTGTTCTTCATCCCACTGCAGTAATGCCGTTCCACTGGAATTATTCTTGTAAAGATGAGCACCTCCTTGTTGCCAAATTCAGTGTTAAGTTTTCAGTACTTCCTTGGCCTTCCTCCACATTTAACCCTACCACGCCCTCCCATTGGAAGCTGTTTTTCTCCTCTCGGGACCGGCCTAGGACAATCTGGTGGTTCTTTTGCTAACATGTGGCTTGCTTGTTTGCTCTCTTAACTTTTTCCTTTAGCTACAAAAGATGCCACTCAATTTAGGAAGAGAAGGTAAGCAAAAGAAGGACATAATCTCTCGCAAGTCCTCCCTTTCCTTTCATAAAGGGATATTTGATGTTCACTCATGACTCTGACCTAGAGTTTTCAATCATTTCTGCAGCCCCACACTTCTATCCGTTAGCAACGAACCACGAAGTGCCAACCCAACCAAGATCAGTTTCTCTCAGCTTAAAAAGAGAATTCTTATTTTCGTTGTTTTTGAGACAAGATCTCGCTTTGTCACCCAGGCTGGAATGCGGTGACGCAATCACCGCTCACTGCAGCCTCGATGTCTCAGGCTCAAGCGATTCTCCCACCTCAGTGGCTCAAGTAGCTGGGGCTACAGGTGCATGCCACCATGCCTGGCTAATTTTTGTATTTTTTGTAGAAACAGGGTTTCACGATGTTGCCCAGGCTGGTCTCAAACTCCTGGATTCAAGGGATCCACCCACCACAGCCTTCCCAAGTGCTGGGGTTACAGGCATGCGCCACCGCGCCCAAATTCTTAAAAGCCTCTCTCTCTCCCTTTTACTGCCTTTACAAATACTTTTTCCCCCAGTGGCTAAAATACATTTCTGTTACAACCACACAAGAAATTGGACTACTTTTTATTTGAGCAGAAAATGAAAATGGCCTCAAGTAGGGACGTATAGACAATCAGTTTACCTCATCAAAGACCTTAGACACGACATGCTTGTCCAGGACGGGAACATAGGTGGAGCTGTGCGGGACTGCTGCCACTGACAAGGCATCCATGAGGGTGAGTTTCTTGGCGACCAAGCCATAGGTCTTCAGCCAGTTTTCTGAAGACACATCTGAAGAACTAAGAACACAAGGAGGTGGTGTTTTAAAATTTACAACTTGATGGTTAACCAACAGAAGCATAACAGAACTGTCTTTGTCAAATTAAAGAACTCACTCGTGGTCATAAACCTGGCTTCCTTCTCGCGTCACCTTTTCTGACGATTTGTCATCCAGCCACTCCTCAGCCAGCAAGATGCTCATTTCTGTGGAAGGGGAAGTGGCAGTTGTATATTTTCCTCACATATGGGTTTTACATAAAATGCAAAGGGATCACGCTTGTCTCAGTCCAGCTGTGACTGAGAGCTAATAAATGGACCACATTTCAGAGAACATATCCTGATTTGTCAGAGCGGGCTCTCAGGCAAGATTCCTTTGCAATTTACACTACAGACCAATGCATGGGTAAATACGGCACTACCACTGTTTTGAGACAATGAGACATATTCATTCTTTCATTCAGAAAACACACCTCTAAAAAGTGTGCAATAAAAATACCATTAACCAATGATTGTTCAATATTGACCTTTTGGACTCCCCCAAATTATATGAGAGCCTTGATCAACATTTTAATTTCTGATAGATTGTTTAGTGGTTCTTCAGCTTTCTGTAGAAAACCAAAAAACCTGTTAGGTCCTGTTTAGTTGTAAGTTCAAATTTTCAAATTAATATTTGGGGTTTTACATATATCCTTATATAAATGTGTATTTATAAATGAAAAGGGATATTTGTTGAATGAGCAGCATTCAGAAGGAGGCGTGTTTGGGTGTGAGCTAGTTAACTAGCTAAGAAATCATATCCCAATCATCATTTGATAAGCCCTTTAAGGAATGTGCATGTAGACAACTTAGGAAATATGGCAGGTTAATTGAAAGGGAGCCACTGTGCCCGGCCAAAATCCCAGCACTTTGGGAGGCCAAGGCGGGTGGCTCACTTGAGGTCAGGAGTTTGAGACTAGCCTGACCAATATGGTGGAACCCTGTCTCTACTAAAAATACAAAAATTAGCTTGGCCTGTTGGCGGCTGCCTGTAATCCCAGCTACTCGGGAGGCTGAGGCAGGAGAATTACTTGAACCGTGGAGGCAGAGGTTGCAGTGAGCCGAGATCACGCCACTGCACTCCAGCCTAGGTAACAAAGTGAGACTCTACCTCAAAAAAAAAAAAAAAGTGAGGAAAAGATATCAGACAGATCAGCAATGAAGAAAACAGAGTTCTAAATTAAACTATGACTGTGTAGCCACAGGGGCACATTTGCTACTCAGCCACTTCCTACTCCCTAGGGGATTGTGTGTATATGTGTGTGTTTAACTGGGATTTTAAATGTATCAACCATTTGAAATAAAAGAAAAATGTTACAGGCATCAAACGTTTCAAAACTTATTACTTTAAGATTAATAATTTTATCAATAGTAATAAAAATTGAGTGGGAAAATCACATTTTCCTCATATGCAGTCCCCAAAAGGCTGACAATTTGGACCAGAGAGGGGCTCATCTGATAGCATCATCCATTGAAGAAAGGGAAGAAAAAAAATCAACTATGAAATATGACAGTTTCAAAATCAAACCATGGAGGGGCAGCAGCATGACCATAGTTATGTGAGCCACGTGTGTATTAAACACCCAGGCACCATAAGCACAAGGCCAGCTCTCAGAAAATCCAGGTCATAAAGCAGGCAGACCTGACTTACAAGGGATTCCTTTGAATAGGAAGCAATCTGGGCCCATTTAAAATATGATTTCCCCAACATATCTACACGCAGCTCTTTCTGGAACAGATACACTGTGGAAAGGGAGGCTGGTTGGCCACAGAGATGCTTTCTGGCTTGCCTTTGTCACTTAGAGCAGTCCTCCGGCTGCTGGCATTGGAGAGGCCATCCTTCCTTTCACTGCAAGCTGAGCTCCTGAGGGAGGACATCTGGCTTCTGAGCAGGCTGGTTTTGGTTGATTCTGTTGGTATCACAGAGGGAAGAGTTAAAGGAATTGGGGATGGAAGGAGATACTTCATTAGATATAACTATTTTATCAGCTCCTTAAAGTAAGAATGCAACCTTTGTTTCCCAACCCTCTGAGGATGGTGCTGCCACAAACTGAATGCTGCCAGGATGCCCTGCTCCCTTTATCTGAATTTCAGCTGGACCCCTCCTGGAGAGAAGTCAGCTTCCACACTCATTCAGGCTGCTGGCAGAACCCAGCTCCTTGCAATTGTAGGACTGAGGCCCCATTTCCTTGCTGACTGTAGCCCAGCGGCCTCTCTCAGCTGCTTAAGGCATCTGTATTACTTCTCACACGACTCTTCCATCTTCAAGACAGTAATAGCACATTGAATTCCTCTTGTGGTTCAAATCTGTCTGACTTTCTCTTCTGCCACCAGCTGGAAATAGCCCCTGCTTTTCACAGTTCCCACAGTTACACTGGACTCACCTAGATAACTCTGTCTAGGTCAGCATAACCTGGTCATGAGAGTGACGTGTCATCATATTCAAAGATTGCAGGGTTCAGGGCAGGACATCTTTGGTAAGCCATTCTAGAAATTCTGCCCACCACAATTGCTGTCCAGATCTTTGCTTATGTTATTTTCTACCCTGTGATGTGTCCCTTCTACAGGCAAATGACAACTTAGCAAATATTGACCTTGAATCTGTGTGCTTTAGAGGACAATGAGCCTGTGCCAAGTCATCTTGATTACTTTTTATATTTGATAACATAAACCACACTAATTGTAATGTAGTCTGTACTTCATAATTTGGAGGCTTTAGAAGTACCTAGTTCCAAGGCTTTATGTCAGCATTCGTGAATGAAATGTGTCTGTGTTTTCACTGAGAGGACTTACCCTCTCCTACAAGAAATTAGATAGTTAGAGTGAAGATTAGCTAGTAATCTGCAAATGGGTAGCTTTCACACAGAAAATTAACACCAGTGGTCTCCATGCATAGAGAAGGAGTGTGCTATACGGTAATCATTGTTTTTCTAGGCAACAAAAGGGTAAGCCCTGCCTTGATTGTCTCTGTACCCAGGAACTAAGAAAGCTAAATTTCCTTAGAAGCTATGTCTGTGAGAAAAAGAGATAAACAATCCAAATCAGAGAGCTGAGCTCCTGCCAGTGTCCACACTGGCAGCCCACCTTGACCAACATTACCAGGCAAAACAATCAGATTTACGTGAGCCAAATGAAAATGAAATTTAGCTCCCCAAGTCTCCAAACATAAAAACTATACCATTCCCAAAGGCCACAAATACGGAATGAAACATTTATCTAGCAGTGGAATCAAACATTTAGCCCCTCCCCGGACTCTGTAGGATCAGTCATGGCATTTCACCACTCCTCTACATCACCAATGGAAACAAAATAGAAACTCAGCACATGATTGTCTCCCAATACCGAGCAACCCAAATCTAAGTGAAATGGTGGCAGTGACAATTGGCCATTAAAATGTTTAAGACAAGTAGCAACTCTGGCAAAACTCAGGTTCACTGGAACAGGCAGGCAGGACTGGAAAAAGGGATGCAGCCACACAAGTGGCCAGTGTGGGAAGGCTGTTTGTTCCCATGTACGATGCTGCTCCCTTGTACAGAGATAGCAGGAGCAAGAGGGCCAATCTCCAGTTAGCGGCCCTTTCCGGGACGCCTCTTGGTCCCTGTGGGTTCAAGGCCCTCCTCCCTGCCAGCAATGTGGGGACACCTCAGAGACAACACTGGGGGAAGCTGCTGCAACTCTCCCCTCAGAGACATCTAACATCCTGGTCTGAGGGGATCCCTGCTGCCACCTCAGGTAGCACCAGCAGGGACCAGTAGGAGCCCCAGAAACACCATAAAAACAAGCACCAAAATATTAACAATACCACAGAGCCTGTGAAAATTAAATCGCCATCAGAACCACAGCCCACAAAAGTAGGTCAAGGCCCACATGCTAAATTTAAACAGGGTGACTACTTCATAAAATAAAATACTTAAATGAGATGCAGAGTTCCTAACATAATAGACAAAATGTCCAAGATACTATCAAAAATCACCCATCATATCAGTAACTAGAAAAACAATCACACCTTCAATCAGAAAAAGCAAATGCATGATGCCAACACCAAGAAGAATCAGGAGCTGGAATTATCTGACAAGGATTTTAAAGAGGCTACCCATAAAAGTGCTTCAACAATTAATTATACATTCTCTGGAAACAAATGAACAAATAGAAAGAAAAGCAAGAAAGCCTCTAGCTAGATAGAAAAAAGGCAAAAAGAGAGAAGACAGATCAAAGCACTAATATCAAGAGTTCATTGCTAAAGATCTTGCAGCCATTAAAAAGCTAACAAAGGGATATAATAAACAACTTTGCCCTCATAAATCTGATAAATTAGAAACAATAGACCAATTACTGAAAAACCACAAAGTGCCAAAACTCGACCAAGCTGAAATGGACAATATCCTTAAAACCATTACAGAAATTGCATTCATCATGAAAAATCTGGAAAAGAAATCCCTAGGCCGAAATGGCTCCATGATAACTCTACCAAACATTCAAAGAAGAATTACATGAATTTCTCCCAGGAATAGAAGAGGAGGGACAATTTTCCAACCCACTTGGTGAGGACACTATTAGCTTGATACCAAAGCTGGATGAAGTCAGTGTTAAAAAAGAAAAATTAAAAGAACTATAGATCAATAGCTTTCATGAACTTTGATACCAAAATCCTCAACAAAATACTAGCAAACGGAATCCAGCAATGTATTAAAATAATTATACACTGAGACTAAGTGGGAAATATTCCAAGATATACAAGGCTGCTTCCACATTTGAAAATCAATTGATGTCATCCACCATTTCAATAGACTAAAGAAGAAAAAGCCTATATCAGTTGACACAGAAAAAGCATTTGATAAAATCCAGCATCCATTCATGATAAAAACTCTCAGAAAGCTAGAAATGTGTGGAACTTCCTTAACTGGATAGAGGTTTTCTTTAATTTTTTTCTAGAAGTGTTATAGTTTTCTGTTTTACATTTAAATCCACGGTACATGTGAGGTTAAGGTCAAGTTTCTTTTCCTTTTTTGACTGTAGATATTGCTTCAGCATCTTTGTTGAAAGGGCTATACTCCCTCCATTGAGTTAATTTTGCACCTTTGTCAAATCATTTGGGTATATTTGTGTGGATTAAATCTAGGTCCTATTCCACCTATCCCTCTGCTAATACCACACCGTCTTGATTAATGTGGTTATGTGGTAAGCCTTAATGTCCAGTACAGTGATTTCTCCAACTTTAGTCTCTTTTTCAAAATTATTTTAGCTATTGTAGAACCTGATGTTTCTGCATATATTTTAGAATATGCTTGTATATGTTTATAAAAACATTTTTGGGATTCTATTAGGAATTTCATTAAACCTATAGATAAATGAGCTGAGAATTGTCATCTATCACACCAATTCATTCAACCTATGAACATGGTGTCTCAATTTATTTAGATCTTCTTTAGTGTCTTACAGCAGAATTTTATAATTTTCAGCAAACAGATTCTGCACATACTTCGTTACATGTTCACCTAATTATTTTATTTTATTTGGAGCAATTATGAATGACTTTAATATAGGTTGCTGTATGTTCACTGTTAGTATATCAAAATGCAATTGGTTTTGTGCGTCCCGTAGCCAGAGACCTTGCTGAACTCAGTAGCTCTAGGACTTGTATTTTTGGTACATCCCTTGCTGTTTTCTACATAGACAATACAATATCTGCAAATAGGGACAGTTTTATTTCTTCCTTTCCAATCTTTCTGGCTTTATTTTTTCTTCTTGCCTTGTTACAGTGGCTAGAACTTCCCGTGCTATGCTGAATAAGGGTGGTAAGAGTAGGCATCCTTTCCCCCAATTTTAGGGGGAAATAATTCAGTCTTTCACCTTTTAGTTTGATTTTAGCTGTAGGAAGGGTGTGCAAGGGAGGTGGGTGTGGTTATAAAAGGGCAGCATGAAGGATTCCCTAGGTGATGGGACTCTTCTGTATCTTGACTGTAGTGGTGGAAACACAAACCTATACACGTGATCAAACCGTGTAGACCTAAACACACACTGTCAGACACACACACACACATACACACACACACTCACACGGGTACAAGTAAAACTGGACGATTTGAATAAGACCTGTGGATTGCATCAATATCAATATCCTGGTTTTAATATTGGACTATTATTTTGCAAGATGTTACCATTGGGGAAACAGGATGAAGCGTAGGTATATATAAGATCATGTGAATGTACAATTATTTTAATAAAAATTTTAATTTAAAAAACCCACAAGTTTAGTGCTTCTTAAAAATATTATGTGGGTTTAGTTTTATTCTATCTTCTTGCCTTGAAGAGAAACCAGCAAAGAGTCAAGCCATTTTGTTCACTGATACCTGCGTGAAGGACTTTCTTTTTCTGAACCTTTTGATCTGAAAGGCCCCATGGTCCCTTCAACATATTCAGAGATGAAGTTTGTGTTGAATCGACATCAGATTGAGGCTTTGCACACTTTTCTGGGGTTGAAATCATAGAACAGATTTCCTTTTGATGCCTGTTTTGATTTAGATAAAAAGTCGAGCAAAAAAAGAGAGAGAAAAGAAAATTTCCATCAAGAAGGCAGAGTTAAGTCAATACATTCATGTTGAACACTGCAAACTTTAAAAAGTAAGCCTTCCCCCATCTGGGTTAATATAAAAATAGTCATTTATCCCTGACTGATGCAGAAGAGTGGAGAGGGGCCCAGCCTTGGAGTCAGAAGATACAGCTCACTTCACAGGTCTGGTCCCTCCTGGCTCTGTGACCTCAGTCAAGTCACTCAATCCTCTCTAAACTTCTTCACTTTCCTCATCCATCAACTGCAGGAAACGTCACCTGCACACCTATATAGTGACTACATGGGGCTGATGGGAGGATTCGTAGGAGTGAAAGCCGGTTATAAACAAGTAAGCACTGCAGAAACCCATTCTCTAATCAGTGTCTACCAGCAAGCACTTATAAAAGCTAGAGAAAGGAACTCCTGCCTTGGACCTCCCATGCCAGCACCAGATCCCAGGGAACCATTCTGGAGAATGGAGCGATCCCAGAAACGCTTGCATGTTTTCCCAGATATGACCTTCTCTGAAGCGCTGAAGACAGCAGCCATACAAAGGAAAACTTCCAGAGCAATTTCTGCTCCAACACTGTGACGTGTGCCCTCCCTCCTGCACCACTGCCCCTCGACGCCTCCGTGGAGCACCTGCCCCGGGTTCCATGGCCCTCTGTGGGTCTGTGCCCGCACTGTGCCCCCCACAGCAGAAGGAACCAGACTGACATTCATCTGTGCACCCCGATTCTCTTACTGCATGGTTTGTACTCAATAAATGGCTTCTCATTTACTTGATTCTTAGTTTATTTGTTCAAATTTTTGAAATTTAGAAGCTGTATCTGTGCTTTCCCAAATACTTAAAAAATAATGCCATAAAATCTTATTGTAAGATGGCCATTATAACATTTACCTCTTTTTACTGATTCCACAGTCATGCCCTACCTTAAGCCCATACAAATGCTTAATTTGCTAACAGGAAGACAGTGCATTTTGTTGAACAATAAATTCTCATTAATAAATGTATTTTCTTTTTTTCCCCCAATTTTCTATCATTCTTTGAAATAAAAAAGACATCTCCTGGCAGGGTAGGCTGTGATACTTGAATATCTGGAAAATATTAAATCATTTTAATAAGATTTGACCAATTTCCTGAGTGTTTGGCGGTGGTTTTGATTTTGTTTAAAAACCACAAATTAGAAACATATAAGAATATAGGATGGGGGCAGACAGGAGAAGTCATCTGTCCCAAACCCACCACCACGGCCACCATTTTAAAGATGAGGAAACAGAGACCCACGCAATGGAGAGGCGTGGAGAGAAGTTCGGGCCTCGCCACAGTCACATAGAGGGAAGTCCAGGCCTCGGCCTCCTGATCCCTGAGTCAGAGCTCCTTCCCCACACAGTGCTCCTCTCCGCCCTCTCATTGCTTGGGTCTGGGGGCCCGTCCACACAGCGTGGAGAACATAAAGGGGAATATGTGGCCTCCTCAAGCCCACAATTAAATTAAATTGTTATTAAATTGTTAATTCTCTTTGCTTAAAAAAATCCTAACTTAATCACACTACGTGATTCTTTTCACTAAAAGAAATTTCACAGAGCATTTCAGAAAGGACAAGGGCCCAGGGGGCAAGCCCAGCTCTCAAGAGGCCTCAGCGCAGGGAGACAGGCGGGCAGAGGTGCTCACTTGCTGTCTCCATCCTTTTCTGCATTGTACCACCAGTCCATGATCAAGGACTCAGAATAAAGGTCTTGCATCTTCTCCAGATCACTGTGACCCTGTTCCATTTCCTTAACTAAAAGAGTCAGATCTTCATTCTGCCAAAATGAGAAGTGAATATGCTATAAGACTAGATAAAAAGAGCTCAAATTCCAAACATGTTTCTTTTCTTTTTAGAGACAAGAGGTTCACTATGTTGCCCACGCTGGTCTTGAGCTCCTGGGCTCAAGTGATCCTCTCATCTTGGCCTCCCAAGTACCTGGGACTACAGCACACGGCCAGAAAATGTCAAACATTTCTAACAGAAAGCCAACTGTATCAGGAAAAGAAGAATCTAAAGAATTTTATGTTGTTCTTATATTATCCCATTTTTAGCCAGCTTTATTGATGTGTAATTCACATACAACAAGCTGAACATCTGTAAAATGCACCATTTGAAAAGTTTGACATTCCCACCTGCAAAATCATTCTTACAGTCAAAATAATGAACATATTCGTCACCCTCCAAATTTCCTTGTGCCCCATTGTAAATCTGCACACCCTCCTACAAGCCCTCTCCCTCAATTCTCCAGGAACTACTCATTGGCTTTCTGTCACTACACATTAGTTTCAGTTTTCTAGAATTTTATACAAATGGAATCACACAGAAATTACTCTTTTTTCCTGACTTTCTTCATTTATATAATTATTTTAAGATTCACCCATGTTGTAGCATGAATCAATACTTCATTCATTTCTTATTGCTGAGCTGTATTCTATTGTATACTATTTATTAAATACCACAATTTATTTATCCATTCACCTGTTGATGTTGTTTTCAGGTTTGGGCTGTTATAAATAAAGCTACACACATTTGCATACAAGTCTTTGCATGGACGTCGGCTTTCATTCCTCCTGAATAAATATCTAGGAGTAGAATGATTGGACCATGTGGTTTGTGATGTTAAGGTCCTTCACGTCCCTTGTAAGCTGTATTCCTAGGCATTTTATTCTCTTTATAGCAATTGTGAATGGGAGTTCATTCATGATTTGGCTCTCTGCTTGTCTGTTGTTGGAGTACAGGAATGCTTGTGATTTTTGCACATTGAATTTATATTCTGAGACTTTGCTAAAGTTGCTTATCAGCTGAAGGAGTTTTTGGGCTGAGACGATGGGGTTTTCTAAATATACAATGATGTCATCTGCAAACAGAGACAATTTGACTTCTTCTCTTCCTATTTGAACACCCTTTATTTCTTTCTCTTGCCCGATTGCCCTGGCCAGAAATCCAATACTATGTTGAATAGGAGTGGTGAGAGAGGGCATCCTTATCTTGTGCTGGTTTTCAAAGGGAATGCTTCTGGCTTTTGCCCATTCAGTATGATATTGGCTATGGGTTTGTCATAAATGGCTCTTATTATTTTAAGATATGTTCCATCAGTACCTAGTTTATGGAGAGTTTTTAACCTGAAGGGATGTTGAATTTTACGATGTTGACCCTCTTTTCATGTGCTTCTTTGCCATCTGTAGATTCTCTTCAGTGAAATGTCTGTGCATACATTTTGCCTATTTTCTGATTAGATGGTTTGTTTTCTACTGTTAAGTTTTAAGAGTTCTTCATATATTCTAGATACTAAGACCTTTGTCTGACATGTCATTTGCAGATACTTTCTCTAAGTCTGCAGCTCATCTTTTTATGTTCTTAACAGGGTCTCCCACAGAGTGAAAGCTTTTAATTTTGATGAGGTCCAATCTATTAATCCTTCCTTTTATGGATAATGCTTTTGGAATCAAGACTAAAAATCCTTTGGTAGCCCAACATCCCCATAATTTTTCCCACATTTCTTTCTAGAAGTTTTACAGTTTTATGTTTTAGATTTAAGTCCACACTCCATTTTGAGTTAAGATGTCCATGAGGTATGAGGTTTAGGTTGGGGTTTATTATTTTGCCTTTGGATATCCAATTGCTCCAACCATTTATTGAGATGGCTATCCTTCCTCCGCTGGATTGCTTTTGCATCTTTGTCAAAAATCAGTCGAGCATGTTGTGTGGGTGTATTTCTATAACTGTTCCATTGGTCTACGTGTCTGTTTCTCCACCAGAGCAAATACATCTTGATGAATGCAGCTACATAGTAAGCCTTAATACTAGGTATAATGATTCTTCCCATTTTATTTTTCTTTTTCAAGATTGTTTAAACATTTTTAGAGCCTGTGACTTGTCATATAAATTTCAGATAGGCTTAACTATGTCTGTAAAAAACTTTTCTGGGGTTTTTATAGAAATTTTGATAAACCTATAGATCAAGCTGGGGAGAACTGACGTCTCTAATATGTTAAGTCGTTCAATCCGTGAACAGGACATATCTTTCCATTTATTTAGATCTTCTTTGATATCTTCAGCATTTTGTAATTTTCAACATAAAACTGCTGTACATACTTTTTTAGGTGCATAAATATTTCATCTTATTTGAAACTCAATTGTAAGTGGTATTGGGTATTTAATTTTCACTTCCACATGCTCACTGTTACTTTATCAAAATATGATTGAAGTGTGTGTATTAATTTTGTGACTTTGCTGAAATCTCGTAAAAGTTCCAGTTTTTTTTTTTTTTGTAGATCTCCTGGGGTTTTCTATGTAGATAATACATTACCTGCACATAAAAAGTTTTATTTCTTCCTTCTCAATCTGTATGCCTTTTATTTCTTTTCTTGCCTTGTTCCCATGGTTAGAACTTCCAGTAGTATGTTGAATCACAGCGGTGAGAATAGATGTCTTTGACTCTTCTAATCTTAAGGGGAAATCATTCAGCCTTTCACTACTAAGTATGACTTTAGCTGTAGGTATTGATGTTCTTATTAAGTTGAGGAAGTTCTCTTCTATTTCTATTTTGCTGAGAGTTTTTATTATGAATGGTGTGGAATTTGGTCAAGGCTTTTTCTGCATCAATTGATAAAACCATATGATTTTTCTTCTTTAGCCTGTTGATATGCTGGATTATACTAATAGATTTTCTAATGTTGAAACAATCAATTACAAATTTCTTGAAACAAATGAACAAATATTTCCAATATACAAAAACAAGTAGCCAGGTGGGGCGGCTCATGCCTGTAACCCCAGCACATTGGGAAGCCAAGGCAGGTGGATCACATGAAGTCAGGAGTTCGAGATCAGCCTGGCCAACATGGGGAAACCCCGTCTCTATTAAAAATACAAATTAGCTGGGCATGGTGGCCAGTGCCTACATAATCCCAGCTACTTGGGAGGCTGAGGCAGAAGAATTGCTTGAACCATAGAGGTGGAGATTGCAGTGAGCCAAGATTGCACCACTGCGCTCCAGCCTGGGTAAAAAAAAAGAACAAATATTCTTGTATATATGGAGTAAGTCCCCCTTGATCATAGTGTATAATTTTTAATACATTGCTGGATTCATTTTACTAATATTTTGTTGAGGATTTTTGCATGATGTATTTCAAAAAATCCTTTTAGTTGAACCTACCTATGTAGAATTAAAGTGAGATTCTCAAAAGCAGCACATAGTTTGGTTGTGTTCTTTTTTTTTTTTTAATTCACACTGCCAGTATCTGTCTTTTGATTGGTGTGATTAGACCATTAATTTAAAAAGTATTATTGACATGTTAGCACTTACTTCCAGTATTTTATGGTTTGTTTTCTCATTCCTCTGTTTGTCTTTCCTTGCCTTCCTTCAGGTTATTTAAACTTTTTTTTTCTTACAATTCTATTTTGATTTATTTACAGAGTTTTTGAACGTAGCCCTTTGTATTGCTTTTGTAATGAATCTTGTCAGTATGACAGCATATATATGTGACTTATAACAGTCCCAGCATCAACATTTTACTCCTTCAATGAAAATATGTAAACATCACTTCCATTCAGGTCCCTTTACCTTCTCCAGCTTTAAATATTATTGTCTTCAGTGTTAGGTGATGTTACAACTTTTGTTTCAATCATTAAAAATATGATTTGTAAATCTCATGAAGAAAAGGATAGATCTATTATATCTCCCCATATTTCTGCTCTTTCTTCTTTTCTTTCTGGTGCTCCAATTATTTCTTTTATAATTTCTTTCTGATGCTCCAATTATTTCTTTTATAATCTCTTCTTTTCTTTCTGATGCTCCAATTATTTCTTTTATAATTTCCTTTAGCTTGAAAACCCTCCTGTAAACAATCAATGAAAATAAGTTTTCTAACAATAAGTTCTTTTAGTTTTTATTTATCTGAGAATATTTTTATTTCCCCTTCATCCTTGAAGGATAGTTTTGTGAAATATAAAGTTTGGGGTTGCTAATACCTGTAATCTCAGCACTTTGAGAGGCTGAGGCAGGAGGACTGCTTGAGGCCAGGAGTTCAAGACCAGCCTGGGCGACATAGTGTGACCCTATCTCTACAAATAAAAAAATTAGCCACGCATGGTGGCACACGCCTGTAGTCCTAGCTACTTGGAAGGCTGAGGCAGGAGAATCACAGGAGCCCAACAGTTTAAGGCTTCAGTGAGCCAAGATTGTGTCACTGCACTCCAGCCTGGGTGATGGAGTAAAACCCTTGTCTCTAAAACTAAAATAAAATAAAATAAAAGTAAAATAATAAAATTCATGGTTAATGGTTCTTTCCTTTCATACTTGAAAACTATCGTGCCATTTTCCCCCTGGCTTCTTTGGTCTTGAACAGGAAGTCTGCTGTCAAATCTGCAATTGAATTGGTGTCATTTTTCTCATTTTTTTCTTTGTCTTTAATTTTCAAACGTTTAACTATGACATGTCTTGGCCTGGATTTCTTTGGGCTTATCCTGTTTGGAGTTTACTCAGATTCTTGAATCTGTATATTTGTATATTTCACCAACTTTGGGAAGTTTTCAGCTATTATTTTGTCACTTTTTTTTCAGTCCCATTTTTCCTTCTTGTCTCTTTGGTGGACTCCGATGATACTAATGCTGGATATTTTGTCATTGTCTCACAGGTCCTCGTGGCTCTACCTTTTTTTTTTTTTTTGGTCTATTTTCTCTCTGTTGTTTAGAGTGACTGAATTTTGTTGTTCTGACCTTAAGTTCACTGACATTATCCTGTCATCTCCACTTCACTATTGAACCTATCTACTGAGGTTTTAAAAATTTCTGCTCTTGTATTTTTCAGTTCTCAAAGTTCCACTTGGAATTTTTTTTATAATTCCTACTTATATTCTGAGATTGCCTATTTGTTCATTTGTTTCAAGAGGATTTGTAATAGATTGTTGAAGCATTTTTATGACAGCTTCTTTAAAATCCTTGCAGGTCATTCCAACATATGATTCATCTCAGTGTTGGCATCATTTGTTTGTCATTTCTCATTCAAATTGGGGCTTTCTTGGCTCTTTGTGTGATGGGCACTTTTTTTACTGGATCCTAGGTATTTCCTATTGTGTGAGAAGATTCTGGGTCCTATTTAAAATCTTTTATTTTACTTGGTAGTTGCCCTGCTTAAATTTAGCATGTGAGATTTGTCCTACTTCTGTGGGTCTTTGCTCCAACGGCAGTTTGATGTTCAGAAGCTTTTGGTATTATCTTGGTCTTCTTTGCGAATCTGGTGCCATTCTGGACCCCACTGGTCCTTGCTGGTGCTGCCTGAAGAGACAGGAGGCGTTTCCCTCCGTCAGGCTTCCAGGTGTCTCTTGGTACCTCCCCTGCTGTCCTCCAGGTGTTCCTGTGTCACTGGGTAGGGTAGGAGAGCCCTTGGCCCACAGGGACAAAGAATCTTCTGCAAGGGGCCACTAGTTCTAGCTGGGCCTCTCCTGCCTGTTCTTCCAACGCACTCTGATGTGTCTCTGAAGGAGAGGAGAGTCTCAGGCCTGCAGAGACAACGAGGCTTCCCAGATGGGCCACTGGCAGCTGTGTCCCTTTAGCAAGCTCTGCCCACCTATCCAAGTAAACATCCTCCTCTGGTGTACTTCTTATATGTGTGGGGACTGTTACAGATCAATTTCACTTTCACTTGGGCATAACTATGTATCTGGTGAGCTCTCCCAGCTATTTTTGTCAAGGTGAGCTGTCAGAGTGGTGGGATTAAGAGTTCAACTGTCTTTCTGTGGGACAGTTTTCTTTTGTGGGACAGTTTTCTCTTAAGGGTAGGAAGTTGATAGGGTATGAGTAGCCCACCTAGCACTACCTCCTTCAGTCTCGTCGATGCTGAACGGAAGTGGAGCCTCAGTCCTCCACTGGGCCCTGCTGACATTATGGGGAGGACCACCGTGGGGGCTAGTCCTGTTTCACACTTTCTCCTTTGGTCTCATGCTGTTGTGTGAGTGTGGAGGTGAGGCTTCCCATTACTAACACCACGGATGGGGGAAAGCAGAGCGTGGCCTTTCCCCAGCTTGCTTCTTTTTTCACTTTCATTGATAATGGGTCTTTGTAGAGGCTCAGCTTCGTGCTGAGTCCTGCTGACATGAGGACTCTGGTGAAGCACAACAGTGACTAGACTGGCCTCACACTGCCTGGTTAGGTTGTGGTGCTGCCTGAGAGGAGTGGAGGGTTGGCTCGACACTGGGCACCATGGACGCTACCCTGGTGAGGGACTCAGAGCACTGCTGCTCCTGCCCACTCAGGGATGAGAGATCAGCTTCCCACTCAGTCCCTCTGATATTACTCTAGTAGGAGAATGTAAGCACCACCTGCTTCCAGAAGGAGAATGAGCTTTCCACTAAGCCTCACTGACACAGCCTCAGCAGGGAAATAAATCAGAGCATTGCTGCCTGCTTCCACCACGTAGGGATGGAAGTTTAGCTCCCTGGTCAGCTCTACTATTCCACTCGGCAGGGGGATCAGAGCACAGTCACTTGCTTCCATGAAGCAAGAGAGTGGGTGAAAGATTAACTCCCTGTTTGGCACCACTGAAATCCCAGGGGAGGGGATGCAGTTTTTTCCATGGTATATGACTGGAGCAGGACAGATATTGCCAAAAAGGTTTTCTGTTATTAAGCCGTGCTCTTCCCAGTCATTTGGCTCGGGCAGGGGTGGTGGGGAACAGGCTTTTCGTGGAGCTTTCTTTGTCAGTGCTTGTTGGAGATCCCAGGTTGGAGAGGCTTCTGCAGTGCCCTGTCTGGGATATACGAATAGAAATAAAGTCCCAAGGACTCATTGCCAAGGGACCTCAGAACTTGGAGAATGACACGACAATGAGTGTCATTTTTTTTTTTTTACTTTAAGTTCCAGGATATATGTGCAGAACACGCAGGTTTGTTACATAGGTAAACATATGCCACAGTGGTTTGCAGCACCTATCAACCTGTCACCTAGGTATTAAGCCCCACATGCATTAGCTATTTGTCCTGATGCTCTCCCTCCCTCTGCCCCGCCCCCGACAGGCCCCAGGTGTGTGATGTTCCCCTCCCTGTGTCCATGTGTTCTCATTGTTCGGCTCCCACTTATAAGTGAGAACATGCGGTGTGTGGTTTTCTGTTCCTGTATTAGTTTGCTGAGGATGATGGCTTCCAGCTTCATCCATGTCCCTGAAAAGGACACGATCTCATTCCTTTTTATGGCTGCATAGTATTCCATGGTGTATATGTACCACATTTTCTTTATCCAGTCTATCATTGATGGGCATTTGGGTTGGTTCCATGTCTTTGCTATTGTGAATTGTTTGCATATTGTTTATTGTGCCGCAATAAACATATGTGTGCATGTGTCTTTATAGTAGAATGATTTAAATTCCTTTGGGTATATACCGAGTAATGGGATTGCTGGGTCAAATGGTATTTCTGGTTCTAGATTCTTGAGGAATCGCCACACTGTCTTCCACAATGGTTGAAGAATGATGGGACAATGAGTCCTTTGTCCTCTTTTGGAGATATAACCAGGGCTTTCTGGTTTTGAGATGGTGGACCTACAAGGGATGGCACTACTCTATCTTTGCTGGAACTGGAAGTCTATCCTGCACTTTTTCTTATAATTGTGCAATAAGAATTTTTTTTTACATATTTACCTATGCAGTTAGCATCATCTTTACCAATGCTTTTTATTCCTTAGCATAGACTCATATTTCTATCTGGTAAGGTTTTCCTTCTGTCTAAAGTACTCCCCTTTAATGTTTCTGGTACCGCAGGCTTGTTGGTGATGAATTCTTTTAGTTTTTTCGTATCTTTTTTTTTTTTTTTTTTTTTTATGAGACAGGTTCTCACTCTGTCACCCAGGCTGGAGTACAGTGGTGTGATCTCGGCTCACTGCAGCCTCTGCCTCCCGGGTTCAAGTGATCCTCCCGCTTTAGCCCCCCAAAGTAGCTAGAACTACAGGTGCAAACCACCATGCCCAGCTACTTTTTATATTTTTTGTAGAGGTGGGGTCTTGCCGTGTCGCTCAGGCTGGTCTTGAATTCCTGAGCTCAAGCAATCTGCCCACCTCAACCTCCCAAAGTGCTAGGATTACAGGTGTGAGCCACTGCACCTGACCGTTTTTATATATCTTAAAAAGTCTATTTTATATCCTGCTTTGAAAGATATTTTCAGTCCGCATAGGCTCTATGTGGACAGTCTCTCAGTATTTTAAACATGTTTCTCCACTGTCTCCTCACTTGCATTATTTCTGATGAGACATCTGCTGTCATCTTTACTACTGTTCCTCTGTGCACAATGTGTCTTCTTTCTATTATTTTAAGATGTTCTCTTTGTCATTGCTTCTGGAAAGTTTGATTCTGCCTTAGTCTGGTTTTCTTCATGTTTCTCGTGCTTGGGATTCATTGAGGTTCTTTTGGATCTGTGTGTTTATAGCCATAATCCAATTTGGAAAATTTTTGGCCACTGTTGCTTCAGTTATGTGTTTATTAGACTGATCGGATTTTTCCACGACTCATTGATGCTCTGTTTTTTGTTTTGGTTTGTTTCTTTGTTTTTGTTTTTGTTTTTTTTATTTGAATTCTCTTTCTTCTGTGTTACATTTTGGATAGTTTCTATTGCTGCCTTCCAATTCACTAGTTTTGTGTTACGCAATGTCTGATCTGCTGTTCATCCCATTCTATATATTTTTCATTGCTAGTTTAATTTGTGTCTTACTTGTACCTTTCATGTCTCCCCCACAGTTACAAGAACAGTTTTAATGCTCTAATAGTAACATTGAGTTCTGGGTACATTTTAAGTCTTCAGTTTGTTTTTCCTCCTCATTATGGGTCTGTATTTTCCTACTTTTTCGCATGCCTAGTAATATTCGGTTGTGTGCTAGGCATTGCTGAGTTTACTTTGTTAAGTGGTGAATATTTTTGTTTTCTTGTAATTATTCTTGGGGTTTGTTCTGGGATGCAGTTAAGTTAGTTGGAAACAGTTTGATCCTTTCAGGCCTTGCATTTAAGATTTCCTAGGTGGAAGCAGAGTGTTTGGTTGCTCCCACTACCGAGGCAAGACCCTCCTGTGTACTTTACCCAGTGCCCAAAGGATTATGAAGTTTCCAATCCTCACTAGTGGGAGCACTCTTCCCAGCCCTCTGTGAGCTTAAAGCACTGGTCCCTCCAATGTTTTTTGGATGATTCATTCCCTAGTCTCAGGTAGTTCACTCACATGAAGCACTGATCAGTATTCTGACTTGTCCTGCTACCCACTGAATCTGGATTTAAAGTCACTCCTCAGAACATAAAACAAAAAACACACACCCTAGAAGGGCATCCTTGAAATGCATATGCACAGGCCAAGTCTGGAGGATGAGAGAACAGAATTTTATTTGCTTTCTCCCATTAGCCTATTAGAATAAATTGCTTTATCAGGTGGTCAAATGGTTATATAGTCTGAGAGGTCAGCAAGCAACTAACCACCTACATCTGACATTGTTTCATTTTCTACAAATATCTGTGTATAGCAGTGATTAACAAACTTCACATATAGCTCCCTGGGTATCCCTGTTAAAAACACAGATTCCTAAAGTTTGTCAAAATATTGATAATTGTTGAATTTAAATTATAGGTACATGGAGGTCTATATATGCTTCTATTTTGTGTAATATTTGAAACTTTCTGTAATAAAAAGTTTAGAAGAAAAACAAAATATATATATTAATTTATAATTCCTGGGCCTCTATGCCTACAACCTGCTTTAGCATCTCTGAAATGGGATGCAGGAATCTGCTCAGGTGCCCTAGCTCAGGTGGTCCTTGGGCTACATTCTGAGAAACACTGGTACACTCATTGTTAAGCGACTCATTTTTTTGACTTAGTTATCTCTATGGTTGCTATTTTCCCAACGAAGGTATTACCCAGGGACCGCCAGCCTGTAATGCTCAAACAAATGAACACTCCCTTCTTAGCCCACCAAGCTCTTACCTGAACAGCCTCTGGGGGAGTGGGATCCTTGCAACCAAAATTATAAAAATGGAACTCTCCTCCAGTCAAAGCAGCAACCTCTTTCAAAAACCTGTTTGCAATCTCATCATTGTAATTGAAGGAGATGGTATAAATAGGAATTTCCTGAAAACGTTTGACCTGGTCTATAACTGTTTCAGGTGGCTGAAACGATAAGTTTTGGGGATGGGGGAAGGGAGATGGAAAGAGAAGAGAAAGAAAAGAATATGAAAATCCTTAGTATTTACTACAGATACTCAAATAGTAATTCTGTATACAGTGGTGAGTGGCTTCTTAAAAACATGTCGATTCAATTCAGTAAATAAAGAAAAGACTGCCAGATGGTGAGAGTACAATGATCCACAAGACATGGGCCTTGGCTCTGAGGTCTCTCAGTTGGGTGGGACAAAGAAGCTAGGAGAAAGATTCGGCCAACCAAGTCACTCAACTTTAGGTGTGCCTGAACTTACAGTCCATGCATTTAAAGTGCTGGGCTACAAAAGAGCAATTTCCAGCTTCCAACATGCTATGGTCAACCGCTTCCCACAGAGAGTGAAGGAAGAGATGTTTATTAAAGGTCTTCCCATGTGCTGGGCATTCATCTTAGAAACTGAAGAAAGCAGGCAGGGTCTGTGAGAAATGGATTAAGGAGCCCCAGAGCTGAGAGAGGCTTCTTCACTGTACACAGGAGCTAGACAGGGAGTGGGCCCACACTCCACAGCCCAGAGAAGCTGCTGGAATGAGTGACAGAAAGGGGTACGGTTAGTCAGTCTGCGGTGGTGAGAGGTTTGCTTCAACTTTCTGATTGTGCTCTTCAAAGCTCTGAGGATACAAACCAGCAAAAGGACTCCTCAGCAGGGAGGGGGCAGGAGGACAGGAGTGGCTGTTTCCCATTGCAGGGATGGAGCTCCCTCTGCCATTGAGGGGAACCCCCACCCTCTGCCCAGCTCCCCAGCACCATCCTGGGGCACTTGAACATCATGCCAGTTTAGCATGAAGGGACCACCTGAGACTGGGTGCGGGGCGGGTGCTTACAATGATACACATGACAGTCTCTCCCACTCATGCTGTCTTCAGCTGTATGGAATGAAGGAAACAGCTCCAGAGCGAGAGACTTGGGCTTGAAGCTCATCCAGCACTGCCCATCTGAATGGCCTAGGGCATGTCCTGTCTAATGTGAGTTTCCTCATCTGTGGCTCAGAACTGATACTCCCTCCTTAAACGGCTGCTGTGAGGAGTAAATGAGATGATGTTCCCTGGAAGGCATTCCACAAATATTTGTTGAGTACATTTTATTTGCCAGGAGCTGCTGTCAGCCTAGGATAAGGCCAAGCAGCACACCTGAGCCACTTTCCCCATTCCCTCTGCTCTGAGTCTAAACAGCTGTGCAGCCAGGGCTCCACACACATCAGCTGTGCAGCCTTCCTCCACACACATCAGCTGGAGTGGCAAGAAAGGCCGAGATTCCATCTCCTCCCTGCCGGGAAGGAGGTCTGTTTGTGCATGTGCAGGTTGATCACCCTGCACCTTCCCCAACCTCCTGCCCTCACATACCCTATGCTAAGGCTTTAGCCATTAGTTTTATTTAGGATGGTGCACATGCCTTTATCATGTCCATTTTCTTGATTCCAGTCCAGACCAGCCCATAACTTTAAAGAATTCCCAAAATGACCGCAGCCAAAGCTGCATGGGGCTGTTCCCAGCAAAGACCCTGCCAGCTTACACTATGGATGCCCACCAAAGGACACTTATCCAATGTGTATATGATTCCCTTTTAACGAAGACTAATATTTCTAGAACCCACTTAATTTTTTGACCTGCTTAATTTTAAAGACTGTGTCACCTTATAATGCTCCCTCGGACATTTAATAATCAGGCAGGAAGCTAGTGTCCATGTAACTGATCCAGAACAGCATCTGTGTCTATTCTTCCACAAAGAAAATTCTGCTGAATATTTGGAATAATAACACGGGCCTTACACATTCAGTTCCTATAAAGCCAGTGAAAATTCAAAAGCAAAAAATGGAAATTGAGTGGTACATCTCCATATCTTCTACATAGAACATGAATATCAAATATCAATTTGCCTTTTTGAGAGAATCCAAGGAATAATGAAAAAAAAATAGACCACGTGTGTCGAAAGGGCAGTCTTTTTGCAGGTGTTGAATTCGGAAGTCCTCAAGAGTTTCTAAATTGGCTGGGCGCGGTGGCTCACACCTTTAATCCCAGCACTTTGAGAGGCCGAGGTGGGCAGATCACAAGGTCAGGAGATCAAGACCATTCTGGCTAACACGGTGAAACCCCGTCTTTACCAAAAATACAAAAATTAGCCGGGTGTGGCGGCGTGAGCCTGTAGTCCCAGCTGCTGGGGAGGCTGAGGCAGGAGAATGGCGTGAACCCGGGAGGTGGAGCTTGCAGTGAGCCGAGATTGCGCCACTACACTCTAGCCTGGGCGACAGAGCCAGACTCTGTCTCAAAGAAAAGAAAAAAAGAGTTTCGAAATTATGTTTGGGGTAATTTGCACATTTCTGACTCCATCTTTTTTGTTTTTTGTTTTTTGTTTTTTTTTTTAGATGGAGTCTCGCTCTGTCGCCCGGGCTAGAGTGCAGTGGCGCGATCTCGGCTCACTGCAAGCTTCAACTCCCGGGTTCACACCATTCTTCTGCCTCAGCCTCCCCAGCAGCTGGGACTACAGGCGCACGCCACCAGGCCCAGCTAATTTTTGTATTTTTAGTAGAGACGGGGTTTCACCGTGTTAGCCGGGATGGTCTTGATCTCCTGACCTTGTGATCCAACTCACCTCGGCCTTCCAAAGTGCTGGGATTACAGGCATGAGCCACCGCGCCTGGCCTAACTCCAGCTATTATCCATATCCTTGATTCTCCATCTTTGAGTAGACCTTCAGAATCTGGTAAAATATATCGATCTTCTCTCAAGAAAACAAAAATTTTGAGTGTATTTTTATACATATTATTGGGAGATTCCAGAGCCTCAGAAGTCCGTACTGGACTGTAGATCAAGAATTCTTGTCAATACCCTGCTTGCGGGAATGTTGCTTGTGACATCCTCTTTGGGGGCTGCTATTCGGCAGTATCAATCAAAACATGGACCTTGCAGCTGAGTCCACTTCTCAGAATTTACACGTACAGATATACTCACTCACAGGCAAACCAATATATGCACAGAGTTCCTTTGGCAAGATTGTGTAAATCAGAAAGCTCAAAAACAATCCGACTGCGTATCTGCAGGGGACTAGCTAAATAAGTGATGGGATAGCCATGTGATGGAACCTAGAAGAGAATGAGGACGCTCTTTATGAAATGATATGAAGCCATCTCCAAGGTATACTGTTTGACGAATAAAGGTGCAGAATCATGTGTATAATAGGCTAACAGTTGTTTTTTTAAAAAAGATGAAATATATATGAATACATTTTTGCTGTATAACAGAAACCATCTCTGAAAGGAGATACAAAAAAACTAGTTCCATCAGTTGCCTCCTAGCTGGTGAAAGGGGTGAGAGGGAGAATTTTCTCTACCTATGCTTTTCTACGAAGGTAGAAAAGAATGCATTAGAACACATTACTATTCAAAATTTAAACAAAAATAGCTTTAAGGTACAAGTTTTATTAAATTCATATAACAGAATGTGATGCAGTCATTGAGAAGGATGCTCCTGAAGAATTTTTGATGACTTGGAACAATGCATGTGATATGTTAGATGGGAAAAAAACCCACAAAATTCAATTATGAGTGATTCAAATTTTTTCCTCTTTTTTTTGTTTTTTTTGTGTTTTGCTTTTTTTTTTGTTTTTTTCTTAGAGACAGGGACTCGCTCTGTTGCCCAGGCTGGAGTGCAGTAGCACGATCATAGCTCACTGCATCCTTGAACTCCTGGTTTCAAATGATCCCCCTACTTCAGCCTTCTGAGTAGCTAGGACTACAGGTGCACACCACCACACTGAGCTAATTTTAAAGTTTTTTGTAGAGACAGGGTCTCAATATGTTGTCCAGGCTGGTCTTGAACTCCTGGGCTCAAGCAATCCTCCTGCCTCAGCCTACCAAAGTGTTGAGATTACAGGAGTGGGCCTCCCCACCCAACCACATTTTCTCCTTTTTAATGCTTATCTGTGTTTTCCAAGTTGTCCATAGTGTAAACAATTTTAAAAATCAGTAAGAGTATATTAAAAAGAAAAATACACCTTGACTTGCCTAGATGTCTCTCAAGTCGGAATCTTCAGCCCACACTGTCCCCTAACTCCAGCTCCATATTTCTAGGGACTTCTAGACACCCATGCACTCCCTAGAGGTTCGCAAACACAGCTTCCTCCACCAGCCACCCCCAAGCCTACTTGCCTCTTCTTGAAATCTGCATTTCAATCCGTTAATATCAAAATCATTGTAAACCAGGAATCAGTCATCCTGACTCCTTTCTGCCTTGCTCCTACCTTCTCCTCACCTCTCACTCACTGTTTCCAAACTGGCCATGAGGTCCT
This sequence comes from Homo sapiens, assembly GCF_000001405.40. Taxonomy (NCBI): domain Eukaryota; kingdom Metazoa; phylum Chordata; class Mammalia; order Primates; family Hominidae; genus Homo; species Homo sapiens. The sequence goes on along the minus strand of NC_000002.12, from coordinate 98,213,515 downwards.
GTTGATGCTGCTTCCTGCGGCTCACGTCTGGAGGCAGTCCCCTCCTCCCATTCCTGCTGCTCCCACCCAAGGCTAGGTCCTTCCCAGCTTTCATCAAGGACCCAGCAGCAGGCCATGGCAGCGCCAGCCTTTCCTTGGCACAACTGAGGCATGTTTCTGAGATGCAGATGGGTAGGGTGGGCGGCTCCTCCGAGAGTTCCTCTCTGTGGTGACACCACCCTTCTAATATGGCATTCGAGGACTTCCACAGTCTTCCTCAACCCAACGTTTTTCACCTCCACCCTGATCTTCTTCCGTTGCCCCTGTCCTCAGCTTTTTTCTCTGAGCCCCCCACATATTTCCACACCTCTGTGTCCCTTCTGCCCAGGACATCAACAGTGTCTTCTGTTCCAAAAATTCCTTCTTGTCTTTCCAGACACAGCTCAAATGTCCCCGCCTCGCTGGAACCTGCCCTGACCTTCCCTCCATCTGTACAGCAAAATCCATCACTCTGTGCCCCTAGACATAGCACAGGCAACCCTGTTCCCGTGTTGTATTAAACTGTATACATCTAGCACATTCCCCAAAGCACAAACTTCCCAAAGGCAGGGATGAGCTGTTACTCATCTTTATAGCCTCAGACCCTGGCACCACACATGGAACAGAAGAGAGACACGATGAACTGCTTCCAAAGAGAAAACACAGTAAGTTGATAGGAAAAAAAATTTTAAATAAATTTTCACTTTACACACTCCCGTTCTGTCATAAATCTAAAGCTGCAGTAAAATCCAGATGCTTACTCTCTTTAAGCCCTGAACTTTTTGCCACAGGATATTTTAGAATATTTGCCTAGCAGTCTGCATATGCAAACCATCTCACAAGGAAGGACGCGAGTTGACACTAATTCACTTTAGCTGTTAATTTACATTACGCTGGCCTGAAAATCCTTCTATTTATTTAATGCCTGGAGTACTCCTCTTTCATTCACAAAGCTCAAAAGAAGATGAACAGACTCCTCTACAGCTTTTCAAATATTTTCCAGTCGGGCTAAACAAAACAAAGGACATTTCGCTAGAAAGGCATGTTTTTGTTTAAATGAGTACTAAGCCTTAGAGGTAAAGCCAAGGACATTATGCAGTGACATGTTAGATTCAGAGTCTCTAGAGGAAAAAAAATCAAAAAGAATCTCCTCACTTTTCATTTGTAATAAAATGCAAACCAGTCTTCAGTGGACAGCAGACGTCTCCTTTTGTGGGGCTGGTCTCCAGGCTAGGGGTGTGTGTCACACTCACCAGGCAACATTCACTGTCTCATAAATTCTCCTCAGAGTTTCCAGAGACAAAAGAATCTTTCAGTGTATTTTCTCACCTCAGATCTGAGTCCCTAAGCCAAGGAAGTATATGTCCACAGATTTTTGGTGGCAGCTGAAAAGGTCCCCCAGACCCATTTCCAGCATTTGCTTTCAGAGCATCAGTGAGGCCCTCTTTGTTCCCAGCTCTGGTAAGTACCTGATCAGGTCTCCCATCGGTCAGAAGGTAGATTGCCTGTGTTTCTTTATCAGCAAAAGCAGTTTTCAGGGCACTCAGGGTGTTTGTGGAGCTTCCAATCTACGGAAAAAAGAGACACCAAGGACACACTTGAATCCCAAAAAAGAATTCACAAACAAGTATTTATTTTCTGCTTCCAAAAAAGAAGAAAAAGTACCTATGAGATGAAAGATAAATAATTACATTGAGATAATAGTTTAACCCCAGTGATTCCAAGAAACATATCGCAGGGTATGCCTAAAAGTCTCTTTCCGGGCAGTCCAAGGACTGCTAGAAGTCAGGACTGTGGATTTCCTGTCTTGACAGAGCTCTTAATGCAATTTTATTTTTTTGTGTTTCTACATGAGATGCTAACTCAGTTACTGCTCACTCGTCTGTCAACAGAGCTTAAACATGCAGCCTAAATACACTGTGGCATCATAATGGTTTCAAACCAGGATTTATTCATGATACCCAATATTTGGTAAACGTGAGTGTGGTATCCTTAGCAATCTAACAATGTACATGTGGGCATATCTAACATTACCTGACAAGTTCTGTTTTTAGCAATCTCTCAAATCGTAGTAAACACTTAGAAAATCTCTTGAATACTTCATCAATATAGAAAGGAATGGATTTTTAGATACATATTAATTTATGGAATGTACTCTCCTTAATATGCAAAAATGATCCTTACCAAGGGACCATCAGTAGAGATACAGGACTTTGAACTGTCCAAAAGCCTCCTTCAACATCCCCCTCATCTCAGTTCCGTTGTATCACTCCAGCTTCAGTTGTAAGCAAGAAAACCAACTGTGGTTGATTCAAACAGGAAGGAATTTATGATAAAGGACATTGGGATGGCTCACAGCATCACCAATGGACAGGATAACCTGGGTTGGGACCTCTCATCAGGAACGAGACCCCCAATCCTGCTGCAGGGCTGCCTGGTGGGGGCCCCGCTGCAGTTCCACTGCAGAGCGCTGGATGCTGTGGCTTTCCTCGCTGGCACTGGGAGTATTGACAAGAGATGGACCAGAGCTCACTGCCACTGCCACCCCAGGAGCTGCATCGGTGTGCATCTGCCACTACTGCCAAGTTTGTCTCTGCTGGACCTGCCATCTGGAGTCACAATCTCTCAAGTCAAAGCCTAGGAGGTTATTCTGACTGACGGTGCCTGGGTCACATTACCCACACCCTAGCTAAAGCGAGGCCAGACCCTTCAACTTCCACAGGTGAACAGACTCTGCCCCCATCCCAAGAATCAGGATAAGAAGGGAGCAGAGACTGACAGCCTAAGGAATGACAAAGATCCAGAACACATCCAGCCCCCACCCCACCCAAGGCATCTCAGGCCTCACCATATACCATGGGCACTCTCCCATTAAGACTTTCTCAGACTCAGCCATGATGGGGAACCCCATGACCTGACCCATCCAGCTGCTCTCACCTAAGGCTCCTTCATCAGCTTTACTCCCTTTCATTTCAATAGATACTTAGTAAGCACATAAGTACCACGTGCCAGACATTTTGATAGATCTGAGACATAACCTACAAAACCAGACAAAATTCTGTGCCTTGAAGGGGGTTCATAGGATGGTGTTGGATGCCTAGAATATGACGACCTAACACTGTGCCAAAAGCTGTAAAAGTTCATGCCCAGCGTAGGATGCATCTTACTCTAGCTGAGTGAGTTGCTAAATACATCTTCTAGGGGAGACAGCAGGGAAGACTCTTAAAGGATGAGTAGGATAGGCAGGAAACCACAGAAGGATGCTGCACGCTCCAGACTCCTTTCTTGTTCAGGATTCAGCAAGTAATTCCATAACTGTAAAGCCCATAGGAGGAGAGGGGCCAGGAAAACGATGGGAGTAATGTTAATCATAAAACAACAACTATTGAGTACTTACTAGGCTAAGGGCTTATATTTCCTGTATTTTTAATCTGTGGTCTGCTCCCCATCCCAGAAGGTCACCCAGCAACAGCAGGCAGCCCAGGGACATGCCTTCCACCCCTGCAGACAGCACCAAACAGGAATTGAGGGGCCCCAGCAGCACAAGATGGCTCAGGGAACGAGACTGCCACTGGAACGAAAGCCCACAGAAGTAAGCCAGAGCAAACATGCTACACCCAAACACAGCGACTGCGCCGAATAAACAGACATAAGTGGAAATAAAGTCTTCTAACATGATAACCGAATGGTCTAAGATATAATTTAAAAATCACTCATTATACCAAGAACCAGAAATATCACATTCGAATGAGAAAAGCAACCCACTGATGCCAATACCAACAGAGCCTCAGAAATCTCTGGAACAATGAGGAAGAGCTAATACTATTCATACCACTAGAGTTTCAGAAAAAAGAGGGGAAAGAGTATGGGGCTTAAAAAGCATTTAAAAAGTAATGACTGAAAAAAACCCCAAATTTTGCCTGGGCGCGGTGGCTCACGCCTGTAATCCCAGCACTTTGGGAGGCTGAGGCGAGCAGATCATGAGGTCAGGAGATCGAGAGCATCCTGGCTAACATGGTGAAACACTGTCTCTACTAAAAATACAAAAAATTAGCCTGGCGTGGTGGTGGGTGCCTGTAGTCCCAGCTACTCAGGAGGCTGAGGCAGGAGAATGGCATGAACCTGGGAGGTGGAGCTTGCAGTGAGCCGAGATCGCGCCACCACACTCTAGCCTGGGCGACAGTACAAGACTCCATCTCAAAAACAAACAAACAAACAAACAAAAAAACAAATTTGGTTAAAGATACAGAAACTACAATTCAAGAAGCTAAGCAAATCCCAAACAGGATAAAACCAAAGAAAGCCACACCAAGACACATTGTATTTAAATTTCTGAAACTAAAAACAAAGAAAAATCCTAAAAAAGCTGAAGAGAAATAACACGTTACCTATAAAAGAGCACCAATTCAAATGACAGCAGTTTCTCATCTGAAACTATAGAGACCAGAGGAAGAGGCGCCACATTTTCAAGTGCTGAGAGAAAATAACTGCCAGCCATGAATCATCTATCTGGGGAAAATATCCTCCAGGGTTGAAGGAGAAGGAAAACTATGTGAATTTATTACAGGGAGACCTACCCTTAAAGAAGCATTCATGAAAGCTTTCCATATAGAAAGAGAACGAGAAAAGAAAAAAGCCTGGACTTTCAGAAAAAAGAACAATGGAATGAGTAAATATAAAAGTAAGCATAATAGATAATCCTTAACACCATGGATTTCTTTAGTTACATTTTATGATTGAAGCAAAAGTTTAGCACCATCTAAGATGGCATATAATGCATGCAAAGGAAATACTTCAGACAATTATATATTTTAAATGGTGAGTGTAAAGGGACCTAAATAGAAGTAAGGTTGCTACACTTAACTTGAAGTAGCAAACCACCAATAGGCTGTGATAAGTTACATCACAATAGGCTGTGATAAGTTACATATATGTATAAGGAAATACATAGAACTATTAAGAAAAGTATACAAAGCAATACACTCAAAAACAGTGTAAATAAATCAAAATGAAACACCAAAATATGCTCAAATAACCCATAGGAAGGCAAGACAAAAGAGAAAAATGAGAAACAGAGGAGACACACAAAAATAATAAATAAATAAAATGAGACACTTAATCCTTAAATATGAATAATTACTTTACATATAAATCACCTACATATACCAATTACATGACAGAGATTGAAGAGTGAACAAAAACATGACCCGATTTATGCTGTCTACAGGAAACTCACTTCAGGCATAACAACGTAGATAGGTTAAAGGTAAAAGGATGGAAAAAACGTATTACGCAAATATTTAATTTTAAAAAGCAAAAATAAGTATATTAATATTATATAAAGTAGACTTTAACACAAAGAAAATTTACTAAGGACAAAAAGGGACATTAGGATGATAAAATTCTCTATCCACCAAGAAGACAATGACCCTAAATGTGTATACATCAAACAACAGAGCTTCAAAACACATGAAGCAAAATTTGATGGAGATGAAAAGAAAAATAGATAAATCTATTTTTATCTACTTTATAATAGAGTTGTAATAGATAAAATAGGTAGAGTCTTATGGTTGGGGTCTTCAGTACACCATTCTTTTTTTTCTGAGGGGTGTACATTGTATTGGAAACCTTAAATACTCTTCAGATAGAACATGTTTTCAATCAAGGTTCTCATGTGGCTTACACCGAAACCTGAAGCTGTTTGGATTAGGGGAAGGAGAGGGACAGTACAGCAGATGAGTGCTTAGTTTGCCAAAAAGACCCCTCACAATAAGTGCTCTTCAGCCAGCGTATCAGCTTCTGCCAAACCTTCTTCAATGGGTTCCATCACTGAAGGCCCGTTCTGAGAGATGGTCATGTTCACCTATCAAAATCTGCTGAAATCCTTTAATGGTCTCCTTCAGGAGTACTGACTTCCCCATATGACCTGTGATGACCTCAGCAGCCTGGAATGGCTGAGACAAGAAACGTTGTATTATCCACATTCAAGACACAGTCAACTTGTCTTCCTCAGAAAGTTAATCCATACCCAATATGGATTATGACAATAACGTATGGAGGGATTTGTAGCCATGCAGAATCTTTTGCACCCCACGGGCAACATCATTATGCTCATTGCCAACAATGTTGGGATCCATGATGTGAGAGATGGAGTCCAGAGGATCCACATGTAGATAGATGCCCAGCTCAGTGACAGCATGGGGCAGCACAGTGGTGGCATCCAAATGAGCAAAGGAAGTAGCAGAGGCAGTCGAGTCATCAGCAGGTACATAGCCTGTACAGAGGTGATAGATCTCCTCTTGGTAGTGGCAATTCTTTCCCCACATCATACCCACCATGTCAGTGGCCAGGGTAGGCTGATAGCCCACAGCAGAAGGGATTCTGCCCAATAAGGCAGACACCCTTGAGCCAGCATGGGTGAAGTGAAAGATATTATCAATAAACAGGAGTACATCTTGAACTTCTTGGTCTCTGAAGTATTCAGCCACAGTCAGTCCAGTCAGAGCTACCTGGGCATGAGTAGCATGTGGTTCATTCATCTGACCTTACATCAGCATTACCTTGGAGGTAACATTTTTTAAGTTGACAACACCAGACTCAGTCATTTCATAATATAAGTCATTGCCCTTACAGGTCCTCTCAAAAACACCAGCAAACCCAGATTAAGCACCATGGGCTTTGGCAACATTATTGATTAACTCCATGATGGGTACAATCTTGTCAACTCCAACACCACTAAAAAGCCCAATTTTGCCACTCTTGGCTAGGGAGTGAGGAAATCCACAACTTTGATACTAGCCACCAGAATTTCTTGCTCAACGCTAATTTCCATGAACTCAGGAGCCTCAACATAAATGGGAGCAAACTGTTTCATTTTGATGGGACCGCTTTCATCAATAGGCTCTCCAATGATGTTCATGATTCTGCTCAAAGTCTCAGGACCAACAGGACTTTCGATTGGTGCACCAGAATCCAGGACTTTCTGGCCTCTAAACAAGCCTTCTGTACCATTCATAGCATAATCCTTACTGTGCTCTCACCCAAATGCTGGGTCACCACAAAAACCAGCCTGGTCTCCCTGCCTTGTACTTGCTGGGCATTTAAAATAGATGGTAGTCCCTCATCAAACTGGATATCCACTACTGCATCAATGACCACCACAATACACCCAGTGGTGGTGCCTGTCTTCAGCAAAGGTGATGTTTGTGCCCATATTTCCTGGTAGATTGGATTGCTGCCAGAGTGGCCCATGGCAAGACCTGAGCTTGGAGTAGCAACACTGACGGGCTGAGTTCCTGCAAGGCCCTGGAGGCTGAGGCAGCAGACATGACCCACAGAACTCAACATGGTAGAGTTTGGGTGGAGACTGAGTGTTGCCCAATATCCCGCTCTTAATGATTGACAGAACAACTAACCAATCAGCAAGGACGGAGAGGAATTGAACAATACCATCAACTAACCAGATCTAATTGAGATTTATAGAATACTCCACCCAACAAAAGACTGCATATGCTTTTCAAACAAACATTGAAAATGTGCATAAATAGACCATATCTTGAGTCACAGAACAACATTTAACAAATTTAAAAGATTTGAAATCATACAGAGTATGCCCTCTGACTATAGTGGAATCAAAATAGAAATTAATAACAGAAAGACAACATGAAAATTTCCACAAACACTTGGAAATTTTAAAACATGCTTTGAATAATTCATGGCCCAAAAGTTAAATCACAAAGAAAATTAAAAATTAAATAGTACTGAATGAAAATTAAGCTGTTTTGTTTAAAATTTGTGGGATGTACCAACATAATTCTGGCAGGAAAATTTATGGTACTAAAAGCTTACTTACAATAAAATAAAAATATGCCAAAACTATAATTTATGTTCCTACCTCAAGAACCTAGAAAAATAAACTCAAGAGCAAAATAAACTCAAAGCAGGCAGAAAGAAGTAAATAATAAAGAACAGAAATTAATAAAATTCAAATAGTAAAACAATAGAGAAAATTGATAAAACAAAAGGCTGGTTGTTAAAAAGAATCAATAAAATTGACAAACTTCTAGCAAGATTTGCAAGGTAAAAAGACACATATTACCAACATCAAGTACAAAACAGGGCCTATTACAACATCTCTTGCAGTCACTGACAGGACAATAAGAGAATATTATGAAAAACTTTATGCTCATAAATTCTACAGTTTAGAAAAAAATGAACACTTTTTCAAAAACCACAAACTACCAAAACTCTACCAAGATGAAACTGACAACCTGAATAGTTCTATGGTTATTAAAGAAATTGAATTTGTAATTAAAAAGCCCCTGAAAAGAAGTATCTGTGTCCATATGGTTGCACTAGAGAATTAATTCATTAATTTATTTATTTATTGAGGCAGAGTCTCTCTCTGTCACCCAGGCTGGAGTGCAGTGACGCCATCTCAGCTCACTGCAGCCTCTGCTTCTGGGTTCAAGTGATTCTCCTGCCCCAGCCTCCCAAGTAGCTGGGATTACAGGCATCTGTCACCATGCCCGGCTAGTTTTTGTATGTTAAGTAGAGACGGGGTTTTCCCATGTTGGCCTGGCTGGTCTTGAACTCCTGACTTCAGGTGATCCTGCCTGCCTTGGCCTCCCAAAGTGCTGGGATTACAGATGTGACCTACCGTGCCTGGCCGCACTAGAGAATTTTATCAAACATTCAAAGGAGAATTAACACAAGTTTTACACAATCCACTCCAGAAGATAGAAGGGGAGGGAATACTTCCCAACTCACTCTATGAGGCCAGTATTACACTGATACGCAAAGCAGACAAAGACAGCACACACACAAAAAGCCTACAGACCAACATCTCTCATGAACCTGGACACAAAAGTTCTCAACAAATATTAGCAAATTTAATCCAACAAAGTATAAAATGAATAATACATCATGACCAAGTGGCATTCTATGTATTCAGAGTTGGTTCAAAATTTGGAAAAAAAATCATATGAGCATATCAATTTGCACAGAAAAGGATTTGGCAAATGCAACCTTCATTCAGTATAAAAATTCAGTACATTAGGAATAGAATGAAACTTTCTCAATCTCATAAAGAGCATGTACAAAAAGCTTGCAGCTAACATCATACTTAATGGGAGAAGACTGAATTCTTGCCCTTTATGATTGGGAAAAAGGCAAGTATGTCTGCTCTCAACATACCTATTCAATGTAGTACTGGAAGTTCTATCCGCTGCAATAAGGCAAAGGAATAAGTCATAGAGGTTGGAAAAAACAAACAAACAAATACTACTGTCTATTTGCAGACTACCCAATTATCTACATAGAAAATCCTGAGAACTACAGTTGTCCCTTAGTATCTGTGGGGGACTGGTTCCAGGATCCACTCCCAACCCCATGGACACCAAAATCTGAGGATGCTCAAGTATCGTATAAAATGGCATAGTATTTGCACATAACCTATACAATCCTCATGTATACTTTAAATAATCTCCAGATTACCTATGATATCTAACAAAATGTAAATTCTACATAAGTAGTTGTTATATCTTTTAAGTTTTGTATTATATTTTATTGTTGTATTGTTATGATTTTTACCATTTATTTTTCCCAAATATTTTCAATCCATAGTTGGTTGAATCCACAGACACAGAACTTGCAGATATGGAGGGCTTACCATACACAAAAAACAAAAAGCGAAATAGTACGTAAGCCTACTAAGGTCAAAAGATGCAAAGTCCACACATGAAAACCAACTGCGTTTCTACACACTGACAACAAATAGGTGAAAACCAAAATAAAAAGTGCAATACCACTTACAATTGCTCCAAAAAATTACAATACTTAGTATATACTTAAACAGGTACAAGAGCTGCATGCTGAAATTATAAAATTCTGATGAAATAAATCAAAGACCTAAATACTCAGAGAGACATACTGTATTCATGGAATAGATGAATTAACACAATAAAGATGCCAATTCTTCCTAATTAGATCTATAGGTTTAATGCAATTTCTATCCAAATGTCAGCAAGGTTTTCAATAGGCATAAAGAAGTTTGTTTTCAATTTTTGTATGGAAAATAAAGGCCCAAGAATAGCCAAAACAATTCAAAAAAAGAAATGTAAAGTAGGAGTAGCTGTTCTTGATCTTAAAGCTCACTATACAGCTATAGCTATCAAGAAAGTGTGGTCCTAATGGAGACATTAACACATATAACAATAGAACAGAACAGGGAACCCATACAAAGACCTGCAGACATATTCAACTGATTTTTGGCAAATGAGCAAAAACAATTCAATAGAGGAGGAATAGCCTTTTCAATAAATGGTGTCACAAGAATTGCACATTCATAGGCGAAAAATAAATAAACCGGCCGGGTGTGGTGGCTCACGCCTGTAATCCCAGCACTTTGGGAGGCCAAGGCGGGCAGATCACAAAGTCAGGAAATCGAGAACATCCTGGCCAACATGGAGAAACCCCGTCTCTACTAAAAACACAAAAATTAGCCAGGCATGGTGGTACATGCCTGTAGGCCTAGCTACTCTGGAGGCTGAGGCAGGAGAATCGCTTGAACCTGGGAGGTGGAGGTTGCAGTGAGCCGAGATCATGCCACTGCAGTCCAGCCTGGGCGACAAGAGCGAAACTCCATCTCAAAATAAATAAATAAATAAATAAATAAACCTCAACCTAGATCTCACACCTTATGCAAACGTTAATTCCAAACAGATCATAGACTTAAATGTCAAACAAAATTATAAAACTTCTAGAAAAAAGGACACGGGGAAAACATCTTCAGGATCTAAGATTAGGCCAAGTCTTTAGAAATGACATCTCGAACTGAACAAAAATAGTTATAAAACGTAATTTGTGGGAACAGCTAAAGCAGTAGCTGGGGGTGGCATTTATATCATTAAATTCTTAGATCTAAGAAATGGAGATTTAATTTAAAAAAACAAAGCAAGTAGGAGGAGAAAAATAATAAAGATAGCAGGAATCAACACAATTTAAAACATTTGTTAAAAATTAGAAAATCAAAGAAACAAAAAGTTGGTTTCTTGAAAAAATTAACAAAATTAAAAGAAAAATAAAAAAAGCTCTTCAAACTAACCAAGAAAAAAAGGCAGTAGACAAAAATTACCAATATCAAACATCACTACAGATCCCACAAACATTAAGGAAATGATAAGGGAATGCTGTGAGCAATTCTATGCTCATAAATTCAACCCTATGGAAGAAATGGGCTGCTTCCTTCTAAGAAACAAATGACCAAAACTAACTCACAGAGGTACAGATAATCTGAATAGTCCTAAATCTGTTAAAGAAATTGAATTCATAGTTTTAAAACTTCTAACAAAAAAAGAGGCCCAGATGGTTTCATTGGTAAATTCTACCAAACAGTTAAGGAAAAATCATATCAATTCTGTACAACCTTTTTTAGAAAAAAAGAATATGGAATATTTTCTAACCCATATTATGAGGTCAGCATTTCCTGATACCAAAATTAGACAACAATTTCTAAGAAAAGAATCTGCAAACCAATATTCCTCATGAATATAGACAAAAAAACCTCAACAAGATAGGTTAACAAATTTAATGCAGAATATATTCAATCTATAATACATCTTGAACAAGTGGAGATTATCCCAGAATGCAAAGCCAATTTAATATTCAAAAACAAATCAACGTAGTGCACCATATTAACAGACAACAGATCTGCCAAGTACAACTTGGCAACTTGGCTTCATCAAAATCAAAAGCTCAACAGATGCAGAAAACACATTTACAAAATCCAATATTTGTTTATGGTAACAATCCTCAAAAAACCAAGAATAGAAGGGAAATTGGTTAACAAGATAAAGCACATCTACAAAAAAAACAAAAAACCTCACAGCTAGCAAAGTATTTAATAGTGAAAGATTGAATGTTTCCCCTCTAATATCAGGACCAAGGCAAGTATGTTCTCTCTCACCACTCCTGTTAAACATCATACTGAAAGTCTTAGCCAGTGCATTAAGGCAAGAGAAAGAAATAAACACTATACGGGTTGGATAGGAAAAAATAAAATCATCTCTATTCATACATGACATCATTGGAAATCCCAAGTAATCTACAACAAAGTTCCTAGAGCAGGTAAGTAAGATTAGCAAGGTCAAAAGAAATAAGGTCAGTATACAAAAATCAATTGTAATAAAGAATTAAAATTTATAATTTAAAAAGTACTATTTACAATAGTAACAAAAAAGACCCAAATAAATTTAGAGGTACACAGTGTTAGACGTCAATTCTCTTGAATCTGATCTATAGACTTAAGGGAATCTTAATCAAAATCCTAGTGTACTGTTTTGTAGATTTCAACAACTGATTCTGAAATGTACAAGGCAGGTCAAAGGAACTATATAACAGCCAAAAAAATTTGGAAGGAAATACAAAGCTAGAGGATTCAGGTTGGCTGATTTCAAGACTCAGTGTAAAGTCACAATAATAAAGACAATGTGATGTTGGTGAAAGAACAGACACCTATTAATAGTTCAATGAAACAAAAATAGACCCACACGGATATAGTCAAATGATTTTTGACAAGAAGCAATAGTAATTCCACGGAGAGAGGAATAGTTACTTAGACAAACAGTGCTGGATCCTGCCTCACACCTTATACAAAAATGAACTCAAAATGAACCCTATTCTTAAACACAGAATGTAAAACCATTACATTTGAGGATGAAAACATGAGAAAACCTGCATGACTGCAATGTGTTTAGCTATGGGTCTAAAAGCACAATCCGTAAAGAAAACTTGGCAACTTCGACTTTATCAAAATTAAAAACTTATACACAGTGAAAAACCCTATTAAGGGAATGAAAAGCCATAGATTGGGAGAAAATACTTGCAAATTGTAAGTCTGATAAAGTTTATGTGCAGAATACATGAAGAAAGTCAGTCTTTTTTTTTTTTTTTTTTTGAGATGGAGTCTTGCTGTATCACCTAGGCTGGAGTGCAGTGGCGTCGTCTCAGCTCACTGCAATCTCCAGCCTCCTGGGTTCATGCCATTCTCTTGCCTCAGCCTCCTGAGTAGCTGGGACTATAGGCACCTGCCACCACGCCTGGCTTATTTTTTGTAGTTTTAGTAGAGACGGGGTTTCACCATGTTGGCCAGGCTGGTCTTGAACTCCTGACCTCATGATCTGCCTGCCTCGGCCTCACAAAGTGCTGGGATTACAGGCGTGAGCCACCGTGCCTGGCCTGACTCCAGCTATTATCCATATCCGCGCCCAGCCTGAAGAAACTCAATCTTAAGAAAACAAACAACTCAATTAAAAAATGGGCAAAATATCTGAACAGATATTTCACCAAAGAAGACATACATACAGATGCCTAATAAGCATGAAAAGACGAGTGTTAAGTAAATGCAATTAAAAGTACAATAGGATACTACGAGACATCTTTCAGCCATATTAGAATGTCTAAAATAAAACAACCTGACAACATCAAAAGCTGGAGAAGATGTAAAGTAATGGTAACTCTCATATATCACTGACGGGAATGCAAAACGGTACAGCCACATTGGGAAACAGTTTGGCAGTTTCTTATAAAGTTAAACATACACTTAGCATACTGGCCAGCAATCTCACTTCTAGATATTTATTTATATTCAAATGAAGTGAAAACTTATTGTTGGAAACCATTTCCCATGGGTCTCATGTATTTCTACATATCTTGCAACAGACGTGCTGTCTGCTCTGGTTTATCTTTTCAAGATGTATATATAGGGAACAGCCTTGGAAAACAGAAATACTGTCTGTCTTCAAAGCAAAGAGTAGGCATGCTTATTGTCCAATATAAAGATAATACCTAACTCTGGAGCGAAGGACCAGCATGCTCACAGTCCATTATAGAAGATTTGGTTTTCTTAAGTTCAGGGCCCCCTCCTTTAACACAACCTAATGCATGAGCAAGAGTCGCCTGGTCCTCATTGTTTCACCCTGCGGAAATTGGGGCTCAGGGAGCTAGTACAAGAAAATGCTGATGCTCTGGTTACTGCTTTTGCTGTGGGTAATAAAGTCATTTGTCTCTGACCCAAAAGCCTTGGTGTTCTGCCGGCATCCACATTAGTTTGCAAGAAAGGTAAAATCTCAGGCCCTTCACAGTTCTCAACACCTTTTCACACAAAAATCTGTAGGCAAATGTTTACTGCAGCTTTATGTATAAAACCCAAAACAGGAAATAACACAGATAGCCTTCAACAAGGAATGGGTAAACAGTTTTGCTTCCATACTCATCAATAAAGCACTACTCATTAATAAAAACACTACTTATCAATAAAAGGGAATAAACTCTTGATTCATGAAATAAGTTGGACGAACTTATAAGAACTGACAAAGTTCTTATATCCAGAAACTCAATTTTTTTTTTTTTTTGAGACGGAGTCTCGCGCTGTCGCCCAGGATGGAGTGCAGTGGCGCCATCTCGGCTCACTGGAAGCTCTGCCTCCTGGATTCACGCCATTCTCCTGCCTCAGCCTCCCGAGTAGCTGGTACTACAGGCGCACACCACCACACCTGGCTAATTTTTTTGTATTTTTAGTAGAGACGGGGTTTCACCATGTTAGCCAGGATGGTCTTGATCTCCTGACCTCATGATCCGCCTGCCTCGGCCTCCCAAAGTGCTGGGATTACAGGCAGGGGTCAAGTGTTATTTTGGTAAGTGAAAGAAGCTAGAACCCAAAAGTTCTATTGTATGATTTTGTTTATATGACATTCTGGAAAAGGAAAAGCTATAAGGACAGAGAAACAGAGCAGTGTTTACCAGGAGGGAGGGGGAGTTGGTGACAAAGGGGCATATGAGGACATTTTGGGAGTGATAGAATTGGTCCCTTTGGTACTGTGGTGGAGATACATGACTCTATGCATTTATCAAAATCCATGAACTATCACCAAAAAGAGTGTTTTTTTTTTTACTGCATGCAAATTAAAATAAGATTCAACTAGGATGTGGAGGAAACCAAGGTGAAATGCAGACTGTAACCAATGAGTCTAACTGTGTCACTAATGAATGACATAAGCACGCTAAAGAGATTGGGTAAGAAAGTTACCTGACTTCACAGCTTTGGAAGACAGTTTTTTGAATGGATACTGTAAAGTTAAAGCAGAAAAAAAAAGCTGTATACAAACACTATAGCTGATAAATTTGTTTCTTGTAGAGTATGAACTAGCAATATCGAAACTATATGTACAGTAGGGTTGAAAATATAAGTAAATATGTTATAGGTAATGAGAATCAGGTTTCTCCTTGTTGAAGAAGTTGCAAATAAGTTCATTACAAATGAACCCTGGGCTCTGTGTTGGAATTAGAGGTATCAGTATGAACGCATGATTTGTTTGCTTATTTAATATAAATACAGACTGATATACAGATAAATAAATATAGATGTTTATGGATACATGGAGTAGCTATAGAAATATACATTTAATAGATATTATCATATATATCAATATATAATATAGATATTTTCTATGTATATATATTTCTATCTCTGTCCACTGAGAGGGCGTAAAAGCAGTGATACAATCCGGTAGCAATAACCACAACCAGGTGTCCAGATCTTGGTTTCTAAATACCATTCTGTAACAAAAGAAACCAAGGTTCCTTGGAGTAGTGGTGGATTTCAGGGCTGAGGCTGGGAAAATATAAGATGATCATAGAACATCTTATAGTGACAGAAAATCAAGAAATGCTAAAGGGGGAAAAAAAGGTGGATGCATATTTAAATATTTAGAGGCAGCATAAAAGAATTCCCAATGGCCAAAGTAACAAAATAAATAATGATAGTATTAGATTATAACTCCAAGAATAAAATAAATTTCCATGAGTCCACATTGAAATAAATATATAAATGAATAAGTAAAAGGGGGAAAGGGAAATCTTTTCCTTATAGAATAATTCCAATATAGAAATGTAAAAGGAATAGAGGAAATATAAAATCACCTCAGCTCAGTAATAATTGTTGTAAGGATGATCCACATTGAGGGCTAAAATTGTGGGCAAAAGCTTAAGGAACAAATGATATTTGCATAGCTTCAGAGCACCTCCTCCAAAACTTTTATTATTTACAAAGGGAAAAAAATGGTAACTTTTGGAGGAGAAACCTGGCAGATGTCACCTTAACCAAATGATCAAAGTAAACACTGCTGGTCATAGAGCATATCAGCATCATGTGTGCCTTCAGGTGATCCACTGGGAAGAGTATTCCCTCCCCCAAATCCATAACCCAATCTAATAATGAGAAAACATTAGACAAAATCAAACTTAAGGACATTCTACAGAAGATCTGAATAGTACTCTTCAAAAGTGTCAAGGTCACAAAAGACA
Source organism: Homo sapiens (assembly GCF_000001405.40). Lineage (NCBI taxonomy): Eukaryota > Metazoa > Chordata > Mammalia > Primates > Hominidae > Homo > Homo sapiens. The sequence goes on along the minus strand of NC_000002.12, from coordinate 98,197,135 downwards.
AGGCGAGATTGAAGAACTGTCACAGATTGGAAGAGACTAAGGAGGCATTGCAACTAAATGTCATGTGAGATCCTTGGCTGGATCTTGGAACATAAAAGGAACATTAGTGGAAAACTGATGAAGGCTGAATAAAGTCTGCAATTTAGCTCATAGTAGCCATGTGAATGTCTTAGTTTTATAATTATACCATGGCTATGTTAGAGGTGAACATTGGAGAAAGCTAGGTGAAGGGTAAATGTGAACGCTCCGTACTACTTTTGCAACTTTTTTGTAAGTCTAAAATTATTGCAAATTTAAAAGTTAAAAGCAAAACAAAACCCTCTTGCAGGATTTGGGCAGCAGAAATGTGTATTCCAGATGGTAAACAGAACAACTCTTCCCTCTGAGCCCATTCTCAATAGTCTTTTGTTGAAAAGCCTACTGCTGAAAAGATGGTGGCAAAGCTGGGGAAGAGGCAGACAGAGAGAGCCCGGGGAAACATGGTCTGGGGGTGGCACCTGTTTTGCACCTGCTCCCTCCATCTCCCCCGCTCAACTACTGGGCAGGCGCGGCCACAGCTTGTGCTCCCTGGCCTTAGGAACGCCTATGCTTGTTTGGGGACCTACTGCTGCATGACAACAGCACAAAGCAGGCTCAGACCACCCTGAGTGCTACCGGGTTGACTACTGGACCAAATCAGCCGAAAGAATAATAGAATTTGGCTTTCTTTATTATCTTTTTAAAATTAATTTACTTTTAATTGACAAATAAAATTGTATATATGGTATACAATGTAATGTTTTGATATATGTATATGTTGTGGAATGAGTAAACCAAGCTAATTAACAAATCTGTCACCTGACATATTTTTGAGTGGTGAGAACACTTAAAATTTACTCTCTTGACAATTTTCAAGTATACAATACATTGTTATTAACTATAGTTACCATGTTGTACAATAGAGCTCCAGAACTTATTCCTCCTGTCTAACTGAAACTACGTACCCTTTGACCAACATCTCCCCATCCCCACCCAGCACCCTGCTCCTAGTCTCTGGTAACCACCATTCTACTCTCTGCTTCTGTGAGTTCAACATTTTTAGATTCTACATATAAGTGAGATCATGTGGTGTTTTTTCTTTCTCTGCCTGGTTTATTTTACTTAATATAATGTCCTCCAGGTTCATTTATTTGGTTGCAAATGACAGGATTTCCTTCTTTTCTAAGCTGTGTAGTATTCCATTGTGTATATATGCCACATTTTCTTTATCCTTGGTCCTTTTGAAAATGAATTTTGGACATTCAACAAGCCAGCAAGGGAGCATCAGTGAAAATTTGTAAAGAGAACAGAATTATGCTTTATAGGAATATGTGTTTTTAGCCAAATGGCTAAAATCTGAATAGATGGCTGACTCTATTCATTAGTGATTTTTATATAAAGCAGAACCCAATGATGTTTTTATGCAATGAGATTATATATATAATATCTTGTTATCATAAACCCTAAATTAGTAGGCTCTGAGTTAACAAGGTATTTCCTATTATTGTGTCATAAAAGGACAGAAAAAAAAAAGGACAGAACGTATGTCACAAGTAACTTCATTGGTTAATCCTGGAAATTTAACAAGTTGGGTATGAATTCAACACTATTTCCCAGGATAAGGTGCCCAGTTAAATTAAAATCTTACAGGCATTATTATTTCTTATAGAACAGATTTTCGCCTCCCAGTTTTAAAAACAAGTCACAAGGGAGCCCTGGTGCATCTCAATGATCTGCTAATGTCTATTTGTGACTTTCTGTCAAATCTAAGACTCTAAACTAGACACTAAACTACTTTAAAGATGTTTCTGATACATATTTGCCTTTTTAAGAAAAGATACGGAGACTTGCTCTGTTGCCCAGGCTGGTCTCAAGTTGCTGGGCTCAAACGATCCTCCTACCTCAGCCTCCCAAGGAGCTGGGACTACAGGTGTGCACCACGATGTCCAGCTCCTATATTTGACTTTTTAAGAACAACTCTTGGTCTCAATTGTAGTATATCTCAAATATTTGGAAGTTCGCAATGCTATATGCTATAAAAAATTAAGATAAGCTCAAGATAAGAAAATTTAGGGCAAGGAAAATCCTTCCCAGGAGTCTGTGTAAATGCCAAGGGCAGTCACTTCTGAGGAAATGATTTCACCTTCTTACTACATTCTCCTGCCCTAGCTCTCTTCTTGCATTCAGTCCTAAACACTCAGATTGTACTGTGTATTTCCACATGCTCCTTACTTTTGAACAAAGCCCATTGATAAGAATGGCTGCAATATACCGTTTGCAACAATAATGAAATTTCAGAAGAAAAAAATCTGAATGTCTGAGTACAAAAAAAAAACTCTGTTTTGAAATGTGTTTTCATAAGGGGGCTTCAACCTGAGCCAAGGGCAGAGCTGGAAATAGAGAACTGTGAGTAGATAAGAATAAGAGGCTCATCTAAACCTTATGATATTGACAAAATGAGATTGGATTAACGTGACCACTGCAAGCAAAACAAAAGTCTACATGTTAAGCCACTTCCATCCTGAGAGTGCAAAACACCTCTCAGGAATGTCTGTCCTGTGAATGAACTCAGTACACAGGTGAGAGACTCCTAGGATGCTTCTCCCAGCTTAGTCTCCAACTTACCTTTATGTCTCTAATCCAGGACTGAGCCTGTTCCAAATTATCTTCATTGACTTCAGCAAGTTGTTCCCGCCAAGCAACTGCTTGACCATCAAACTTCACAAAGTTAAACTTACTTTTATATTTCAGCTGTTCCTAAAAGAGACAATGATTATTTAACCATAAAACCACTCAGATGTTAGAAAGGGTTTGGGTAGGCCACAGTTTGATATATTTTAATCATGATGGTCTCTATTTTCAGTTCAAGAAGCAAAAAATTATATTCAATAGAGAATATCCTATCTAGTATAAAGGATATTTAAATAAAATTTATCCAGTTTGTGTGTTAAGACCTTTACAAATGTATATATGATTATATGAATATACATTATATATGTCACGTATATGTAAAAGTTTATATATATAATGTGACATTAAATATTGATTTTAATACTAACATTAAGGATATACCAAATAAGCACACCAAATACAATATGCTGGAAGAAAAGAAATCTAAAACAACATCATTTCAGTCATTCTCTTTTAGGTAAAGCCATTATTCAGTTACAACTTTATACACTTGTTCATATTTCTCCAGTAGAGCTTTGTTAAATTAAAAAGTGCATTTTGGCTGGGCACGGTGGCTCACGCCTGTAGTCCCAGCACTTTGGGAGGCCGAGGCGGGCGGATCACGAGGTCAGGAGATCGAGACCATCTTGGCTAACACGGTGAAACCCCGTCTCTACTAAAAATACAAAAATTAGCCGGGCGTGGTGGCAGGCGCCTGTAGTCCCAGCTACTTGGGAGACAGGAGAATGGCGTGAACCCGGGAGGCGGAGCTTGCAGTGAGCCGGGTTGGCACCACTGCACTCCAGACTGGACGACACAGTGAGACTCCATCTCAAAAAAAAAAAAAAAGTGCATTTTGTATTTCTCAAACACTCCCCGCTATTATTTCTATGGTTAATAATACATCAATACTACAAACTCACATTACTGTGATGTCATTTGACAGGTGTGGACACTAGGATTTAGGGCACTTGGGCAACCTGCTTCAGTTCACACAGCTCAGAGGCAGCACAGGCAGAATAAGAACTGGGAGCTTCTAAACACCAGCCTGCACGCCTCCCATGCACCAGGGTACACAGCATCCCCAATAAACATTTGAAATTAAAAATGCTAAGATGAGGAGTTTCTGGAAGACAATGGAAGTGTGTGTATACCAAAGATTTCAGGACAGAGAAAATCTGAAACAATGAACATAGCAACTCCCTTAAGCAACTCATGTGTGACAGAAAGAATCCACCAGAGAAAGGGTCTATTTGCAAAAGAGAACTGATGATTCTTTAACTAACAAAAGGGAGTACTTCTCTGAATTTGGCTTTCTTAGGAATTTTTTAGAGCAACAAGCCCCTATCCACTGCTCATAACCATCTGATACACAAAGCCCCAAATGCATGAACCGACAGTTCCATCTAACCTGTATGAACTGAATGATCTTGTCCTTCACCAAGTCCAGTTTGCTCTTCATTGAGTGAGACGTGTCAATGAGAATGTAGATGCAATCATTATGCAATCTTCCAAAGAGGCTTTGACTCCCATCCTGTAGCCATTTAATCCTAGGCAGGAAGTAGGTTGAAAGTGAATGGTGAGAGCCTGCAGGCAACAAGAGCATCTTCCCAAGAACTTAACGATGCATCTGCAGAGGACAGAGCTGCGCTATGTTGTTTATACCCAATCTTCTGTGAGTAGATCATTCGCTTTGAGGTTTTTCTGTAGAAAATCCTACATTTGGGCTGTAGGATGCACTACCCACCATCAAGCCAAGTAAAACAAAACTAAGAAAATCAGTATGACAGAAAAATAAATCCATTGTGGGTGCTGTCAGGCCTCTGGGCCCAAGCTAAGCCATCATATCCCCTGTGACCTACACATACACATCCAGATGGCTGGTTCCTGCCTTAACTGATGACATTCCACCACAAAAGAAGTGAAAATGGCCTGTTCCTGCCTTAACTGATGACGTTGTCTTGTGAAATTTCTTCTCCTGGCTCATCCTGGCTCAAAAGCTCCCCTACTGAGCACCTTGTGACCCCCACTCTGCCCGCCAGAGAACAACCCCCTTTGACTGTAATTTTCCTTTATCTACCCAAATCCTATAAAACGCCCCCAACCTTATCTCCCTTTGCTGACTCTCTTTTCAGACTCAGCCCGCCTGCACCCAGGTGATTAAAAGCTTTATTGCTCACACAAAGCCTGTTTGGTGGTCTCTTCACACGGACGCACATGAAAGGTGCCAAAGTCAAAAATAAATTACTTCTAGTCATCTGATATTTTGAGGACCTCAGCTATGATTTCAGACTATTTGTTCTTCTAATCTGGCTGACTGCCGTCAAGCTAGTGAAGCCAGCACATTCCTGAAGCTTCAATGAAACTTATGGACAGCATCAAGCAGCCCCAGAGCTCTGTAATAACCAAGGCCCTGGTGGCTGTGTGAGAAGGACTGCGTCTGTGGTCCATGATCAGGTTCCCATCACAGGATATAAATAAATGAAATTCGTAGCTGCAAGCAAAGCCTGGGGGGTGGAGGTAAGGAAAGAGTATGGAAAAAATATTTGAATTGAGCTCAGAGTTCAGCAAAGCCTAAGAAACTAAAATTTGAATGGCAAAATATTGAAAGGACACTACTGCACAGGAGAAAGGGAGAGAGAGCATGCTCCAGAGATCTGCAGAAGGGTGTCCTCGAAATTTTGGCTAAATAATGATCAAGGCATGCATGTGAAGAAACTACTGAAGCCAAGGAAGAAATCACCAAAGGAGTAGGCTGATCAACCCCTCAGGGCTCACACATGGCTAGGAGTAGTTCATCTACCAGCCAGAGTAGGAAAATCTCCTTAATATATGGGGCAACAAGTAGCGTTCTTGAAAGAGTATTGCCTCGGTAGCAGGACCAAATTAGCCCTGGGCTAAAGGCGACCCTAGATCTATTCTAACATAACTGAAAAGCAATTCCTAGAGAGATCAAACTGGTTTCAAGTAACTTGACTGTATCAAGAACATATATAAAAATACAATGAAATCTAGTACCTGATAATGTAAAGTTAAAATGCCTGGCATCCAGTAAAAAATTACCAGGCATACAAAGAAGCAGGAAAATACGATCCAAACCAGAAGAAAAACTGATCAACAGAAACAGATCCCAAAATGACACAGATGATAGAATTAGTGGAAAAGGATGTTACACAGCTATTGCAAATATAACCCATATGGTCAAAAAGGTAAAGTATAAACAGAATGAGGAGAGAAATGGAAGATATTTAAATAGACCCAAATAAAACTTGTAGAGAGATACAATATCTGAAATTTAAAATACACTGCATGGTATTAATAGTACATTAGACATTAGGAGAAGAAAAGATTAGGGAACAAAAGACAAAGCAAAGGAAACAATTTAAAGTTAACTCAGAGAGAAAAAAGACAAAAGCATTTTCATCAGAGATAATTAGTGGCCCATGGAACAATATCAAGGAGTCTAACATATGTGTAATCAAAGTAGAAGAAGGAGAAGAGAGGGGGAGGCAGAAAAAATATTTGAGAAAATATGACCACAATGTTTTAATTTTGATTGAAACAGTGCACCTACAGATCCAAGAAGCTCAAAGAACCCAAGAAGAAGAAAAATAAAGAAAACTACACCCAGGTATATCACAATAAAATTGATAAAATCTAGAAACAGAGAAATTTTAAAAAGCATCAAAGTCATTATGTGTAGAGGAGCAAACAAAAATATGACAGGAGACTTCTTATCATAAATCATGCAAACCAGGAGACAATGGAGAAGGATTTTCAAAGTACTGAAAGACAGAACTGTAAAACCAGAATTCTATGCTTAGCCAACACATCATTCGAAAATAAAGGTAAATTAAAGAGTTTTTCAGACTGAAACAGCTCATTCATCACCAATAGACCTGCACTACCAGAAATATGAATGAAACTTCTTCAGGTGGAAAAAAAATGATACCAAATGGAAATGTGGATGCATACAAAGGAATAAAAAGCAACAGAGATATCAAGTATGTGGTTAAATATAAAATACATCTACTCTAGTTTCTAATCTAGTTACAAGACAATTGACTGTTTAGAATGTATTGTGTAATGCATGCACAGAAGTGCACAACAATAGAAAGGGCGTAAGTGGGAGTGAAAGTTGTAAGATTCCTGTAATATACATGAAGTGATATAATATTATTTGTAGGGTGACTGATAAGATAAATATTGTAAATCCTAAATAGCCACACACACACATCAAAACACAACAAAGAGGTAGAGCTAATAAGACAATAGTGGAGATAAAATGTAATAATAAAAAATACTCAAACAAAAGAAGGCAAAAAACCAGTAAAAAGGGAACAGAAAACAAATAGCAAAATCTTAGATTTAAATCCAATCAAATCAATAATCACATTAAATGTAAATGATTTTAACACTCCAATTAAAAGCCAAAGATTGTTAGGTTGGATTAATAAAACAATGCTCATATATAATTATATATCTTGTGTCTGTAAGAAATCCATTTAAATACAGGATGCAGACAAGTAAAGATGAAATGATAGAAAAAAAGAATAATAAAAATAATGTAGGGCGGTTAAACTGCTATCAAAGTAAATTTCAGAGCAAGGAATATTACCAGACATATAAAAGGGACATTTCATAATTACAAAAAAGTTGGTTCATCGAGAGAACATAACAATCTTAAATGTACATGCAACTATTAATAGAGCCTCAAAATACATGAAGAAAAAACAGAACTGAAATGAGAATTAAAGACTACAGTTGGAGATTTCAACACTCTTTTCTCAATAATTTATAGAACAACTAGAGAAAATCAGTAATAATATGAAAGACTTGAATGACACTCTCAACCAACTTGAGCTAATTGATACCTGTAGTATACTCCACCCAACAAAACCATATTTTTTTTTTCCAAAATCTGTACTACAAAACAGGTCCCAATAAAATTATAAGAATTGAATCACACAGTATTTCTCTGTTTACAGTGAAATTAAAACAGAAATCAGTAACAAAAGCTATCAGGAAAATCCACAAATATTTGGGAAGTAAACAACACAATCGCACTGTCACCTAGGCTGGAGTGCAGTAGTGCGATCTGCAAGCTCCGCCTCCCGGGTTCAAGCGATTCTCCTGCCTCAGCCTCCCGAACGGCTGGGACTACAGGTGCCCGCCACCATGCCTAGCTAATTTTTTGAATCTTTAGTAGAGACAGGGTTTCACTATGTTGGCCAGGCTGGTCTCGAACTCCTGACCTCATGATCCACCCCCTTGGCCTCCCAAGGTGCTGGGATTACAGGCGTGAATCACTGCGCCCAGCCTAAACAGCACATTTCTAAATAACCCTTTAGTCAAAGAAGAAATGATGGGGAAAATTAGAAAATATTCTGAAATGATTGAAAATGAAATACAATATATCAAAATCTGTGAGAGGCAGCTAAAGAGTACAGAAGAAAGGTATAACACATTGGGCAATACACGTGTGGCCTAGAAAAGAATGTGAGGTATGAAACAGAAGCATTCCTTAGCCTCCTACCACAAGGTGTGACCAGTGTGATAGCCACACGTTGGCTTGCTGTTTTCAATAAACTGCACTGGCATCAAGGCAGCTGGGATCTGAATCCAAACAACCCCCACCTTTTTTTTAACAAGGCTATCAGCAAACCATCAGATGGCAACCTTGACTTAACAATGTTTTGTTGGCCCTTTGTCTCAGTTGAGCTTTTACTGGTATATATACACCATGGAGTACTACTAAACCATACAAAAGAATAAAATTCTGTCATTCGCAGCAGCATGGATGAGCCTACAGGACATTATGTTAAGCAAATTAAGTCAGACACAGAAAGATAAATACCACATGTTCTCATTCATATGTGGGAGCTAAAAATATCTGAGCAGATAGAGGTAGTGAGTAGAACTGTATTAGAGACTGAGAAAGGTAGGGAGAGAGGATAGGGAGGTTGGTTAGCGAATACAAAAGTTTAGCTAGATAGGAGGAACAAGCTCTGGTATTCTGCAGCTCTGGAGGGTCAATATGGTCAGCTATAATTTATGTATATTTTTAAAAAGCTAAATGAGAGAATTTTGAATGTTCACAACATACAGAAACGACGTGTGTTTGAGGTGATGGATATGTGAGTTACCCTGATTTGATCTTTGTACATTGTATACACACACCTAAATATCACTCTGTATCACATAAATAGGTACAATCATTATGTGTCAACTAAAAATAAAAGGGAGGAAAAAAGATCAAGCAGATGAGAATGTCCAGAGCGAGGAGACCACTTGTAACTTCCTGCAAATAACACCAACCTCCTTCGGATCCGGGCCAGGGCTGTGTGGATTCTCTCACTGTACCACTTGCACTTCTCTTTGGTAATGTTGACGTGGACCAAGCTCCCATCCTTCCAGGGAGCATGGACAAACCTGCTGCAATATTTTGCATGGACTGTCTTCTTGTTCGTCTCCTAAGGAGATGACAAAGGACAGAAGCCACTCAGAAACTGTCCAAAGAGAAGAGCCTCCAGATGGCACCTTAAGCTCTGTCGTATTCAAGTGGCTCCTAGCACTCCACTCTACCGTCAATCATTCCTTTGTTAGTTCAACCAAATATGTTCCGCTGCCCGCTTCCTATGGAGCCCTGCACTAGATGTCATGAACATAGGCCAGAAAGATACAGGAGATCACATGTGTGCCCCAGAAAAGCTAATGATTCCAGCATAGAGACACCCCCAACCGACACACACACACACACACACACACACACACACACACACAGACACAGAGACGGAGAGGGAGAGGGAGAGAGAGAGAGACATAGCAATGTGGAGAATTAGATACTCAGTCCCTGGCACTGGGTTGAGACAGTAAGGACCTGGAAAGTCCTGGTAAAGAAGAGAGAGCGACAGTGGACTAGACGGCCAGCGAGACCATTCTGGAGGAGGCAGGACTGAGATTCTCATGAATCCTCTTTTCCCACCAAGAACCCCACTGCACATCTAGCGCCCTCCACTGAGACAGACGGAGCGAGCCCTCCTCAGTGGACCTCCATGACTTGGCCCACAGGCACTCAACCGGCGCTCCTCCTCTTAGGAGACCTTCTAAGACACCAGGAATACAAACACACACAATGACCAAACCCCTGCCTTCATGGAGCTCACAGTGCAGGAGGGGAGCCCAGTAATAAGCAAATCATGACACATCAGGTCAGAGGATGACACGTGGAGGAAGGCAAGGAGGAAGAGCAGAGAGCAGAGAAAGAGGGGAGAGACCGGACAAGTTAGAACCTCGCAGGGAAAGCCTCCCAGAGACAGTGAGCTAGGAGAGAAGGCCTGGCGGAACAGAGTGTGGCCATAGCGAGGCTGGGAGGAGGTCAGAGGATGCAGCGAGAGCAAAGGCCTGAGCTGGGAGTCCACCTGGCATGCTTGTCGAATTTTAGGAAGGCCAATATTGCCAAAGGAAAGAGAGAGAGGGAAGAGAGAGTGAGAGAAGCCGGGACACACGAAGAGGAGGGCCAGGAGCAGGTCCCGTAAAGCCTGACAGCTGTCGGAAATGAGCTGGCTTTTGCTCTGAGTGAAAAAGGACTCTTCCCAGGGCTTTCACGAGAGCAGCAACATGTCTGATTTAGGGTTTCACAGCTTTACAGTGGTTACTCTGTAAAGCAGACTGGACGGCCGAGGACCAAGGGCAGAAGCAAAGAGCCAGAAGGTCATGGAGTTGCATGGCCCCGGGCAGCCAAGACCATGGTAAGAAGTGGCCAGATCCTGAATGACAGGCACGTTCTGAAAACAGAACCGACAGCGTTCACCGAGAGATCAGATGTGTGTATGTGAGAAAAGAGAGGAGTCAGGAATGACCCTGAGGTTTTCAGGCCGGGACGGGAAAGGGTGGAGTTGCAATCAATTGATAGGAGGAAGGTTGTGGAAGAGCAGCTTTGAATGGGAAAGATCGAGATTTACCATCTGATGTATCAGGTTCAAGGTGCCTATTAGACATCCAGGTAGCACGGCAGTAGTCGGGAGATCAGGGTAGGCCGCGGGGCTGGAGGGGTACATTTTGAAGGCGCCGGCCGGCATGCACAGGGGATTAAAAGCCATGGGACTGGAGGAGACCACCCAGGAAATGAGTGTAGACAGAGAAGCGATCAGAGCACTGCACCTCGAGGTGCTTCGGCATTGACAGGTTAAGGACAAGGAGAAGTCACAAAGAAGACTGAGAGAGGAACAGCCAGCGAGGTGGGAGGATAACCAGCAGTGTATATTCTGCAAAAAAAAAAAAAAAAAATTCAAGGAAGTGACCAACTAGATCAACTTACTAAAGGTCAAGTAAGAAAGAGACTGAGAATGGACCCCTGGATTTAGCAATTCAGAGATCCCTGCAAAACGTGGGTTTTGGTGGAGAGGTGGAAGTGGGGGAGTTTCTGCCTGATGACAGCAGCTCCCAGGAGCATGGGAGGAGAATTGAAGAAGCAGAGAAAGGAAACGTATACAACTCGACTGAGGAATTGAATTCTAAGAGGAGCAGAGGCGTGGGGGCACAGCCAGAGGTACATATGGGATCAAAAAACTTTTTAAGATGGGAGAAATGGCAGAATGTGTGTGTGCTGATGCGAATTATCTGGAAACAAGGGCAACAGGAGGCTGTGATGTAGAAAGGGAGAGTGAATAAACGAGTGGAGAGACAGCCATGTATCTGTGCAGTGAATGGCCTTAGACAGGACAAGGACAATTCGGCCTGGGAGAAATAAAGGTAGATGGCAGACACTGGGGGCTGAGATGTGGAGGCAGAAGCTCATGACATTCCCGTCGATGTTCACAACACAGGAAGCAAGCTCACCTGCAGAGAGTGAGTGGAGTGAGCGTGGAGCGGAAGGTGCTAGGTGTTTCAGGAGGAGAGGACAGCCAGTGAGGGGCTGAGTGGACTGCTAGGCAGCACAAAATATCCACTGACATTAGTGGGCGTGAATTTACAGTGAAACCAGGCATTATATATCGTGGCTGTTTTTCTCCAGTTTCTGCCAGTACAGTTAACTGCACGGAGATAAGCCAGAAAAGACGGAAAGTTGGCATTAGCCAGGGTTAAATCTGGGGTTTTGCCAGGTGAGTGCAATAGTTTAAGAGAAGGGAAAAATGGTTGAGGATGCATGGGAGGATAGAGAGGACAGAGAGGAGGTGGTAGAAACAGTAACTTTTATATCCTGGTGGAGGAGACAGATGGGTGGGAATAGCGCAAGAGAATAAACAACCTACAGATGACTTGGTCAGACAGGGGGGCTGGTCAGACAGTTTGGAACTGAGGATGTGGCTTATGATTACACAGTTATTTGTAATGACAAGGCTGAGGGCATGCCTAAGGCAGGAGTGGTAGAGATGGAGTTGGGGAGGAAGTCACTGGGAAAGAGAAGGTAAAAGAAATGAGAGGTTGGGGTATTGGAAGGGTCCTCCATATGGGACTGAAGTCACTATGAACTAAAGCAGGTGTTGGAGCCAATGAAAGCAAGAGAGAAGCCCCATAATCTTCGAGGACTGACGAGGGTGAGCTTAGTAAGTGACAACCACAAGAGATGTCTTCAGTGACACAGTCTGATGACGTGGGAAGAAGGAGAGAGAAGGTCAAGAACCAGAAAACAGGAGCAAGGAGGCCACCACCCACCCCAGGTCCACAGGTCCAAAGGGAATGGGAGAGAAACCAGCCCCCACTCCAGAGGGCTGCAGGGAGGGCTTCTCAGAGAGGAGCCCCGGTAAGCATCCAATGGGAACGTTTCAGAGGCCTGGAAGCAATCAGGGTTTGCTGATGATGCGCCCAGAGGGCGGGGTGGGGGGATTTTAGGAGTCAGAGAGGGTGGAGTGGGGTCAGAAAAGGGATGTTCAGAGCCGCATGGCAATGAGAATTCCTGAGTCCAGTGGTGACTGGTGAGAACGAGTGGACTCAGTAGACTACTGGGCAGCTCAAAAGATCCACTGACATGAGCGGGCATGAATTTACAGTGAAACCAGGCATTGCATTGTGGCTGTTTTCCTCCAGTTTCTGCCAGTACAGTTAACTGCATGGAGATAAGCCAGAAAAGGCGGAAAGAGGTTGAAGGGCATGATGAGATCTGTCCTATGCTCCCAAGGCAGGCAGAGGTGGACACCTCCGCTGCCCTGCAAGGATGGAAGGAGAAAGGTGTCTTGTCTCTCATGTTCACCACATCCCCATCAAAGGGCATTTCCCGAGTGTGCCTCATGCACAGCCAAATGGAAAACCACCAGACCATACACCACAGAGAGGCAGGTTCTGTGTCAGGCAGCAGCGTGTCAGAATGGGAAAAGCACAGTGTGAAAGCCCAGTGGACCCAAGTTCAAACCCTGCCTCCAACTGCCACAAGATCAATCTCAAGCGAGTTACCTAACCTCTCACAGGTCCCGCGACTGTTTTCTCCTGTGTAAACTGAGAGCACAAATGTTTACCTTGAATATAAAGCATAGAAGCGTTCCATAAATGCTCAATTCTGACTCACAATGTTTGTAGTGCAGAAAAAAAGGAAGGCAACATCTGTGGGGCATCTCCTATGTGCCGGGCACTGTGCTCAGACATGCATTTGTAAATTTGCACTTTACACTACCCATTTCACAAATATGAAGGGTGAAGCTCAAAGAAGTCACATGATTTGTTCAACATCTCATCATCAGTAACTACTAGAAGCAGCATTTATACCTAGAACTTCTCGTTCCGTATCCAGTGTGCCTTCCGCCATATCACATGAACTGGTACATAGCAGGGGCTCCATAAATATTTGTTTGAAAAATAGACAAAGAGACAAGAATGGGTTTTTGAACATCAGGCCTGGTTTTGTGCATGAGCTCAAGCAACCGTGCATGCAGTGTGATTTCAGGGATGCCTGAAATATCAAGTTCTTAGGCTTGGCCTGAAATTCCCTTATTAGAAATGCATGTTTGTCTCCTCCTCCCAGTTGTTCATCATCTTTGAACTGCTACATAATAAGGCCTTTTTAGCCATTCATTTCTGTGTTAACGAGTTTCCTGGGTCTGTTCCTATAAACTAGTTTTTATTGTTAAATATTTAGGGGGTCTTGCCCAGTGGGAGTCTGGGGGAACCCTAAATAATCTACCTATTTCACAGCCTTAGTTTCTTCCTACTTTATACACATCACAATTTTAGGTGTGAATCCAGTTTCAGTATGTAGTCCCAAAGACTAAAAATAAAACTGTCCCTTTCTCATCAGTATTTGTAAAAAAAAAAAAAAAAAAAAAGGGAGCTGTACTATATATTAATAATTCTCAATCTTTACCATAATACAGTTGACTAGCACAAAAAAATTGAGGTAAAATTCCCTCTTGTAAGCCAAATTATTCAAAGTGATCCTGTAAAATTTCATTTAAAATTGACAAGAATGAGTTAGGAGATGATCAGTATTAGAGCTAGCTTGAATATACTACATTGTTGTCAGTTTGCAGTAAGCTATGTTCAAATTGATGGGGATTAATATTTTGAAATATCCAGAATCTAATGTATTTTTTATTTTATTTTATTTTGAGACAAAGTCTCCCTCTGCCGCCCAGGCTGGAGTGCAATGGCGCAATCTTGGCTCACTGCAAGCTCCACCTCTCGGGTTCTGCCTCAGCCTCCCAAGTAGCTGGGATTACAGGCACGTGCCACCATGCCTGGCTAATTTTTGTATTTTTAGTAGAGATGGGGTTTCACCATGTTGGCCAGGCTGGTCACGAACTCCTGACCTCAAGTGATCTGCCCGCCTTGGCCTCCCAAAGTGCTGGGATTACAGACGTAAGCCACCATGCCTGGCCTATTTTTAAAATGAAAATTTAGTTATGTGTGATTTCCTGAACATTACAGAATAATGTCTACAAAACCAGAAAACTGTGCTGGGGGAGGAAACCCACAAATGAGATTTTCCCTGCGCTGTAGCAATTACCCTGCATCCTAGGGTAAGCCAGGAAACAAGTCGTGCATCAATTCTGCATTTTTCTAATTCAGTTTTTATATTTTCTTCCTTGCAGTTTGTCATAAATGCACAGCAGTGAGGGGGCAAGAACATAACATGGTGTGGCTCACATAGCCCCGACGGACAGTGCCCTTTCCATGGAGGGCATGTAGGGCTCAGTGGCCGGCCAGCCTAATAACAAGTGGCAACAGGACTGGAGTTCCCCCTCTGCTGGAGTTACAACATCTCAGTAATGACCCTGACTTTGAATCGGAGCCTTCAAGAATACATGAGGTGACACTGCATTTGAGGGGGGGGCCTTGATTTTCTTTCCCAGGTGTCTCCTCTGGGCTGCGGTCACCCGCCTGTCACCTGCCTGTCTGCCCTGGGCTTGCATTTTAGGTTCACTTCACAGCATGTACCTGGAACTTTGCCACCTCCTGAAAGAGCCTGCCTTTGGTTTTGCAAATCTGCCATGTTCATTTTATCCTGATTTCTATTTCACATTGGGACACTTCTTAGTCTTTCCATGCTTCTAAACCTTTGACACCTTGTCTTCTGGTTCCTGTTCTACACCTCTCTGCTTCTCAAGGTGTGGCCCCTGGACCAGCAGTGTTAGCATCATCTGGGGGTTGTTATGGATGCAAATTCTTGAGCCACATTTCGGACCTACTGACTCATATGCATGATGCTGGAGTTAAGGCAGCACTGCTGTCGAGCACTGTCCTTCATTGGGAGCCAGAGTCAGGCACTAGGAGAAGCTGTATTCCTACAAAACCCACAATAGAACTGCAGCTTTCAAAGTTTTTAATGGTTATAGCCCTTTGGAGGATCTGACTCCTTATTTGCTGGGATTGCGCTGTATGCTGGCTGCTAGTCACTGGAATAATGAGGGAAAATACAAGAGGACCACAGAAACGCCTGCTGCGCTGGGCATACTCACCAGCAATTTCTCTTTTCCATTCAATATGGGGGAACAAAGGGCTTCTCTATTTGCATAATGTTGAATAATTCTGAAACTCATAATGCCTGATTTCTCCAAACCCAGCCCCTGGCTTATGTACAACTCACTGATGTCTAGAACTCATTCCCAGCCTTGATCTCCACTCCCACAGATGCCCTTTGGAGAAGGGTGAGGAGGGAAACAGAGGAACCCTGTTCTTCACAGAAACCCAAGCTGGTTTCTCTCCCTGCTGCCCCTTCCCCTGCCTTCTGACCCGATGGAGGCCTCACCCACCCAGGACTTGAGGGGAGGCCCCAGCCCCTCCCAGGAGTGCACTTCACCTACCGCACTGGTCTGCACGGACTCATTCTCCGGTTTGGCTTTTATATCCACAACCCCATCAGCGTGGCGGAAAGAGCAGTCGGCAAGCACATCATACAAGGATAGCTTCTGGGCCTTCAAGCCATATTTCTGCAGCCATGTCTTAGAGTCCCAGGTGTCTTCTGGATTCGATGCAATCTCAACAGAGGTTGTTTCTGACTCTGTAGAATCACAGCTTGTCAGCCATTCATACTGCATGAGCCATTCATATTACACCCCCAACTTAATATTGACCAACTTGGAACGTGTTCTTTATTAGACACAAAGCCCATGTTTCATTTCAGAAAACAGCTTTCCAAAGCAGGACTGGCAAAGAATTATTAGGCTTTTAATGGCAAAAACCACGACTACTTTTGCACCAACCTAATAATTCAAAAGACTGCAAAGCAGGGTTACTTTTTATTTCACTTCCTCCTCTACCAAAGTTGACTGGCCCCATGCCTGGGTGAAGGTGACCAGTAGACCAAGGCTGTGTGTCAGGAGCCATGTATGTGTAAGGATGGAGTCAGAAGCTCTGGCTTCAAGGCCTGGCTCCATCACCTTCTAGCAAGTTGCTCAAACTTGGGTGAGTCACTCCACTTGACCTCTCTGAGCTTAGGCAGGATTCTTCACCTGCAGCTGGAAGACAGTATTTGCTTGGCCTTCCTAGGTAAACTGCAGCAATCCAGTGAGAAAAGTTATGTGAGGCCAGGCATGGTGGCTCACGCCAATAATCCCAACACTTTGGGAGGCCAAGGCAGGTGGATCACCTGAGGTCAGGAGTTTAACACCAGCCTGGCCAACATGGCGAAACCGCATCTCTACCAAAAATACAAAAATTAGCCAGGTGTGGTGGCAGGTGTCTGTAATCCCAACTACTTGGGAGGCTGAGGCAGAACTGCTTCAACCTGGGAGGCGGAGGTTGCGGTGAGCCGAGAATGCACCACTGCGCTCCAGCCTGGGCAAGAGAGCAAGACTCCATCAAAAAAGAGGAAAGAATGAAAGAAAGACAGAAAGAAAGAGAGAGAGAGAAGAAAAGAAAGAAAGAGAGAAAGGGAGGGAGGGAGGGAGGAGAGAGACAGAAGAAAGAAAGAAAAGAAAGAAAGAAAGAGAGAAAGAAAGAAAGAGAGAAAGAGAGAAAAGGAGGGAGGGAGGAAGGAGAGAGAGAAGAAAGAAAAAGAAAGAAAATAGAAAGGGAGGGAAGGAGGAAGGGAGGAAGGAGATAGATGAAGGAAAGAAAGAGAAAGAGAGAAAGGAGGGAGGGAGGAAGGGAGGAAGGAGAGAGAGAGAAGAAAGAGAAAGAAAGAGAGAGAGGGAGGGAGGAAGGAGAGAGAAGAAAGAAAGAAAAAGAGAGAAAGAAAGAAAGAAAAAGAAAGAAAGAAAGAAAGAAAGAAAGAAAGAAAGAAAGAAAAGAAAGAGAAAGAAAGAGAGAAAGGAAGGAGGGAGGAAGGGAGGAAGGAGAGAGAGAGAGAAGAAAAAGAAAGAAGAAAGAAAGAAAAAGAAAGGAAGAGAAAGAAAGAAAGAAAAGAAAGAGAAAAAAGAGAAAGAAAGGAAGAAAGGAAGGAAGGTAGGTCACGTGAAAATGCTCTGTAATGTGGTGGAAAGAGAAGTGATGAGGTGGAGGCGATCAACACGCGAAGGCTAGGAGGCTGCCTCCCCTGAAGCCCCTTTGTTACCTTGGTGAGTGTGTCCTGACTCACAGCCTGGCTTTCCACCCTGCAGGCTCAGAAACCTCATGTGCCCTATCTAGGACAACTCACCTTAGCTTCACAGGGAAAAGAATAACCACAATGCCAATTGCCTAAACATCTCCAGCCTCAGGCACATTCTCGTGGTGTTTTCCAGAGGTAATCTACACTGAGAAGACTGTGTTATGTTACCTGAGCGGGACAAGCCAGCATATCACACAAGCAGAAAACTATTTTTCCAGATGACTCGAAACTTGGAACAGCACCTAAGGGAGAATGAGCTACTCAGGGGTGGACACAAAGGAGGGGTGAGGAACTGTGAAGCTGAGGAGGCACTGGTGTCTGGAGCTGGCTGTGCACATCTCCCAACTCCATGCTGGGCGATGGCCGCTTGGTAGGATGAAAGAGACCATGGTGGGAGTATTTATGGAATCTGGAAATCAGCACATGCTACACATCGGGGCTTTTTTCATTCCCGGGAGTGGGTTGTTAAACATTTGCACACCACTGGAAGGAAGGCAGAAAGGACCCTGAGATTTTGGCCCCACTGGGACCACGGGAGCCCTACGAAGACGCAGAAGGGGTTCCTGGCAGGGAAATGTTTTTTTCTAACATGAACTATCACGTAGGATGTCCACCAGCGCTATAGAGTTTTGTTTAACTCCACTTACATTAATGGCTCTCAACCTTTCACAGTGGCATCCCCTGAGGAGCTTTAAAAAAAATACTGATGCCTGAGTCCCATCCACTAGATTCTATTTTAACTGGTTTGGGAGTGTGGCCTGGACATTGGGATTTTACAAAGCTCCCCAGGCAACTGTATTGTGCAGCCAAGCTTTGCCACTGGCTTAAGGTGGAAAGGGCTTCTCAGTTATGACTTGGTAACCCCATCAGCTGATGCTTCCATCAGACACACATGCAAGTGAAGTACTATTAATTAAAAAGTAGCACTCACTGTTAGGGAAACAAAAATATGACCCAGGCTTTCCTATTACTATATTTAAGGGGATATAGAATTAGGATAAGATGGGAAGACATAAATCATGTTAGAGCCAATTCCTTCTGTATAATGTGTAAAGGACCTGCCCATTAATGCTTCATGAGACCCATGTCCTTGAATTTTAATAGAACACCATTGAAAGAATTCACTCTGAAACCTACTAGAGTGGGGACTTCTCAAAGAAGCTTGTTCTGGATTTTGAACTTTAAACCAACCTTGCATCAAAAGCCCCTCAGAGCAGCATCCCCGACACCTGGAGCTGGCTTTTCCATGAATCACAAAACATTTTTTCACGCTTCTCCGGGAGCTCAAGCCAGAGGCTTCTCAGAGCTCCGAGTCCCTGGGGTTCGCCTGCACACTCTCTCCCATCACAAAGAAGCAGCAAAAAGAGGATGCCGCCATTTCTGTCAGGGAGATCAGCCTCCTTGGAGAAACCCTTGGGGTGACATTTTCTTCAATTATTATTAATTATATTCCCATTCATTGTGTTTCTGCTTAGGAAGACCTTTCCTTTTCTCCTCTCCCTTTTTTTTCCTGATCAATAGGTGCAGTAGGAAATTAAATTTTCATTCAATTATTTCCATAGCAACACACACCTTATTATACCCTTCTGCTCTGTTTTGGGCTGCCTTCTTTTAAAAAAGTTAAGAGCCCTCTATCAAGTATAAATTCAAGTGTACCACAGAACTTCCTAAAAACACATTCGAACCAATCCTCGCAAGGGTTTTGAAAGAGTCAGAGACTAACTTCTGACTCCAACTTCACAGTGGACCAGGCGGTGCAGTCCTGAGGGCAGGATTCAGGCTCCCAATTACCATCTGAAAAGGGGGTTCAGGCAAGCCGCCAGAGCCACCTGAACTTTCATAGAGGAAAGAAAGGATGACCAAGCAATCAAAACCAAAGAACCCAGGCACTCTAAAGCTAAAGAAAGGAGAAAAAAAAAAAGGAGGGAAATCTTTTAACTTCCAGTGCTAATTACACCAATTAGTGGCTGAGTCTCATTTTCCTGGGAGGGGCAGGGAAGGGCATCATCCATTCACTAGCGTCACTTACTAAGGGGTCCTTTCCTTTTCCCTGCAGTTATCTTAATTAAAAATGTTACATGAATTCTCACCCACAGAGAATTCATTTATTATAGAAGTATGAGCTCACAGCTAATCCTGATTACATGGCTTTCCTATTCCACAGGACAGATTGCTAAAGATGTTCTTTCTGTTATGAGAAGGGAGCACATCTATGCCACAGAATTGACCAGCCCTGTCCTCCCCATCCCACTTGTCAATCTCAGAACATTTTTCAATGAAAAAGACCTACTGGGAAAATGCTTTTGAAAACCATCCCTGCTATAGCCAGGGCCACACACAAATAGATAAATTGGGCATAGGTATCAGTGCCCACTCCTCTTCCTGTCCCTCATCCACCCACCCTCCAGGTTCAGCTCCAGAGGGGCTCACAGCCATCAGGGATTTCTCACCACCATAACTCTCTTCTCCCAGCCTCCTCCACTGAATGTTACTTGCCTGGCACCTCATTCCTGCCACGCTAGCCCCACATGCCTTTCAGGGGGGCTGTCAGCGTATGAATAAACTGGAACTCTAGACCAAGTCTGATGTTTCCAAGAGTGGGTCCCACAGAAACTGCTTCCACTGCATGTCAGTGGCTTCTACTCAGGAAGAGGGCTCCTTAGACAAAAAGTTTGGGGAGCTTGAAAGGAAAGTTTCAAAGGATTCTTGATCACAGGACTTCTGTAAGACTTTCTTAGGGGAATGGGCAGTGGGGCTTACCACAAGCAAGATTCCCAAAGCTATTTAGCCCCAGAGTCTTTCTGCATAGAACATTTTAGAGGGCTTGTATTTGAGAGACCATAACCCCTGTGATCATGGGTGCCATGAGACAATGAACAAACTCTTGGCCACCACATGGGGAGTGGTACAGGAAAAGAATGCTGTGAATTAGCTGAAAAGGAAGGCAGAAGGAAAGAAGGAAGGAGGGAGGAAGAGAAAGAAGGGAGGGAGGGGAAGACCGAAGAAGGGAAGGAAGGAAGGAAGGAGGGAGGGAGGGAGGGAGATGTTTGGTATAATATGGAACAATTGAGATTAGGAAGTGAGACAGGATTGATGGAGTTAAGGAAATTTAGACTGAGTGACCTGAAATTCACATGTTAAGTGGTGATGATGAGGGAGGGAGGGAGGAAAGGAGGGAAAGATAGAAGGGAGGGAGGGAGGGAAGGGAGGACAGAAGAAAGGAAGGAAGGAAGGGAGGGGAGAAAAGAAGGAAGGAAACCAGAATTGAGGACAGCTGGGAAAGGAGGGAGAAACATAACAACTGTCAGGAAAAGAAATGTGGTCTCGCCTGCTGGTGAGATGAGTGAGGTTTCAGCCCTGTGAGCCGGTTCAGCATGGAGCAGCTGCAAGGGCTGTGGGTTCTCTGAAGGTAAGATGAAGCCCATCCCAATCTGAGATCCGGGAGCCAGGTGGCGACAGTGTGGTGTGAGAGAGAAGCTCGTCTCTGAGCAGTCAAGCCCTTTGCTGCAGTTGCTAACTAAACCTGCTGTCAACCTACACTTGCTAAAGTACCATGCAATAAGCATATCTGCCTGGCACTGCAGGGGAGCCAAGAAATGGGGAGGAGGGAATGAAGGAGATGGAGGATGGTAACCCACCAACATTCTACCAAACGGATTCATTGTGGAGATCAGGTAAATGTTCTCTGGAGCACCCCACGGGCTTTCAACAGCTTGATTATAATGTGTCTAGGTGTGGGTGTCTTTTATCCTACATGGAATCCATTTTGCTTCTTGGATGGGTAAATTAATGTTTTCATCAAATGTAGGGAGTTTCCAGCCCTTACATCTTCAAATATTCTTTCTCTCTCTCCCCCATCCTTTGGGGACTCCCATTGTTCACATGTTGTTATGTTTATGGTATGCCATTGGTCTCTAAGACTCTGTTTGGTTTTTTTCATTCTTTATTCCTTTTGTTCTTCAGACTGGGTAACCTCAATTGAGCTATCTAAAAATTCATTGGTTTGTTCTGCTTTCTCAAATCGGGGTGTTGAACCCCTCTAGTCAGTTCCTCATTTCAATACTTTGTACTCCAGAACTTTTTTCAACTACAGAATTTCTATTTGCTTCTTAAATAAAATTTCTCTCATTATTGATATCTCTAATTGGTAAGACAGTGTTCTTATACTTCCTATGTTCTTTAGACATAGTTTCCTGTAGTTCTTTGACATATTTAAAATCGCTTATTTAATATCTTTATCTAGTAAGGTCAATGTCTGGGCTTCCTCCTGGACATGGACAGTTTCCTCATGGACAATTCCCTCATGGACAGTTCCTATGGATTGCTTTTTTTCCTTTGTATGGTCCATACTTTATTTCTTTGCATGCCTCATTTTTGTTGTTGTTGACAACTGGACATTTTAAATAATAAAATGCAGCAACTCTGGAAATCAGATTCTCCCACCTGCCCAGAGTTTGTTGTGATTTGGTGGTTGTTTGTTTATCACTCCTGAATTCTGTAAAATCTGCATTCTTTATCATTTGTAGCCACTGGAGTCTCTGCTCAGTTAACTCAGTGGTCAGCTAATAATTGAACAGAGATTTCCTTAAATCTTTTGGACTATTCCTTGCTGAGGAGCTGTGTGTGTATCAGGCCACACTTTCCATGCTGTAGCAGTTAACAACTCTCCCTCAGCCTTTACTTCCTGCTTGTGCAGAGCCTCAGGGTCAGCCCAAGATGAGAGCTTAGGGCCCTCCTGAGTCTTTTTTTGAACATATGCATAGCCTGGGCATGCCCACAGCCCTGTGCATGTGCCTGCCTGGGCTATGCATGATAGATTCCCAGGAATACCTCAGAGCTTTGGAAAGACCAATGGACATCCCATTCCCCAGTTTTTCATCTTAAGTGTTTTGGTTTACCTCTTGTTTGTCCTGACTGTTATCTACAACCTTAGTCAGCCACAAAATTAATCAATCACCTCTCATTGTTTTTGACAACGGTTCCCAGGGAAAAGGCTTTTCCCACTGAGGAAGAACTGAGTGAAGTCAAATAAAGAAAGCTTTGTAACTGGGGTCTTCCAGAGAGCCAGTGAACAGGTCACATAATGAGAATTATCTGGAAATGAAGCTTTGAAGGAACTCCAACCCCATCCTGCCCCCTCCAGTGGCTGTGAGCCTGTGGTTTCCACTGTGATCACAAACTGTTCGTTTTTAAGGTTAGTGAGGAGCTGGAGCTGGGGAATGTGAATAGGACTAGCTAAAATGCCACCAGCTCACTATTCTTACTGAGATTTAATTATTTTTCTTGAATAAACACTTCCCAGATTGCTGCACACCTTGGGTTAATTTCTAGAGTTATGAAAAAGGTTGATTCTGATAAGGTCCTTATGCCTTCTATGAAGGAGAAGTTTTGAAGGTCCTTAACTCTGCCATTTTTGCCCAGGTATTTTTGGTGTTTCCATAATTAGGGGTCCAAATACACGAAATATAATTCCTCAATAGATTTGTTGTGCTTTTCCACAGTCATTTTTTTTTTCTTTTGAGACAGAGTCTCGCTCTGTCGCCCAGGCTGGAGTGCAGTGGTGCGATCTGGGCTCACTGCAGCCTCCGCCTCCCGAGTTCAAGCAATTCTCCTTTCCTCAGCCTCCCGAGTAGCTGGGACTACAGGCGCCCGCCACTACACCCAGCTAATTTTTGTATTTTTAGTAAAGATGGGATTTCACAGTGTTGGCCAGAATGGTCTCCATCTCTTGACCTCGTGATCCACCCACCTCGGCCTCCCAAAGTACTGGGATTACAGGCGTGAGCCACTGGCGCCCAGCCCTCCACAGTCATTTTTTAACAACATGATTTTTAACATTGACATTTCACCATACCTGTATCGCATTCCAGTATCTTTCCCAAGTTATATGTATAGCATCTACAAAATGCTAATCGACCAATTCTCCCAAATTTGGGGAGAAAATTTTCAGCAATTAATCTTGAATCATGGGAGAATTACATGGTATTTTTCTGCAAATGTTTGCCATGTGTGCTTTTTGTCTGGAAAATGCGAAGCTCAGTGCCCATTGGAAAATACATATTTGAGTAAGCACAGTCTTGGTCCTTTCTGGCATTCTCACTTGTTGCTTATCAATCAACCTTGTCAAAGTTCACTTGACTCTACACAGAGCTCTACATATATAAAGGCATTCTGAAGAAAATGTGAGTTCTGGGAAGAAATATTATTTTATCCTTTGCCTTGCCTGAAGTGTGAACACTTTGACAAGTGTGTCATTCGCTTCTGGTTGCATAAGAAACCAGCTGCGCCCTGCCCCAGATCTCTTCTGCAGCCTTCTTTGAGCAAAAAGGGAAGACACTCTTGAAAAGATAAACATGTACAAGTACTCTGTAAATTAGCTTGTTCTGCTCTCAAATTGCAAGTCATCCTGTTGGTAAAATAGTCTTCATCTAGTACACTTATTAAACATCTAGCATTGGTGCAGAACAGAAAACTCAGATGATATGTTCACCTCTGTGGCTATCAGAGTCCAAAAAACTAGGGGTCAAAGATTCAGAAACATGGGGTTCCTGCTTGATATGTCTATATTTATCTTTATACCAAGAATGTTCACTTCACCCCAATAGTGTATCTGAATTCTCCACCTACATAGTCAATTGCGTCCTTTATTTCTCTACCGGGCTCTCAAGGATTCTTCAGTCTCAATAGGTTCAAACAAAATGTGTCATTCCCCACCCTGACCCAGTTCTCCTCCAGCATTCTCTCAGTGTAGTGGACGACACCATATCCATCTAGGAGCTTACTTTTGACACCTCCATCTCCCCCACCCCCAAGTCCTATTGATGCGGAAGTGCTGGGAAGGGAAGAGCTGGTCCCTTTAAACGATATGGAAGTGGGGAAGGAAAGTGCTGGGTACAGGAAGGGTGTGGACCCTGGCTAGGGTTCCACCCCCATGGACCTAGGTGGGGACATGCGTTTCTGTTTTCCTGCCCAAATGTTGCATTTCCCAAGACCAACCTGGCCTGTCACGCCCCCATTCTGTGCAGAGACAGAAGCAGCTGGACATCGAGAGGAGCATATCGGAGGAGGAACACACAGGTGGCTGGATGTCGGGAGGAACGCACCGGCATGCCAGCAGGCCCCTGGCCAGCAGGCCCCTGACCAGCAGAATGACGCAGAGTTTGGCTGGGGCAGTCAGAGGAGAGCCCAGGCTGCCAAGCCGCCTGACTCCAGGGGAAAACCATCACCCTTCTAGCTCCCCTATCTGCTGAAAGCTAATTCCACTCAATAAAACCTGGCACTCATTCTCCAAGCCCACGTGTGATCCGATTCTTCTGGTACACCAAGGCAAGAACCCAGGATACAGAAAGCCTCTGTCCTTGCGACAAGGTAGAGGGTCAAATTGAGCTGGTTAACACAAGCTGCCTATAGATAGCAAACTAAAAGAGCACCCTGTAACACACGCCCATTGGGGCTGCAGGAGCTGTAAACATTCACTCCTAGACATTGGCACGGGGTTGGCACCCCACAGCCTGCCCATCTGTATGCTCCCCTAGAAGTTTGAGCAGCAGGGCACTAAAGAAGCGAGCCACTCCCCCATCACACATCCTGCAAGGGGACAAGGGAACTTTTCCTCTTTCACTGTCGATTCAGCACCCAAAGTCTCCCTCATACCTGCCCATTTATCACCTTCACAGGCTCCTCCTACTCTTGTCCAGGATGCCACCATCACTGTACTAACATCTTTATTCTCTTCCCTCATCCTGTTTGTCCCCTCATCTCCAACTTGTTTCCCACCCTGTAGCCAAAGTGATCTTTTTTTTTTCTAAATGTAAATCTGATCTTAGCATTCCCCTGCTTACAATCCTCTAGCAGTTGGCCATTGGTATGAAATTGAGGGTGAACCCCTGTACCGCGGCCTCCAGAGCCAGCACAATCGGGTCCCTGCTTCCCTCTCCAGACTCATCACTGGACACTGCACTCCAGCCACACTCCTCTTTTCAGTTCTTCTAAAGTGCTGTTCTCCTTTCTGCCTCGGGGCCTTTGCATATGCTATTCTTCTTCCTGGCATACACTCCCGGCTCTCTCCCATCTTTTCACCTCATTAACTTACCTCTTCAACCCTCAGATACACGCTCCAAAGTTATTTCCTCAGGAAACCTTTCCTTGACCCTGGGAATAGCTCAGAAGCTCCCACTTTTCCTCAATCGTAAATACCCCATTTGTGTTCATCCGATTTTCTACCTTCACGGAGCAAGAGATGGTTCATGTAGGTCCTGCTTTATGAGGGCCCGTTCCATGTCTCTTATTTACCATTACATCATCACCTACCATAGTGCTACATTGAGTAAGCACTAAATAAAGGAAAGAATAGACGAGTGGATTAAACTTTTCTTAAGCCATCATTACATTCTAACTATGTGACAGCACATTTCTAGGTGTTTTACATGTGTTTTCTGATGTAACTTTCCTAACAGTCCGTGGAGTAGGTATTATCATTATCATTCACATTTTGCAAATACGGAAACTGAAGCACAGATAATAAGTGTCTTGCCCAGCATCACACAACAGGAGTGGGCAGAGCCAGGTTTAATATTGTTCTGGTCGGGCACGGTGGCTCACGCCTGTAATCCCAGCACTTTGGGAGGCTGAGGCAGGCGGATCATGAGGGCAAGAGATAGAGACCATCCTGGCCAACACAGTGAAATCCCGTCTCTACTGAAAATACAAAAATTAGTTGGGCATGGTGGCGCACACCTGTAGTCCCAGCTACTCAGGAGGCTGAGGCAGGACAATCACTTGAACCCATGAGGCAGAGGTTGCAGTGAGCCGAGGTGGCATCACTGCACTCCAGCCTGGTGACAGAGCGATATACTCCATCTCAAAAAAAAAAAAAATCTTCCTAACTCTGAGTCTGTGTACTTCATCACCACCCAGGACTATAAAGACATCTTGCTGATTATTTAATACAATACTAATGAAAATAAGCACCATCCCCCTCTCCATTTGTTCAAAAAATATGTGCTCTAAACTCCTGTAGACCTACTGTAGGTTGCAACTGCCTGCAGAGCCTGAATGAACCTTCAGCCATTTCCTTGTCTTTTGAAACTGAATTTGGTATTTTGAAACAAGCAAGTATTTGGAGCCAAATCTTGAGTCTCAGATGGTAATCTTTTGGACTGTCTTTGTTCATGATTAAAGCATGACTACACAATGTGATTCGACTAATGATTTCTACTGAGTCACAAAATGGCTGTGAAGGTTATTCCAAATGAGGAGTTCCTGAAATGCTTTGAGAGGCAGCATCATCAAAGAAGGGTCAAGCTTTGGACAAATTCTATTCATTGATTGATTGATTCATTCATCCATTCATTCATTTTGAGACAGAGTCTCGCTCTGTCACCCAGGCTGGAATGCAGTGGTGCGATCACCACTCACTGCCACCTCGACTCCCCACTTCTCAACTCAAGCGATTCTCTCACCTCAGCCTCCCAAGTAGTTGGGACTACAGGTGCGCACCATCATGCCTGGCTAATTTTCACATTTTTTTTGTTGAGGCGGGGTTTTGCCATGTCGCCCAGGATGGTCTCAAACTCCTGGGCTGAAGTGATCTGCCTACCTCAGCCTCCTAAAGTGCTGGGATTACAGGTGTGAGCCACCATGCCCAGCCTGGACAAATCCTTTAACGTTTTGTGAGAAAAGCCATCTTCATGTTTGAGGGTCATGCCCAGAACAGGCACACCGACACACACACACACACACACACACACACACACACACACACACACACAGAATGCCCAGGTGTGTCCCACCCACGTCTCTGAACAGCTCAGCGCCAGAGGAGTGACTCTCCTTCTCTTCTACTTTGTCCTCTTCTTTCACTTTACCAACAGTTGTATTGAGCTACAATTGACATATAATATCTCATACACCTTTAAAGTGTACACACTGGTAAGTTTTGACATACGTATGGTTAGATTTATGTTTATCATCTTGCTATTTGTTTTCTATTGGCCCTATCTGTTCTTTGTTCTTCTTTTTTTTTTCTGACAGGTTTTGGATTGGGTATTTTTAATTCCATTTTATTTCCTTTGTCAGCTTGTCTTGTTATTTTAGTGGTTATCTTAGGTTTATACTACACATCTTCAATTTATCATAGTCTAACTTCAAGTACTATTACATCACTTCATGTATAATATGTGCCAATGATAAATTATTTCAGCTTTTGTATGTCTGAAAATGTTTTTATTTTGTCTTTGTTTTTGAAAGACATTTTTGCTTTGTATAGAATTCCAGGCTGAATGTTTCATGTACTGAAAGAAAAAATGCTGCCCCACCGTCTTTTCATTTGAGTGAGAAATCTGCTGTCATCCTCGTCTTTGTGGCTTTGCACATATCTTTTTTGTTGTTGTTCTGGCTGCTTTTAAGATTTCCTCTGTATTACTGATTTTAAGCAAACCAATTAAAATGTCTCTGGGTGTAGTTTTCCTCATTTTCTTGTGCTTAGCATTCACTGAACTTCTTGGATCTCTGGGTCTATAGTTTTCATCAAATTTGGAAACTTGTCAACACATTTCTTTAAATATTTTTCTGTTCCCTGTCCCTTCTACTTCCTCCCCGCAGGAATCCCATCTAATGTCTATTTGGCCACTTGAAATTGTCCCACAGTTCACAGATCTTCTTTCGGGTTTTTTTAAATCTTTTTTTCATATGTCTGTCTCATTTTGGATAGTTTCTATTGCTGTCTTCAAGTCCACTCATCTCTTTTCCTGCGATGTCTAATCTGCTATTGATTCCATTCAGTAAGCTTTCCAGCTAACATATTTTCTTCTCTTAAGTTTTCATCTCTAAAAGTTCAGTATGTGTCTTTTTAAATATCTTTCTTGTCTCTAAAAGTTCAGTATGTGTCTTTTTAAATATCTTTCTTGTCTCTAAAAGTTCAGTATGCGTCTTTTTAAATATCTTTCTTGAAGTTAAGAAAGCTGAATGGCTAGCCAATGATGAAAGGTCCCGGCCAAACTTTCCTTTTTAAATAGAGATAGGACATTCAAAGAATTTTTTGAAAATTTCTGCTTAGAGTTATTTTGGGTTTTAGTTTGTGTGTGTGTGTGTGTGTGTGTGTGTGTGTGTATGTGTGTGTATTAGATTGAAACAAAGGGAACTGATACATAATTGTCCAATATCTGAGGCTCATAACTCATCTGTTTCCTTTAGGAATAACATCCAAGACCTTCTGTTAACTCTTAAGACTAACTACACCAAACTTAAATATGCCTCGTATTAGCTTTTGAACATATGGAATACAGTTATAACTCTGAGTGACTCTTCTGCCATTTCTAATGTCTGTGTTAGTTCTCAGTCAGTTTTGATTGATTGATGTTTCTACTTATCACGGATGACATTTTTCTGCTTCTTTTCATGCCTTGTAATCTTTGATTAGATGCCAATCATTTTGAGTTTGACCTTGTTGGGTACTGGATGCTTTTGTTCTTACAAATTTTCTTGAGCTTTGTTCAGAGATGCAGTTATGTTACCTAGAAATAGTTTGTTCTTTTCATGTCTTGCTTTAATGATTTCTTAGGAGGGCCCAGAGCAGTGCTCAATTTAAAGCTAATTATTCCCCATGACTGAGGCAAGACCTTTCCAAGTAGTCTACCCAGGGACCCATGGATTCTAAAGCTTTCAGGCTGATGAAAACAGGCACTGTTCTTGGTCCTGTGTGAATTCCAAGCCCCGTTTCTTCTAATTCTTTCCAATGGCCCTTTCCCCAGACTCAGATAACCTTCTCACAGGCATGAGCGGATCAGTATTCAAATGAATTCTTGAGGGGGACCCTTTGCAGATGTCTGGACTTCTCTCTCTGTGCATCTGTCTCCTCTCTGGTACTTTGTCCTGTGAATTGTAGCTGCCTTGGTCCCTCCAGACCCTCAGCTCAGTCTCCCAAACTCAGGATGTTTTCTGGGCTCCACCTACGTTCCTCCTCTGTGCGCCAGGGCCTGGAAACTCTCTCAAGGCAGTAAGCGAGGGAAAGCTAGAGCTCACCTTTCTTTGGCCCTGTATGTCAGAAATCACTGGCCTTCATTCTTAGTGTTCAGCATCCTACAAACCATTGATTCATACATTTTTGTCAGTTTTTTTTTTCCAGGGAACTCTCACGTCCTGCTCTTGGTAATTAAAAGAGGTTAAAAAAAAACTATCAGTGGCCTCACCTTCTTCTCACCTTCTTTTCATCCCAGGCACCAGACTCATGAGACATTTCTCCCAGAAACTGCCCTCCTGGTACTATGGACCTGTATGTGCCAGGTGACCTCGAACCAGTGTGCGGAATGGCAGCTTGCTAGATCTCCTCCAATCCGCCCCTTCCCTGTCCCGCTGGCCACCATCTCTCCTGGGGTCTGCAGGCCCTGAGCAGCCAGCTTAGGGGAACAGCTGCTGCCTTCCTAGGAGGCCTTCCAAGCCAGTCTTGAACTGACCCAGCCTTTGCCTCAGTAACTCTGGGCTGCGGTGGGAATGAGAGCAGGTCGGACACGTGGTATAGAGGGCCAGATTGAAGCTACGAAAGCTGAGATGGCTAGCCAGTGATGAAAGGTCCCAGCCAAACTTTCCTTTTTCAATAGAGATGGTACATTCAAAGAATTTTTTGAAAATTTCTGCATAGAGTTATTTTGGGTTTTAGTTTGAGTGTGTGTGTGTGTGTGTGTGTGTGTATTAGATTAAAACAAAGGGAACTGATACATCATTGCCCAGTATCTGAGGCTTATAACTCATCTGTTTCCTTTAGGAATAACATCCAAGACCTTCTGTTAACTCTTAAGACTAACCACACCAAACTTAAATACGCCTTGTATTAGTCAGCTTGGGCTGCCATCACAAAACACCAGAGGCTGGGGGGCTTAAAGGACAGACATTTATTTTCTCTCTGAGGTTGGAAGTCCAGGATGAAGGTGCCAGCAACGCTGGTTTCTGATGAGGCTGTTCTTCCCGGCTAGGAGACGGCCACCTTCTCTCTGTGCTGCACACGACCTTTCCTCCATGTGCTTCTGGGGAGAGGGCTCGCAGGTGTCTCTCCCTATTCTTATAAAGACACCAATCCTATCAGATTAGGGCCCTCCTTTTATGACCTCATTTAACCTTAATTACCATTTTGTTGTTTGTTTGTTTGTTTGTTTTGAGACAGAGTCTCGCTCTGTTGCCCAGACCGGAGTGCAATGGGGCAATCTCTGCTCACTGCCACCTCCACCTCCTGGGTTCAAGTGATTCTGGTGTCTCAGCCTCCTGAGTGGCTGGGATTAAAGGCATGCGCCACCACACCTGGCTAATTTTTGTATTTTTGGTAGAGATGGGGTTTTGCCATGTTGACCAGGCTGGTCTCGAACTGCCGACCTCAGGTGATCCACCCTCCTTGGCCTCCCAAAGTGCTGGGATTACAGGCGTGAGCCACCATACCTGGTCCCTTAATTACCTTTTTAAAGACCCTGTCTCCAAATACAGTCTCATGATGGGGGCTTCATTGTATGAACTGGGGGGGCACAATTCAGGCCACACACTCCCCGAAACAAATGCCTTAGCAGCAGGCTCCCCATTCTCTTTGCCGGGCGGAGGTGCTGGGTTTGGCCTGGGTCCCCTGCTTGGTGTTCATTTTGTTCATCTGCAGGATGACAGGGGACCATCTGGGTTTTCGAGTGGGTGTCACTACATGTGAGCAGCTCCTCCAGACAAGCCTATTAGGTCCCTCTCAGGAACACCCAGGGAGCCAACCCTGGCAATGCAACCACAGCAACCAGTGCCCTAAGCCCAGGTCAGGACACCCAGTCACAGGAAAAAGCCACAGTCACCAGGAATTTATCAAGTCACACAGCAGGCTTGCCCATGCCTCAACCTCTCTCTCCCTCTACACAAGTCCCCATCCCCATTTCTCCTCTAACTGCATCCCTTTCCCAGCCGGCCTGACCTCCCTGCCCTCTGCCCTCTGCACCTCTGTAACCCAGGAGGCACTGCAGCCTGGCAGTGGTTCCAAAATTAGCTGCACACTAGGATCACCCGGGGAGCTTTCAAAAGTCCCAATGTCATCCCATAGGGATTAAATCAGGATGATTTAATCAGACATCCTGATTACATGTCCGGTGGGTGGGAAGCAGATATCAGTATTTTTACTGGTGGACTAGGTTTTGAATCTAGGCTTCATCATCTCATTAGCTGTGTAGCCTTGGGCAAGTTACTGAAGCCAAAACGGAGATAATACTAGCAGTAGCACCTGTCTCTTAAGATTGTAGCAAATATGAAATGAGCTAACGCTCATAAGGAGCCTTAAACAGTGCCTGATGTGTAAGGTATGTGCGTCCACCAGGTGTGCCCCAAAGGAAACCAGCACCTTACAGAGGAAAGGCCATGCAGGAGAATCCGTGTACCAACTCCCCTAATTGTGAAAGGGCAAAGAATGCGCTGACATCAAGTCCCTGCTTGGTGTGGAGCATGCATCATTGTATTTTGTCTGTACAGTGGTTCCTCAGCATCAAGATTATGATAGTCGTTGTGCAGAAGAATAAGGCTAAAAGAGACAAACTCAGGTGGGTCTAGTGATGGAGCTGGGATTTATAACCAGGTCTTTCTCACCCCCAAACTCATGTCCATTGTTATGAAAAATGCTTTGGTTTATAAGAAAAAAAGGGAGAAAATATTTTGTGTAGTCTCAATGTCTTTCACTAGTAAAAATGCAGTGAGGTTGTTTGTATGGTGCAGTTGTGGGGCTGGAACCCATCAAACACCAAGAAGTGCTTTCATTTACTCAGAATAGGGTAGGTGCTAATTAAATCATGGAAACCAACATCAAGATGAGTACAGCCTCACTGCTAATATTTTTTTGTAAAAGTTTAGGCAGGAAAGTTGCTGTTCTGCATTTTGGGTTCAAAATCAGACTACGTTTGCTAGCTATGTGACCATGGCCAATGACTTAATCGCTCTGTAATTCAGTTTCCTCACCTGTCAGTTGGAGATAATAAGAAACTCCCTCATAGAGTTATGAGGCTTAAATGAGCTAAATATAGGCCTACCCCTCAGGGCAGCACCTGACACATAGTATGTGCCCATTCAGTGGTCATATTGCTGTTACTACCATTTAGGGAATGCAAATCAGTCTTCCAAACTCCAAAGTTTCAAGTGGCTATTCCAAATTAGATAGAAGAGTGTTAGGTGAATATCAGAAATGCAACTGGATTTTAATAATTTCTTTTTAATATTAATAACTCAAACCCCCATTCACACTACTCCTTCCAAGTAAACATTCCACACTTTTTCCCCAGCCTGTGTCCCCTTCTGCCGCAAGGTCCTGGACCCTGCTCAAAGAAAACTGATTTAGGCCTTCCTGTAGGCATCTGAGAGCAAGTCAGATGGTTGCCTGCACAGACACAGACAGCGTGGATGGGATTTTGTCTGCAGGCAAGGGTCAAGGCTGGCCGAGCCGATCACTGAGCTCTCCTGCTCCTCCTCCCTGGAAGAGCACCGGCAACTCGACAGTCTCCCCTTGCCCAGCCTTCAGCCAGGCTCCTCTGAATGCTCTTCTCAGCGAGGCCTCAACCTTTGCACTTCTATGCTCATCTCTGCATCGCCTGATTTTAGCAAAAAGCCTAAGTCAGTGTAGCCAGAATGCCCCACCCTCAGTATCTGATCGCTTTGCTATCTGATCCACATCCTC
This sequence comes from Homo sapiens, assembly GCF_000001405.40. NCBI lineage: Eukaryota > Metazoa > Chordata > Mammalia > Primates > Hominidae > Homo > Homo sapiens. Next base: position 98,163,815 of record NC_000002.12, on the reverse strand, counting down.
GTTCCCACCGTCCCCCAGGCGACATCTGATCACACTGGCCTCTCTCCTGAAAGAATCCTGTCAAGTTGGTTTAGCGAGAAGCCCCCCTGCCCTTAACATCTCCTCTTAATAATTTTCCATCCACTGGCGTCCCCCTGACCTTGGCTATGAATCCCCACTTGTCCATGTTGTACTCAGAATTGAGCCCAGTTTTATACAGAGGTCTGGTTTTCCTTAGTATACAAGAGTTTGTCAAGAATCTGTTTTGTTATTGTTATTGTTGTTGTTGTTGTTGTTTTTGAGACAGAGTCTCTCTCCATTGCTAGGCTGGAGTGCAGTGGCACGATCTCGGCTCACTGTGATCTCTGCCTCCCGGGTTCAAGCCATTCTCCTGCCTCAGCCTCCTGAGTAGCTGGGATTACAGGCACGGGCCACCACACCCAGCTAATTTTTGTATTTTCAGTAGAGACGGGGTTTCACCATGTTGGCCAGGATGGTCTCGATCTCCTGACCTCGTGATCCACCCGCCTCGGCCTCCCAAAGTGCTGGGGTAACAGGTGTGAGCCACCGCGCCCGGCCCAAGCATCTGTTTTTACCACTTTACTGTCCAGCTCTGGGTACTGACAATCTCCACATATGCACACATGTGAGCACGTGGGCACACACACACACACATGTCCATGCATGTGTGTTCAGCCCCCTCCCCACCCCTCACCCCACACAGCTCTGGCTGCTCTCCTCAGCAGCCCCTCGCAGCTGGGCTCTGGAGCTTCTCTGGTCAGGAACATGGAAGCAGCCCCTGGTCCCCAGCTAGTAACATTTATGAATCTTTTACACCAGTGACCAGAAATAGCACCAACCGCAGTCCACAGTGGCCACGTCGGGCTTGGGAGGCTCGGCCACCAGCCTCTGGATCTGGGCCAGCGTGCTGCAGGCTTCCTCCATCTCTTGCCAAACGAGAAACACGTCCTCTCTGACTCCAGCTCCTAAAAGGGGAGACACAGCATGAGCGGCCGGCTGAGACAGGCCCAGGAATGTGGCAGCCCGCCTAGCAGGCCTGACGCATTGCAGCCAAGTTTCTGGAACATTTCTGAACATCAAATTCCGCTTCCCCCACTAATCTCTTTCTGAGAATCAGAACTGAAATCCCCAAGGAAGTGATATCATCTCAAGAAATCATAAATGCAGACTTTAGGATACAATAAATCCTTCTAAAGTAAATGTTTGTAGCAGCCAGAATATTTAAAATGAATTATTGATAATACCCAAATAAGATAGGAATAAAAACATTCAAAAGCACCTCACACAAGCCAGGGTCACCGCTGCGAGGAGGGGAAATGCAATGGAATGTTGTGAAAGCAACAACCCCTAATCCTTTCGCCATGTAGCCAAGGTGTCCTGCTTCTTTGAAACCACAGGTATAATATTTCCCCCAATGTAATAGTGATTGCCTGGTCTCCTTTTCTGGACCTCTACTGTCTCAGTTAAGGGATAGGTTTGACTCTATAACACTTTTTTAAAATGACATGGCACCATTAATTTAGATATTTATGTCTTTCAATCAATCGAAGTTCATGCCAAGGAGAGTGGTTTAGGGCTGGGATACAGGCTCTGCCTTCATCGAGATCCAGGCTCTAACAGATCAGCAGTTTCTAGATGTTGGGGCGGGTGGGCCGGGGGGAAATGGATGTGCACTCTGTGGTGTGCCATGCAGAGGTGCACGGTGAGAGGTCCTGTCCTGCTACCTTAACTGTATCAAAGTCAAGGTCCCAGCCATGCTGTGGTACTATGTTACTATGGGGGAAAGTGGGTAAAGAATAGATGGGCAGGCTGGGCACGGTGGCATACGCCTGTAATCCTGTAAAACTTTGGGAGGCCGAGGCGGGCAGATCAATGGAGGTCAGGAGTTCGAGACCAGGCTGGCCAACATGGTGAAACCCCGTCTCTACTAAAAATACAAAAATTAGCTGAGCGTGGTGGCCCGTGCCTGTAATCCCAGCTACTCAGGAGGCTGAGACAGGAGAATCACTTGAACTGGGGAGGCGGAGGCTGCAGTGAGCTGAGATCACACCACTGCACTCCAGCTCAGGAGACAGAGTGAGACTCCAGCCCAGGAGACAGAATGAGACTCCATCTTGAAATAAATAAATAAATAGATAAATAGATAAATAATAGATGGGCATCTCCCTGTATCACTTATTACCACTGCCTGTGAATCTATAATTATCTCAAAATAAAAAGGTTAATTTTTAAAATCTTGAAAACAGATCCACACTCTTTCTATCCTGCTCCTCGGTCATCTCAGCACATCCTTCTGTCTTCAGCCACCTTATGATTCAACATGGTGTCCTTAGTGCCAAGCAGCACGTCCTGAGCAGCAGGGCCACTGGGAGGACACAGAAGCACACCCCCTGATGGAGTCAGTTCCTTCGAGGCACCCTGCCCAGAAGGCCCACCCCACAGCTTCATTACTTAGCCACTGCCAGAATGGCATCACGCAGCCCCATCTGGCAGCAAGGGAAATTGAGAAATGCTTTTAGGCTGGGTATACTGCAACCCTAAGTAAAATTGGGGCTACAGCCTAAGGAGCAAGGGAGTGTATCTGGGTGGCAACTGGCAGTCCCTGCCCCTTGGCTGAGACATGTTCTGTCACCAAATACACCGAAAAGCCCCTTCCTCCCACTTCCCAAGTCTGCATGATAATTAACTGATGCCCAATATCCCACAATCACAGATGATGAGAGACCACCCTCCAGTCTACGGGGCACCCCAGGAGACTCATCCACCCGGGGCCAAAGGACTGATCCTAAGCCAACAAGGCAGACTAGGGCAGACCAGAGTTGATGTTTCTGAATTTTAAAATATAGTCAAGAAGGGTAGGGCAGAAAAAAGGGACATCAAAGTTCTAGCCTCTTGAAGTGGGACAAATCAAGTGAGAGAGTATTAATAGCTATGTTCCTAAAGGGGCAAGTGACAAGCCCTGACAGAGACGGACGGCTACCATGGCTCTGTGGCCATCAACAGCCTAGGAAGTGAAATCTGATGTGTCCTGAGCTCCATGTTGAAAATCCAAAAATAACACAGGCTGCTGCCAAATGCGAACCTTAAGCCCACAGGCCCTCTGAACGCTGTAAAATCAAGACAGACTGCCAGCTGCTTGCTTCAGCCTGGAGGTGTTAAGTAGCAGGAGTCTCTTAAAAGTTTCAAATGAGTCAAGGCTTTCCTCTAGACTTGTCAATAATATCTTAAGAGGGAGTACACCACAGGGCAGGGTCAAAGGAGAAAGTTCCGAGGAAACCCAGTCGGCTCTTGGTCATCCAGGGACAGGGAAATGTGTCTCTGGGACAGCAGTGACCGGGACGTGCTCCCTGTGCAGGCAGTATCTAGGATTATCACTACCCCAGTCTAGTGATCGTGATGAAGCAGCTACAGACTGCTATGTCGGTGATCAGAGAGCAACACAAGTCCATCTGATTTGCTTTGCTTAAAAACAAAAGAAAAGAAAACAAAACAAAACAAAAAAACAGTGAAAAAGAAAGCTACAGAACAGTAAAAGCATCATGACAATGCACAGGTTTTATTTCAAGTTATTCCTCACACAGTAAGGAAGCACTGCCAGTTTTATCAAGGTCACTTTTAAGGACTTAGTTGGGATCTCAGATAGCCACAGCCGAGGGACAGAGCCCCATTGGGGATGGAAGACGATGGGGGCACAGGAAACCCCGCTGTTCAGACCTCCGTGAATTTGAAATTCTCCAGGCTACACCAGGGAGGAGATGAAACAGCAGGAAGCTGTATGTATCTTTATGTATCTTTTTTTTTTTTTTTTAATGGATTCTTGCTCTGTCGCCCAGGCTGGAGTGCAGTAGCACGATCTAGGCTCACTGCAACCTCTGCCTCCCAGGTTAAAGCGATTCTTGTGCCTCAGCCTCCCGAATAGCTGGGATCACCACCACACCTGGCTAATTTTTGTATTTTTTTAGTAGAGATGGGGTTTCACCATGTTGGACAGGCTGGTCTTGAACTCCCTGACCTCAGGTGATCCACCCGCCTCAGCCTCCCAAAGTGCTGAGATTACAGGCATGAGCCACCGTGCCCAACCAAAGCTGTATGTATCTTGACTGTCAAGGTGGAAGCCAACTAAGGTCTGCCTGACAACAGAAGCTGGATACGGTTCCTAATGGAGTCATTCAGGAGACCTAGTGGATTCTCCAACCAGAATGCATGCCTGCCCAATCCCCCGCCTTGCATGACTGCTGCCCTCCCAGACACCTGGTAACAATTTGAAGGCCGGGCGCAGTGGCTCACATCTGTAATCTCAGCACTTTGGGAGGCCTAGGCAGGAGGATCACCTGAGGTCTGGTGTTTGAGACCAGCCTGGCTAACATGGTGAAACTCCGTCTCTACTAAAAATACAAAAATGAGCCGGGTGTGGTGGCAGGTGCCTGTAATCCCAGCTACTCAGGAGGCTGAGGCAGGAGAATCTCTTGAACCTGGGAAGCAGAGGTTGCAGAGAGCCATTGCACTCCAGCCTGGGTGACAGAGAAAGACTGCATCTCAAAAACAAACAAAAAAACCAAACCAAAACAAAACAAAAAAACAATTTGCAGGCTCGTGTTAAAATGCTAACATACCTGGGAGCAATGTCACAGTCTGCTGCTGTTTTTCATTAGCACCTAGTATTGACTTCTCAGACTGGCTAGTTTGACAAATAAAATGAGACTCAGGACAGGAAGTTTTGATGTCAAGGAGAAAAGTCCACAGGATACCTGCTGCCAAATGCCATTTCCCTGTCCAATCTTCCACATCTCACCTACAGGATAAAACCCAGTTGCCAGAGTCCAGTTCATTAATACGGTCATTTGGCAAGTATGTGTTGAGCATCTCCTCTGTAGTGGGTGGGTCCTATTGGTGCTGGGGATGCAGTGACCAGGGCCCAGCTCCCTGGGCTGGCATTGAGGTCAGGGTTCAAAGCTCCCATGACACTCCTCTAACACTCTGCACCATGAACCCGGTCAGAGCACTGTCCTCTCAGCCCTGTCCTCTGTATCAGAGGACTGAGCCCTCCGCTGCACCCACCCCGTCCCACCCTTCACTGAAGACATAGTCTTGACTCCACCACCCCCAGGAAACGGTGAGCTGCCTCCTACTCCCCCTTCTCAGTCCCGTGGAATGAACCAGGGCACCACTAGACTCCATCCTCTTGCTGCCAGGACACGCTCGGGCCGCACCATTAGTGAACCTGTCCATGTGTGCATTTCAGTTCCTGGCTGCCTGTCACTCAACCTCCAATTCCCAAGAACACAAAGAACTAGAAGCCTGTGATGGTGACATCATTCTGTGCATGACCTTGAGTCCAGTCTAATTTAAGTCAGCCTTCCATGAACCCAGTGCTTATTTTTAGTAGGCAGCTGCCTACAACACAGCTCAGCACTCAGCAACATGTCCCCAGCCTGCCAGCTGTTGTGGGCTGGGGTCTGCGGCTCTCCTGCAGTGCTCGGGCACTTGCTGTGTGTGTGTGCACCGGCTGACTTTGCCAACTGGATGGTAAATGTCTTAAGCATAGGGACAGTGTCTTTTCTTTCTTTGTATCCTCCACAGCACTCAGCCCAGGTTCTATCTAGTATTTTCTGCAAGAATTTCTGTCCTCCTTTTTTATTTTTCCTTATTACATAGAAACAGTTCTGGAGCACCTAATACATTCATTCCTCATGATTACAAGAAACTCTTCAGAGGGGTGTGCAAGAGACTCAGATCATCTGAGCACATGGCTATGCCCGAGGTATTCCAGACACTGACAATGACATCCCTTAAAACACGAAGTCATTTCCTTCTAGGTTCATGCCACAGTAAGCAAGACTTCCCCCAAGTATCTGAAGTACTATCGTTTCCAGGACAGGAGGAGAAAAGCAATTAGAAAGATAGGCAGGTGCGGTGCTGATCCAAGGTACAGTTCAATGTTGCCCTGGGAGAGGGCAGCCCAGAAACAAAACCACCCTCGGGACCCTTGAGTCCCAGACCATCCCCTCGGTCCTACTGTGGCTCATTGTTTGTGGCCCTGCCCAACCCCAGGACTCTCCGGTGAAGAACTGGTCCCGCCAGGTGGCGAGCTTGCAGTCTGCCTGACCCCCAAACTCCTATTCAGTCATGCAGATTTGAAAGACTTGAATATAACTATGAAAAGGCAGTATTTTCAGGAAAAAGTAGCACATACTTCTATTTTCAGAAAGCGATATAACATTAAAAAATATAATACACTGTGAGGTGCTAAACATTCCCAGAGACCTAAAATTACCATGAGGATCTGGTAAAAGGGCCACATTGCATCCATAAAGGGAATGAAAGCAGGAAAATCAGTGGTTTTTGTCATAATAAAAAAATTCCCAGTTATTTCTATTATATTATATGTTAAGATGTTTTGTTGTTGAGAAGTAATTAAACACCTGCTAGCTTGATCCAGCCCCACTGCCCTAACCACAGAGGCACAGTGTGGGGCTGCTCTCAGTCCCACCCTATGGAAATTAACCATTCATTAATTTAAAGTGAATATAGAGTCATTTCACCATCTGGATAACCATCTAATGTTTTATTGGGGCAATGAATAGATATGTTTCACAAGAGCCATTATGTTATCTTAGAAGCAATTTCAATATGAAGAATGGGCAACTTGAGCTATCGTCTAATACGTGAATGTGGCACCGTCCTCTGGGCCCTCTCCGTCTCTTCTAAATGGCACACTATAAAATGCAAATGTAATGCAGTCTAATTGTCCAAAATTCATTTAAATGGCACACTGTAAAATGCAAATGTAATGCAGTCTAATTGTCCAAAATTCGTTTAGAAAACCCAAAAATGAACCATCACCATTCTCCCCATGGTAAAGGGTAGGTGCTCCCCCAAACTTGGTGAGAAAAATGACCGCAGACTCCAGGATGCTATGGGGCTAGTAGACCATAAAGACCCAGGGAAGGAGACAGAGAAATAATATCTAAGGAACAGATGCAAAGATGCTCATCAACAAAGTTTAGCTGAATAAATCTATTCTACTTAGGATAAGTGATACCATTTATAAGGCATCAACTCAGGGGTAAATGTTTTATTGACATGTAAATTCAGAAGAACTTTATGAGTTTCCTTTAGAGCAAATTTACAAAAAAAAAAAAAAAAAAACTGAGTTTTTTTCAGTTTTTCCATCCAAGAAAAGGCCTGAACCTCTTTCTGTTCTAAGGGATCTATAGCGCATAAAAATAACAAAGACGGTGGCAGGGCTGCTCCTTGATTTCCCATCAACCAACTCTGAACCACAAAGAGCAGGGCTAGGACTATTGTTACTGGGGAGCAACCCCGCACCGGCATCTGCTCAGCCTCTGTCCTCAGCAACGGCCCTATCTCTGTGAGGATGGTTGTGTGCGTGGGCTACTGGGGACTGGATATCACTCACGTAGATGGATCTGCTCCCAGCTCTGCCAGATCATTCAGGAATGAGCAAGTTCTAGGAGGCTAATTATCTTCTTCAAATTCAGAAGACACTGACTTAGGAACTAGGAAGCCAATGCTTTAAAATATCCCCTTCTCAGTAGGACAATCTACTTGGAGAATCATCATTCACTCATTTATTCAACAACACCCCATCATTGCCGATTATATCCGGACACTGGAAATACAAAATGAACAGGAAACCATCCCAGCTCTGAGGAGGCCCTCACTCCAGTGCGGTCTTCCCAGAGTGTGGTCCTCAGAACCTGTGGCAGACGCCCCTGAAATGCTTGTCAGTGCAGATTCCTAGGCCCCACCCCAGACTCATTCTGAGGGTGGAACCCCAGGGAGCTATATTCTTAAAGCGTCCCAGTGATTCTTTGCAACAAAAGTTCACAAAGCTTTAGTCTAAGACGTGAGAGAGGCATGTAAATACATGATCACTCTCCAAAATATTCTTGGAGAAAAAAAAAGTTGGGTGATTTCCAGGAGCAATATTCTCATGCCTGGATGTCCCTGTGTCTGCCCTACAGAAATGCTCACAAGAGAAGGCAGCACTCCCTTTCCCCTGCACAGTGCTGGGAACCCCCGACACCATCTTCCAACACCCATTCCAGGCCACCTGTCATCCATATCTTCATAACATTCTACTGGTTCTAAGTGTCACCTATTTTAGATGTATGTTATAATGGCTGCTTCCTGCTGATAAATGGAGGAGAAAGAGGGGAAATGAAAATTTACCAGGTATCTACTATGTGCCACCGTGCTGGGAACTTAAACACGTTACCACATTGACTTGCAACAATTGCCTGAGTCCAGATCATCATCCCCGTTTTACAGATGAGCACACCGAGGCTCAGAGAAATTTGCCCAAGGCCACACAACTAATAAGTGGTGAGGTCAGGATTCAGCTTCAGGCTGTTAGTCTCCAAAGCTCCCCACCGCCACACTGGAACGCTGGCCTTGGGTATCCTGGAAAATTCTCATGATACAAGATCTACGTGAGCAAACCCATCTGTTGTGTGTTGATCACTTTTCGTTTTCCTTCAAGGGGCTTATAGACTTACCTCTTCCTACGTCTGAAACCACCCAGTTTGTAATTCTGATGCAGGTGGTGATGGTGGGTGAGCTGTGTCCCCAAGGTCAGGGGCTCCAGTGACATTCCAGTGAGCAGTGACACACCTGCTGGCTCCACAGCGATCTGCCTGTATTGGAATCGGCTGTCACCCACGGGGATGGCCCACCAGGTTATCAAGGCTGAGAGCTCTTGCTGGGCTTCCACTATCTGTAAGTTTGTCTTCTTCATTAAACCGTGACTTCCTTGAGGACAGAACTATGTTTATCTGTTTTTGTAACCACTCTCCCTGGTACCTTCCTGACACCTGGTCGAGACTTCCAAATAGGCTATTCCAGAACACAGGTCCCTTGAAGAGAGGGACCTCCTTTTTTCATCATTGTATCCCCAGAGCCCAGCACAGCACCCAACTTTGCAATAGTAAATGTGAAACGGATCTGTCACCCTGGAATCAGAGCCATCACCCTAAAATCAGAAATTCAAATGCAGTCGGAAATCTGCACTGGCTCTTTTCCCTGGCAATTCAATTTCATGTTTAAGAGTTTTGAGGGTTTCTCTCTGCCCCGTGTGTTAGGTGATGCAGGATGCCCGGATTCCCTTGATTATTTCAGTACAATTCTAAGGAGCTGATTGCACTGGCTGACCCAAGCCCTGGGCTGAGCCCACCCCTGCCCAGTGTCAAGAGGGCTACTTTAAACAAGACGTAGTGCAGCCAGGAGCCTAGAATAAAAATAGGTATGCCAGACATAAGCCCAAGACGGGAGTGGGAACAGAGGGGTTCCCTGGGCTTAGGGGCTTACTCTCCTTAGTTGGGAAAACGAGATCTGCAAACACCTCAGATAAATGTGTGCGCTAAGGGAAGAGGGCAAGGTGCAGGTGGACAGTTCTTAAGCTAATTGGGATCCTGCAGTAATGGAGGGAAGGAACAACCCCTAAGTCATAAGGCAGAAGCAAAAATGACATTCTGAGAATCTGGGGCTCCCCGCCGACTGGGAACCTTGTCTTTTATTCCTTTTGAATCTCCTCCTCCTCAACCCTAGTAAGTTTCTAAAGCACACAGGAGATGTTTAATAAATGCTTGTTAACTAACCAGAGGGCTATGTCAGAGCAGTAGAAAGAAATCCTGCTGGGCGCGGTGGCTCACACCTGTAACCCCAGCACTTTGGGAGGCCGAGGCTGGTGGATCACCTGAGGTCAGGAGTTTGAGACCAGCCTGGCCAACATGGTGAAACCCCGTCTCTACTAAAAATACAAAAATTAGCTGGGCGTGGTGACAGGCGCCTGTAATCCCAGCTACTCCGGAGGCTGAGGCAGGAGAATCGCTTGAGCCCTGGAAGCAGAGGTTGCAGTGAGCCGAGATTGCGCCATTGCACTCCAGCCTGGGTGACAGAGCGAGACTGTCTCAAGAGATTTAAAAAAATAGAAAAGAAATCCAAGGCAGCCCACTGTTACAAGGGGCAGGACTTTGAAGGGAATTAAAGTCTCTCAGCCTTGTCAGTTGCAACGTGGCAACAATTTTGGATGCACAGCCGCTCCGGCTCCATCCGCTGAATTCAACTGAATTTTAGCTGGAAGGAAGGAGACTTCTGAAAGAATCTCCCGCTGCCAGTAAGCCATAAACAGGCACCAATCAGTGCTTCTAAATTAAATTGGAGATTAGAAACAAAGAAGCAATGCCAAGCCTAAGTGATGGGCCAATACACTCTAAATACCTAATTAGAGATCACAGGTGTCTGCCAGGAACATGACTTGGTTATTTTTTCCCTTTAAGCATAGCAGCCTGAATGTGTCCTTATGTAAATAAAACTCAGTTTCATAATATTTAGTCTTAGTTCATGCATTTTTCTCCACCAACACAAAAAGCACAGTTTCTGAAGGTAGAATCACCCACATTTTTACAGCTACAATATTTTTGGACTTAAGAATAATACTGGTAGAGTATAGTAGCTGTTCTAAGGACATTTGCCAGGAGTACTGGACACAAACAAAACTACTCTCAGAAAAACATTACCTTTTGCTATTACCTAATATTTATTCTTTTGATTCATTCATTGCAGCCTTTCTCTTGTCCCATAAGCAAAATATGATAGTGAGCAGAGCGAGTGCTATTTGATAGTTCTAAACAATGAGCAGGGGCTGGCCAGAGGGCTGAGCTGAGAGGAGATGAAGCCAGGTGAGTACAGGCTAGAGACGAGAGCAATGATGGACAGATTAGTGACGCCTGTCGTGGGTGGGGTAGGCCTAGAAGTGAAAGGGTGAAAGGTATGCCATGTCGTCCAACGCTGGTCTACCAAACTGTGAGAGGGTTCTGTGTTGTTGGTACTTTGGGTTGTATACATGAAACCACCTTAAAGTTGAAAATATGCACCATTTGCAATGTGCCTCCTCTTCTCCCTTGTGTATAAAGTACAAAGCTCTGGCTTGAAGTGACAGCATAGAGTTCTGACCATGGCTTTCAGCCTGGGTGCTCATCCCACCACCAAGTCTGAGAAGCCTGACATCACACCATCTCAGAAAAGTCCACTGTTCGTTCCACTGCTGAGTCTAGATCCTGAGCTAGATGCATCAATGCCAAAATTGTTTACCTCTTTTAGCCTGATGCCAGGACCTCAGGGAAGATGTTTACTCTAATGTAATTTTACTAATCCATACTTACTATTTCAGTTTAAGTAAATTTTCAAGGATATACAGGAAGAGAACCAAAATAAAAGATGAAGCCTTCTCCAAACCCAAGAGATCAGAAGTCTTTTTCCTTACTGAGAAGGAGTCCCCAAACCACTAAATAGACTCCCTCCTCCTGTGCCGACAGGACCTTCACAACCTAAAAAGCAGCTGCTCAGAAGATTGGGACTGTCTGCCTTAAAGACACAGTCCCTGGAGAGCTTTAACCAGCAGTTAAAGTTCCTTCCCCAAAACAGCATCAAGCCCAGCCCACATGTGGGACAATCCATGCCTCCATGAAAGCTTCTGAGAATTGAAAATTACCATGTTCAATTTATAAATATTATTGCACCATTTACACTTCTTACTGAGCTCAGTCTGACAACAGAGAAGTAGGTGAAATTCACACCCAGAACAGGCCCCATGGCATAACCCTACTTACCACTGAGTCAGATTCTAGTTGTGGTAGAGGAAGGACAGGCACTCCTGATTTCCTCTAGAAAGGCCCCTGCGGCCTACTCCTAGGATCCACCTTGACAGATGGACTCATTTCCCATAAGAACAAAGTTTAACAGTACAGTATTCACTCCCTTGTTCCAAATTACAATTCATCCATCGTTATGCATGCAAATAAACTGGTTACTACCATGACCATTAGAAAAATGCTCTTTGTGACACAGGCTGCCAAATCCTTTTGGATTATTTCACTTTCCAGAACCAATATCTACAACAAAACCCACTTGGAATCCCAAGAAGAAAAAAAGGAAACTACCATTAATGGAATGTCAATTTTGTGCTAGACATTTCCATGTGTGTCGTATGCTTTAATTCTCCCAGAAACTGTACAAAGTAGATGTTATTATTCCGATTTTTATAAATGAGGAAACATAGCTCAGAAAGATTAGGTAACTTGCCCAAGGTCACACAAGTATTTAGTGGCAAAACTCAGATTTGAATCCAGGTCTGATCCCAAAGTTGATTCACCTTCCAGCAAACACTGTCTCCAAGCCAAAAAAGGAATCACAACTGTTCATCAAACGTTCACTTTCCTCCCCACCTCCGTGTGAGTGGAGTAGACCTCCCCACCCATTGCTGTAGGACATGAACATGTGACTGGCTCTGGCCAACTGGATATGACATGAGTGGGGGCCTTAAATGTGGCACATAGCGGGCCTCAGCTCAAGCTCATGCATTCACCACAATACGAATATACCCTGGATTGCTGGAAGCGGTGGCTCACACCTGTGATCCCAGCACTTTGGGAGGCCGAGGCAGGCGGATCACTAAAGGTAAGAGACCAGCCTGGTCAAAATGATGAAACTCCATCTCTACTAAAAATACAAAATTAGCTGGGCATCATGGCGGATGCCTGTAATCCCAGCTACTCGGGAGGCTGAGGCAGGACAATCGCTTGAACCCAGGAGGTGGAGGTTGCAGTGAGCAGAGATCGTACCACTGAACTCCAGCCTGGGCAACAGAGACTCCATCTCAAAAAAAAAAAAAAATTAGCACTAGTTAAAGGAGAGTCCATTCCATGTTAATCAAACTGCAGGTGACATGTAGACCTGTGATCAAGAAATAATGGCTGACATATTTCCACATTTGATGAAAACTGTAAACCAACAGGTACAAGAAGCTCAGCAAACCTCAAGTGCAAGATATATGCCATCAGGTGGCGAGAAGACTCAGTGGCATGTTTTGCTCTTGAAAAGGTGAGAAGCTTCAGAAGGCAAACGGAAATAGAAGGGAGGAACCAGGGAGGATATATGTCAGTCCTTCCTCACCCTCCAGAGAGTCAGTGGCATCTGTTAAAATCACACCTACAGACTGTCAGAGGATGGTGCGGAGATGAATCGAATTTTAGAATAGACAGTCTAGAATAGAATTTTCTTCCAGACTAATGTGGGGAAACCAGACACCATGTAGGCAGGCACAGGATCCCAGAGGGTGATGGGAATAGAAGAGTATGCCTCCTGCTCTAGAAGTTCACAGAAATTGGGCAAAAGGGTCTTTAGACACCACCAAGCCACAGAATCAAGGTTCGAGGCAATTTCACTTGATCCCTAGTGGGCAGGCACCACCATCACATCAGAGCCACCTCTGCACAAGTGCTCAGAGGGCTCCTGACTCAGCAGGTGCTATGAACCTGAGTCTGCTTCCTGTCCTCTGCCTTCATATTCTTTATAGTCAAAGAAGAATGACCACGAACTCCTGAAGGACAATATAAGAAAAACGTAAAATGTAATGCACTACCTAATGCACCACCTAAGCGGCTCACGTTGTCAGAGTCAAAACACTGGAAAAGCTTTCCATCACCTGGAAAGAGCAGTCCTGGAAAAACAAACACAGAAAAAACTTTCGGGAGAAATCCCTCCAAGGAATTAATGTACCTATAGGAATCTAAAGCAAGCACAGAATAAATAAATACTTTTACATGATGATACATCTATTTTTGCCTTTACAATGAAGCAACAAAGGAGATAAAATTGCTCTCAGCCTACAACTACTTTTTGTTTTCCTCAGAAGAAGCATTGATATAAGGAACTATCCTAAAATATGAGGCCTAAAAGTTGATAATAATTCATATATAACTAATTTATTTGCAGACACCCTTACAATTTATTTATCAAACTCATTATAAGAAATGAAGATTCATACAAATATCTACTTACCAATGAGTATCAAACATCAAAATTAAATGAAATCAGAACTTGTAGCAATGCATCTATCTGTTTATCTAGGCTTTAGTAATTTAGGTTAGAGCAGTCCAAAGTACTTTGAAAACTTTCAAAAACAATTATAGCTTTTTAAATCTCCAGTTGATAATTGATAATGAGGCGGGGGAATAGGGTCTGGAGGCAGGGAACCTAAGGCCGATTCACAGTGACTTCCTAGAACTAAATCAAAAGGAAACCCCAACTTTCCAAACCTAAGTAACAGAAGAACCAGAGGTACTCCCTTTGCAAACCCCACCCTCACACACCTTTTTTGCCTGGCGGATGGAAAATTGAAAGTACTTCTGACTGGTTGCTTTCCACAATCAATCAAACGTTTGCATAAGGTGTAAACTTTGCAACTTCATGTCAGCTTCTGACTGGTTTCTTTCCACAACCAATCAGACTGACTGCAGGCCACTACTTCATTTGCATGGGGTGTACATCAAGCGGCCAATGAGAAACCTCTAGAGGGTGTTTAAACACCAGAAAATTCTGTAACTGGGCTCTGGAGCCCCTATGCTCAGCCAGCTCACATCCTGTGGAGGGTACTTTCGTTTTCAATAAATCCCTGCTTTTGTTGCTTCATTTTTCCCTTGCTTTGTTTGTGAGTTTTGTCCAATTCTTTCTTCAAAATGCCAAGGACCTGGACGCCCTCCACCAGTAACAATAATATTATTGTTTCAAAATGTTTAAGGCTTTAATACACCAAAAAGCAAAGCTGCAGTAAGCAAACTGCTGATACAGCTCAATCTTTTTTCTTTCAAAGTATATCACTGGAGCTAACCAAATTATGTCAATAAACCAAAGAAGAGAGAAGAAAAATGTATTTGGAGCAAAACCCAAAAAGCTTAGAATGTCAGTAAATACTATGAGAAAAATAGTGTGCCTTGAATGAGACAGCACAGAAACCAAGCACACATGTGCACTCCCCTTAGAAGAGTCAGTCCAGCAAGCAACATTCAAGATGAACGTTTATTTGGATAACGTGAAGCCCATTCTTCACATCTATGATAAATATAAGGGTAGGTGGAAAAACAAATCATGGTCAAATGGTCATGACCAACCTCAGACTAGAAAGAGAAAGAGCCCTGAAGCACAGCAGATGGTCCAGGAGCAAGTGTCATATAGAAGAATATAATATATTACAAAGGGTAGCACAGAGGTCAGTGGAGAAAGGGTGCATGAGTGGTGTGAAGGCAGTTGTTACATATTTTAGGGAAAATCCATTTATATTCCCACATCACACCATACTTCAAAATAAATCTAGAAGGACCAAAACAATTTTTGCTTTTGTTTTAAACTCAGGCAATAAAGAACCAAAAGGAGAAGAAATACAGTTACGAAGGAACTGCAGGATTTATAGATTACAGTTACTGTGCAAATTTTATGGTTGCCTATAAAAAACAGCCAAAATGAAAAGGAACACAATGACCAACATAAATTATCCATATGTAATACACCAAAGACTGTTCACACAATGTGATAAGAAACACAAGACCCCCGCAAGTAAAAGGGTAATAGACAAACAGGCAGTTTACAAAAGAAGTTAACAAATCCAAAAATGTTCAACTTCACTACTGTTTAATACTAATTGACACGAATTTCTTCATCAAAGAAATTCAGATGGAAACAATGAGATACTATTTTTATGCTAATTCAGGTTCTGTGAAATGGGTGTGAATTATATTGTCTTAAAGTATTTTTTGGAAAGCAATTCAACATGAGAGATTACCCCACAATGTTCAAACATTTTGATTCAGTATTTTCACTATCAGAAATTTATGTTTTAAAAAATCTAAACTACAGGAGTAAATACACCACACAACACATATACACCATGGAATACTATGCAGCCATAAAAAAGGATGAGTTCCTGTCCTTTGTAGGGACATGGATGAAGCTGGAAACCATCATTCCCAGCAAACTATTGCAAGGACTAAAAACCAAACACCGCATGTTCTCACTCATAGGGAACTGAATAGGGAATTGAACAATGAGAACACTTGGACACAGGAAGGGGAACATCACACACAGGGGCCTGTCGTGGGGTGGGGGGAGGGGGGAGTGATAGCATTAGGAGATATACCTAATGTAAATGACGAGTTAATGGGTGCAGCACACCAACATGGCACATGTATACATATGTAACAAACCTGCACGTTGTGCACATGTACCCTAGAACTTAAAGTATAATAATAATTAAAAAAAGAAAAAAAATACACCCCAAAAAAGATAAGTGCAGTATGATCTCTGATAGCAAAAGAAAATTGAAATTACCCAAATATCTAATAGGAAATGATCGACAAAACTCTAATATAGAACTTTAATGAAGTATTTGATATTTTTAATGTCAACTACAAAAATTTTATAGTAATGTGGGAAAATACTTGATTCTATATTAAGTAGAAAATTCAATATTCAATTTGTACAATAATATATTTATGCCTTAATTATTTTTAAGTATATAGTGAGAAGACCTGTAGGAAATATACCAAAATATCCAACGGTGTAAATATCTGGATGGCAAGAATGTTTCTTTTCCTCTCTTCTCCATATTTTCCAAATCGTCTATATTATGTCTGGAGAGTGCAATATAGTCAGGTGCTCCTGACAGCCTGGATTCAGACCCCCAGCCTCATACTAATGAGATAATGTATGCATGCACCAAGCAACACTTCCCTGGTCCAATAATTAGAAACATCATGGTTTCTAATTAATTACATCAGGAGATATCTGATGTAGTAGTAAGAGAACAAAACAAAGGATGAAAGTTATTTTCTAATATTACAAATTACATTCTCTTTTAAAACACCACAATTGTATATCATGCTTTCAAAAGTTATTTTGGAATTTGCGAAATTAAGAATAGATGGGCTAAGTATTCAAATGATACTTTATCAATTTTATTTAAATGAGTGGCAACATAATGTATGCCACATAACCCTATGACCAAAAAAAGTGGCTGACACTGTCCACTCCACACAGTTGATGAAGACATCAGGTTCCACATTTGCTCTTAGAGCCCACGCCTTCATACATCTTGGAACGTTTATACTTAGCCTTTACTTCCAGGATGAACGAAGCTATATAAGTCAATACTGTTTCCCTTTTCTAGAAATTATGAGGGTAAATGAGAGTGGAAAAGAAAACACAAACACCTTTTTTCCTCTAAACTAGGAGACAAAAATAACATACTGATAAGGGCTATGGAGAACAGCTGAGATGGGACAGAAGCAATGCAGAAGAAAGCACAGAGAATGTGTACCCAGAGTGGTCAAAAGGGCTGTGGCAGCTCTGAGGAAGTGGGGGGTGCCTCACCCACAGTCAAAGGTGAGCCTTGTTGGCAACCTGGATGCTAGAACCTCAATGACAAGTGCTGACAGCAAAATCTGCCTACTTGGTTAAGAGAGGCAAAGAGGTAGGGCTTCGCAAAGCATCACCCAGAACAAACTTATATGCAGGAACCACTCTGTCCCTGCAGCAGCAAAAAAGCAGAGAGCCCCTGAGTTGTGAAGCATAGATGGCTATCTTAGCCCCTTCCCTACCTTTCCTCCCCTAGGACATGCCTGCAGATAGCTTGTGTCCATTCCATGGTGATCAATAAATGGAAGCTGATACATAGCATCCAAACAAGGATACTATAAGAAACTTATGCGGAAAAGAGCAGTAAAACTACCAAGAGAAGAAGAACACTCACTAAAAATGTTACCAAGGAGTCCTTACAATTACGATCCAACATTTTTTCTGTGAATTAAATATCTATATGAAGCCATCATCTCCCTGAGGAAAGAACACAAAGCAGAAATTCAAGAACTCAAAAATGACACGGAAAGGCAACAAGAAAAGATGAAATATAAAAAAAAATTAGGAAAGGGCTAGGTGCAGTGGCTCATACCTGTAATCCCAGCAGTTTGAGAGGCCAAGGCAGGAAGATCACTTGAGGCCAGGAGTTTGAGACCAGCCTGGAAAACATAGCGAGATCCCCCCAAAACCCAACCCTAATCTCTGCAAAAATAAAAAATTATCTGGGCATAGTGGCACGTGCCTGTAGTCCCAGGGCTTTAGAAGGCTGAGGCAGGAAGATCCCTTGAACCCAGGAGTTTAAGGTTGCAGTGATCTTTGATCACGTCACTGCATTCCAGCCTAGGCAACAGAGTGAGAACCTGTCTCAAAAAAAAAACACTCAGGAAAGAGGAAAAAAAATCACAGCAGTTAAGATGAAATTGATGTAAGCTCAATGAAAAAAAGTGCTATGGAACTCACTGTGAGAAACCACAGAGGGTGAACGCAGGCAGAAATAAAGTGCTTAAAAATGTCAGAGAGAAAATAATAGATGTAGAAGACTGTTAAAGGAGATACACCAGACAGATAAAATGAGTCTCTGAAGAAAACCAGCATAATGCAATGGTTATGAGAACAGTCTTGAGTTTGAATCCTGACTCTGCCATGTGCTATTAATAGTTATGTGAATTTGGACAAGTTTCTCAACCACCTTCTGTTTCGGTTTCTCCATCACTAAAATGAAAATAATAATAGTACCTACTCCATGGGGGTATGTTATGAAGATTGAGTGAGCTGGAATTTGGTAAGAGGCTGGAAGAGTGCCTGGCACATACAAAGCAACATGTAATATATTTGTCCAATTTAAAATAAGAATAAAATGGAACAGGACAAATATTTAAAGATACAATCCAAGGAATCTTGTCTAAAATAGAAGTCTGGAGTATACAGACGGAAAGGGTACACTGTAGGCCAGGGAAAATCGACCACAGCAGCCAGCATTGAGACAAATCCTAACACTTAATGGACTTTAAAGATCAAAAAAGAATTTTGGGGGCAACCAGGCAAAAAGATAAAGTCACTCACAAAAGAAAAACTAATCGAGCTGGCCTCAGATTTCTCCTCAGCAGCATGCAGCAGAGAGGATGTGGGAGCACAGCTCCTGAGCCACTCAAGGGAGAAAAGTGAGCCAAGGGCATTGTAGCAGCCAGGCTGTCCTTTCAGTGTGTAAAGACTGCAGAAAAGGACATTCGAAAACTCTGGGGATAACGCGGTGGCTCATGCCTGTAATCCCAGCACTTGGGAGGCCGAGGTGGGTGAATCACCTGAGGTCAGGAGTTCAAGACCAGACTAGTCAACATGGCAAAACCCCGTCTCTACTAAAAATACAAAAATTACCTAGGCGTGGTGGCAGCCACCTGTAAGCCCAGCTATTTGGGAGGCTGAGGCAGGAGAATAGCTTGAGCCTGGGAGCAGGAGGTCGCAGTGAGTCGAGATCACACCACTGCACTACAGCCTGGGCCACAGAGCAAGACTCCATTTCAATTAAAAAAAAAAAAAAGAAAGAAAGAAAACCCTATGGGCACCATTATTCCTTGAATGGAAGGAAGCCCTTCTCGAAGGAATGACTAGAAGAGGAACTTCAGCCAACCAAGAGAGAACTCAGGAAACCAAAGTAAATGGAATGGACTCGAATTGGGAACTGAGTACAATATATTTAGTGATAGAACTAAAAAAAAAAAGTAGGAATTAGGATTACAGAAGAGAAGTAAAGATAATAAGACTTAGTTTTTAAGTTGTTTACCTAGTGATAATAACATTAACAGGGTAACTGCAAATGATGATGGTTATGACAATAATGACAACTATAATTTATTGATTGGTTAACTGTGTGCTAGAGACCATAGAAAACATTTTTCATATATATGCATGTATACACATATAACCATGCATACATACATATATATCCATCCATCCATACATATATATGCATACATACATGTATTAATATATATTCTTATATAGAGATATATTCCTAACAACCTATAAGGTAAACATTATTAACATTATTACCCCATTCATAAAGGAGAAAGCAGCCTGCCATCCCAGCACTTCAAGAGGCCAAGGTGGGGGGATTGCTTGAGGCCAGGAGTTTGAGACCAGCCTGGACAACATAGTGACCCCAGTCTCTACAAAAAATTTAAAAAAATGTAGCCAGGCATAGTGGTGCACACCTGTAGTCCCAGCTACTCGGGAGGCTGAGAGGGGAGGATTGCTTGAGCAAAGGAGGTTGAGGCTGCAGTGAGCTATAATGGTGCCACTGCACTCCAGTCTGGGTGACACAGCAAACCATGTCTCAAAAAAAAAAAAAAAAAGAAAAGAAAAGAAAAGAAAGCTAAAGCTCCAGTTAGTTAAGCTAAGTACCTTGAAATCACACAGCTAATAAGTGACAAATTCATACAGGTCTGACTCCAAAGCCCAGGTTTTTTTTATTTTACTATATTTGAGTTCCCTGAATATAGGACAGTGCCTCATTCCTCTCTGCCTCCCCACCATGTAACACAGCTAATATAGCATAATAGAAACAACATATTATTCCCATTTTACAGATGAAGAAAATAAGGCAGAAAACTTAAATAAGATGCTCAGGGGTACACAGCTAGAGCAGTGCTACCCAATAGACATACGATGTGAACCACATATATAACTTTAAATTTTCTAGTAGCTACAGTTTAGAAAGTAAAAAGAAACAGGTGAACTTAATTTTATTAATATACTTGATATAACTTGGCCAGGCATGGTGGCTCACGCCTGTAATCCCAACACTTTGGGAGGCCGAGGCTGGTGGATCACTTGAGGTCAGGAGTTCATGACCAGCCTGCCCAACATGGTGAAACCTCGTCTCCACTAAAATCCAAAAGTTAGCCTGGCGTGATGGCAGGCGCATGTAATCCCAGCTACTGAGGAGACTGAGGCAGGAGAATCACTTGAACCCAGGAGATGGAGGTTGCAGTGAGCCAAGATCATGCCACTGCACTCCAGCCTGGGTGACAGAGAGACTCCCTCTCAAAACAAACAAATATATATATATTTGATATAACTCAACATATACGTATTATCGTTTTGATTTATCCTCTAAATTTAAAATTGTTAACGTGATAATTGATATGTTTTACACTAAGTCCTTGGAATCTAGTGTGTATTGTACTTTCACAGCACGTCTCAATTTGGACTCGCTCCATTCCGAGTGCTCTCCAGCCACGTATGGCCAGTGGCTTCCCAATCGTACTCTAGAGCTGCATGCCTCACTCAAGAGACTGCCAGCTCTTCATTTACCATTCTCCAACATCTATTCTTGAAGTGTTGTTTTAGAACATCAAAAAACAGAGTAACTAATTAAGTTATCTCAGTGGTCTCCACCTCCACAGAAGAGCCATCTGTTAGGGTTTAACATCATGCCTCTGGCACTTACAGAAGGTCACATTTATGCACATGGATGGATCATATTCTGCGAGGATCATCTGTTTTCCCCTCTCTATCTCCTCCTCCACACTTGAGCAGATACCAGGCTCATTGCAAACTTGCCCCCAGGGAGGCCTATGGCAGTGTAGAAAGATGAAGTAGGCTGCAAGACATTCAGGCTTTTTTAAGCCTGAACCCCTAGGAGAGGTATTACGGTTTACAAAGCAGGTAGCTTTGAAGAAGCTGGAAGGAGCCAGGCTTTTTCTCAGATAAAAGGGAGCCTGCCTTTGGCTTGGGGGAGAACAGGAGACAGGCCCCAAGAGAAGACAGGAACTGGCCTCAGTTCTTTGCAGCACCCTGGGAGGAAGCCTGCATGGGGGGAATCCAGGGAGGCGGGGCAGGGTCTACAAAAGATTTTCACATCCACAGCCCAGCACGGGAGCAGCAGAGAGCTGTTCAGCCTGAAGCGGCAATAAGGCAGGGACAAGGGGTATTTATGGTGTGATTTTCCAGAACAGATATCCAACGACTAGACCCCACCTCCTGATGCATAAACACTGCCTAGGGTCTCCAAACTGTGGGTAAAGCTCGGGATGGGGACAAGGACTGAGCTTTATTTCCCACCCAACCAGAGGAGAGGAGACTGGAATAAAAAATTAAACTGAATTCTAGAAATCAAAGTAAGTAATCGGCCTTGTTTTGGTGACCAGAAATTCAAATCTGCCACTTAGGGGGCCTCACTTGGGTCTGCCAGGACCTCAGGCAGTGTCACCTACACAACCAATGCACTGGAGCCAGTTCTTCCGGAGGGGACAGCTAAGACCATGACTAACTGGTGGGCAGAGAGGGGTGTGGCCTCCTGGAAGTCACTGCTGACTTGGAGAACATCATGGTAAGATTAAGGTTCAAAGAATATCACAGAATACTTTTAAGCCCTGGTCAGGTGTGAAGTGGCCAGCAGGAAGGCCACTTGAGAGTTTGCTTAAAAGATGAGTTTCCCTGACTCCCAAGAATGCCCAGTGATAAGAGTTTGGATGTCTGTCCTCTCCACATCTCATGTTGACATGTGATTCCCAGTATCAGAGATGGGGCCTGGTGGAAGGTGTGTGGGTGACAAGGGCAGATCCCTCCTGAATGACTTGGTGCCCTCCCTCTCTGTGGTAATGAGTTTCCATGAGATGTGATAGTTAAGAAGAGTCTGAGTCCTCCCCCTTCTCACTCCCTCTCTCTCCACGTAATGCACTGGCTCCCCCTTTGCCTTCTGCCATATTTAAAAGGCTTTCGGAAGTTTCCTGAGGCCTTACCAGAAGCTGAGCAGATGCTGGTGCCCTGCTTGCACAGCCTGCAGAACGCTGAGCCTAATAAACCTCTTTTCTTTATAAATTACCCAGCCTCAGGTGTTCCTTTATCGCAGTGCAAAACAGACGCATACACACAGAAACAGAGAGGCATAGAAGATGATTTTTCAGGCCTCTGTTTCAGATTCTGAAGCAAAAAGGTCTCCTTCAGCAGCACCACATGAAACCCTGCCAACCAGAGCAGATGAAAAGTGTCACCACAGTCAATGGGCGGCTGCCATGTTTAAAAGGCTTCCGGAAGTTGGGTAGGAGGACTGTCCAACAGATTCCCTGAGAGCCAGGTGCCAAGGCAATGTGACCCTGCTACCTGCCCATCAGGCTCACCTCTTAACTGGCCATTGGTGAGGGGGCCTGGGGCACATGCCACAAGACTGTGGACAGGGGAAACTGAGACCCCAAGGCAAGAATGGGGAAAATGCTGCCCAGTCTTGGAAAGGGATCTTTTCCAAGGAAAATTCCTAGAGTTCAGGGAAGCTCAATGTGACTCTGTCTTATTTTGCTTATGGGTAAGATGAATATTAATATTTCATGGTAGACACAGGCCATGAAGAAAATCCACGCTTATTAACAGAGAAGGGAAGACAAGCTGCTGGGGGCTGGGTGGTTCAGAGGAGCACCAAAAGGGAGCATCGCTCTGGTCCCATAATAATCTATGTCCCATTGGTGCCCCTTACCCTCTCCAGCAGACAGCCAAGCCCATCATAAAGAGAGAAAGAGGCAGGAATACCTTCACACAGAGAAGTATGGGAGGGAAGGTGCTGCCTCCTTAACGGAACACCCACCTCCCCCATTCAGTGCCCCAGGAGTGGTAACAGGGGCAGGGATCCAGCCAATGCTGGGCTGAAAGCCAAGGGGAAGGACAGCTACGAGGAGGAGAGGCTTAGAAGATGAGTGGCAGCTTCCGGTCAGCAGCATCTGCCAGACTAAATCTCCTGCACTCTGTAAATCCAAGCCAAAGATCCTGCTCTGCCCAGGGAGGGGAACTCATCTGAGGCTGGTGAGCATTCCTGGATGGGATGGGTCAGTGCTGGGAGGAAGGAGAATCTCTAAGGCATGCGGTTGTGTCCGGAATTGGTGGGTTCTTGGTCTCACTGACTTCAAGAATGAAGCCACGGACCTTCGCGGTGCGTGTTACAGCTCTTAAGGTGGAGCATCTGGAGTTTGTTCCTTCTGATGTTCGGATGTGTTCGGAGTTTCTTCCTTCTGGTGGGTTCGTGGTCTCGCTGGCTCAGGAGTGAAGCCGCAGACCTTCACGGTGAGTGTTACAGCTCTTAAGGCGGCGCTTCTGGAGTTGTTCGTTCCTCCCGGTGGGCTTGTGGTCTCGCTGGCTTCAGGAGTGAAGCTGCAGACCTTTGCGGTGAGTGTTACAGCTCATGAAAACAGTATGGACCCAAAGAGTGAGCAGTAGCAAGATTTATTGCAAAGAGCGAAAGAACAAAGCTTCCACAGCCTGAGGGGACCTGAGGGGGTTACCACTGCTGGCTCGGGCAGCCTGCTTTTATTCTCTTATCTGGCCCCACCCACATTCTGCTGATTGGTAGAGCCGAGTGGTCTGTTTTGACAGGGCGCTGATTGGTGCGTTTACAATCCCTGAGCTAGACACAAAGGTTCTCCACGTCCCCACTAGATTAACTAGATACAGAGTGTCCACACAAAGGTTCTCCAAGGCCCCACCAGAGTAGCTAGATACAGAGTGTCAATTGGTGCATTCACAAACCCTGAGCTAGACACAGGGTTCTGATTGGTGTGTTTACAAACCTTGAGCTAGACACAGAGTGCCGATTGGTGTATTTACAATCCCTGAGCTAGACATAAAGGTTCTCCACGTCCCCACCAGACTCAGGAGCCCCGCTGGCTTCACCCAGTGGATCCCACACAGGGGCTTCAGGTGGAGCTGCCTGCCAGTCCTGCACCGTGCGCCCGCACTCCTCAGCGCTTGGGTGGTCGATGGGACTGGGCACCGTGGAGCAGGGGGTGGCGCTCGTCGGGGAGGCTTGGGCTGCACAGGAGCCCACGGAGGCGGGGGAAGGCTCAGGTATGGCGGGCTGCAGTCCCGAGGCCTGCCCCGCGGGAAGGCAGCTAAGGCCTGGCGAGAAATCGAGAGCAGCTCCGGTGGGCCGGCACTGCTGGGGGACCCAGTACACCCTCCGCAGCTGCTGGCCTGGGTGCTAAGCCCCTCATTGCCTGGGGCCGGCAGGGCCGGCCGGCTGCTCCGAGTGCGGGGCCTGCCAAGCCCACAGCCACCCGGAACTCCAGCTGGCCTGCAAGCTCCACGCGCAGCCCCGGCTCCCGCTCGTGCCTCTCCCTCCACACCTCCCTGCAAGCTGAGGGAGCCGACTCCGGCCTTGGTCAGCCCAGAAATGGGCTCCCACAGTGCAGCGGCGGACTGAAGGACTCCTCAAGTGCCGCCAAAGTGGGAGCCCAGGCAGAGGAGGCACTGAGAGTGAGCGAGGCTGTGAGGACTGCCAGCACGCTGTCACCTCTCACAGTCATCCCTGGAAGTAAAAGCTGAGACAACCGCCACGTACCCAGGTTCAGGCACTCAGCTTTTGGGGCCCTGGGATTCTGACCACCCAGCCAAGTAGCTGCACCAAGGGCCTGGGAGCCCAGCGCAGGCCAGCAACCTAGCCCCACCCTCACGCAGGTGAGTAATTATTCCTTTCTGGAAACATCGAGATTTGCTTCAGGAGGTGCAGATGGTGGAGACCATGTCATGAATATTATGAGATCCGCGCCCCCGCCCCACACATATTTGTCATCACTCTGTGCTTCCTGGGCTCAGGGGGCATACGCAGCAGGGAAAAACAGGAATTCTGCAAGTTTTCCCCCAGTGTGTAAGAAAATACGGGCGAGCTCATGAAAAAATACAATTATGGAATTTTTAATGGATCTCTCTAGCATACAGGAGTTTGTGAACAGAACTTCTTGCCTGCTCTGGTTTCTGGACCTTCCCAAATTACCATTAAAAGGTACTGTCCTGTCTATGGCTTGTATGCTGCAGCAGATGCCTCAACAAGCAGCCTAAAAGGGCAGACGGGAGACACTGGCCACGGAAGGCTTCCCAGAAAGGTAATGTTTACATGGAAGGAAGCAGGGAAGCAAAGGAGCATCTTCCAGAGCTTACATGAGAGCAAGTTCACATGGCCCAAGAGATGGCAGACATTCAGACAGAGGTTGAAAACGAGGTGCATGTGGAAGAGGAAAGTGGATGGTGTTAGAAGGTGGGGAGGGGCCTGCTGAGCAGGGCCACATGGAGCCATGTTGGAGGCAGAGGCAAAGGGGAGCAATGCGATGTGTACCCCTGCACACATGATGGCATGGATTTGCAATGGGTAATTTTTTCCCAGAACACTAAAGTAGTTGAAAAAATACTAGAAAATTAAAAAGTAGGAATGTTTTTAATTTAAATAATTTACATTATTTTATTTGTACCAAAACAGAATTTGTTATTATTTTACACTCCTAATCTTGATGGAAACAAATTCATCAATTAACAAGTATGTTCTAAGTCTATTTATTTCATTTTCAATTCAGAGTTGTAAATTATAAGAAATGTGAGAAAGTAACTTTGAAAGTATGTGTGATGAATAAAAACTTTAGTGAGAGATATAAATATACTCCCAAAATAAACTTAATGTATTAATACACTTTTTAATTGTTCAATATCTTTAAACTTAATAACCTAGAAACAAATTATCATTACAAATAATAAATAAAAACATATATATATAGAGAGGTACACATTTCTCCTCTTGCCTCAGGCTCCAATATGGCCTCACAGAGTCTTGTTGGAGCCTGTCTTTATTTGAAATTGTGATATTTTCATCATCATGGATTTTTGTGGCATTAACTTTGACTTTTTAAAATATTATGTCAAAATTTCAACAAGCACATGAAAAGATGCTCAAAATAATGAATCATTAGGGAAATCCAAATAAAAACCACAATGAGATATTGCCTCACACCCATTAGGATGGCTACTATCAAAAACAGGGAAAATAACAAGTGTTGGCCAGGATGTGGGAACTTTGTGCACTGTTGGTAGGAATGTAAAATGGTACAGCCACTATGGAAAACAGTATGAAGGTTTCTGGAAAAAACATTAAAAATAGAATCCCCATATATGATTCAGAACTTCCATTCTGAGTATATATCCAAAAGAATGAAAAGCAGAATCTCAAAGAGCTATTTTGTACACCCATATTCATAACATTGTTCCCAACAGACAAAAGGTAGAAGCAACCCAAAAGTCCATGGGTGGATGAATCAGTAAACAAGATGTGGTATATCCATATAATGGACTATTATCAACCTTAGAAAGGATGGAAATTCTGACATATTACAACATAGATGAAGCTTGAGGACATTACGCTAAGTGAAATAAGCCAGTGGCAGAAGGACAAATACTGTATAATTGCACCTATTTATGAGATACTACCTAGAGTAGTCAAATTCAGAAAGGAGACAGAAAGAAAGTAGAATGGCGGTTGCTAGGGGTGAGGGTGGGACAAATGGGGTGCAGTGATTTGAATATATGTGTCCCTCCAAAATTCATACATTGGAACCTAATACCCAATGTCACAGTATTGAGAGTGGGGCCTTTTGGGAAGTGATTAAGTCATGAGGATGGAGTCCTCCTGAATAAGATTAGTGCTCTTATAAAAGAGGCTGAAGGGAGTGTCCAGTTTGCCTTTTTTTTTTTTTTGGCCCTTTCATCTCTTCTGCCCGTGAGGGTGCAGCATTCCTCCCCTCCCAAAGATACAGCAGCAAGGCACCGTCTTGGAAGCAGAGTGAGCCTTCACCAGACACCAAATCGGCTAGTGCCTTGATCTTCGATTCCCCAGCCTCCAGAACTGTGAGCAATAAGTTTCTCTTTATAAATTACCCAGTCTTGGGTATTTTGCTATAGCAGCATGAACAGACATAGACATAGGAAGTTACTGTTTAATGGGCACAGGGTTTCAGTTTGGGAAGATGAAAAGGGTGGTGATGGGTGTACAACAATGGGAATGTACTTAACACTAGTGAACTGTCAGCTTAAGAGTGGTTAAGATAGTAAATTTATGGCATATATAATTTACTATAATTTTTTAAAAAACATTTTTTATCTTAACTGCAGAGTTTTTTTGTATTGGTACAGAGCATGGGGTCATGGTAAGTCATACCCTGAAAGCCTATTATCTGGTATCCAAAAAGTCAATAATAGCAGGAAATTCCTTCACATTGCCAGAAAAGTCCTCTGAGCTATGCTTCTCCAACCCCTTACTTGAGAGTCTCTATTTTCTATACAATGGAGGGGGAAATAATGTAAGAAGTCACTCCCCCACCAAACGAGAGGGTGGCCTGAGGAAAGTGATGTGGAAAATGCGTGAAACGGCTGATGTGGCAACGGAGAGAGATGTGATCAGGTAAAGGGAAGAAACCTGCCTCTGAGGCCCAGGTGAGGTGGGAAATCACACATTTTCCAAATAAAAACAGTCTGTCAAGGTTTCTGGGCAGTTTGGGAGAGGTAGGCTTTGAAATGTTGGCATTTCTGGGACATTGTGATGGACAGAGGAGACAAGATCACGTATTTAGGATTTGAGATTCTCCCTCCAAATTCAGATGTGATCACTGAAATGGATTGAGAACAACGATCCATGCCAAGCATTTTATTCTAAGAAAAATGTTTTTGGCCGGGCGCGGTGGCTCACGCCTGTAATCCCAGCACTTTGGGAGGCCGAGGCGGGCGGATCACGAGGTCAGGAGATCGAGACCATCCCGGCTAAAACGGTGAAACCCCGTCTCTACTAAAAATACAAAAAATTAGCCGGGCGTAGTGGCGGGCGCCTGTAGTCCCAGCTACTCGGGAGGCTGAGGCAGGAGAATGGCGTGAACCCGGGAGGCGGAGCTTGCAGTGAGCCGAGATCCCGCCACTGCACTCCAGCCTGGGCGACAGAGCGAGACTCTGTCTCAAAAAAAAAAAAAAAAAAAAAAAAAAAAGAAAAATGTTTTTGTATGTAATTTGCATGCTTCAAAGGGTTGGTAAGATGGTAGTTGCTGAAAATGTAAGCTATGCAGTTTGTATTTCCCTTTATAACTAAGTTGCCAAGGAATCCAGAGACCAAGACTAAACCCCATTTCCAGTAATTGGCCCACCTTGGTTTGCTAGTAACATCTCACATTCTTTGCCGTGATTAAATCATTGCCCACTAGGCTTAATCTTGTAAATTACTTTCAATAGGCATGACATATATCCTGAATTAATTTCTTCTTAGATTAGCATCGATCTTGCCTATATGTTGGCATTTTCTCGAATTCTCTGGAGATGTCCCCTTCATGATTGGAACAAAGGTTTCCATTACGTGAAGTAGTGCCTCCAGTGAACTCTATGGGAACATCTCCCCTCCTCTGCTTGGACACCAAGAATCTGAATCTACAAAGTGTGTGTCAGGAACAGGCTCATGACTCATCTTCACTTTTATCTCCATCTGAAAACCTAACCTTCTCCTGGGAGCCTTTGCAGCACCGTTACGTAAATCTTTCAAGCAGCTGTTGCTACAGCTTCTCTCTTATCCCTAAAGAGTAGCCTCTCTGCCTTATAATGAAGCTAGAAATCTGTTTGATAATTTAAAAAGAGGGAGAGTGGGGGTGAGCTTTCTTAGACTTCTAACAACCCACCAGGTACCTTCATCCAACAATCGAACAGGGGCTTCCTTCCCTCCTTTTCTCAGTGGGGTTTATTCAGTCTTCAGCACTTTGCAATTTCATCAGCTTAAAAGAAACTCCCATCTCCTGGCTTTCTGAGTAACCTTCCACTGTTTTTCTGAATCACAGCCTATTTCCCGCTGATTTGGTGACCTCATTCTCTGTGCTCATTAAGTTCTCTGATCACATTCATTGAATGAAAGGGGAAGTTCATTCCGCCTCCGTAAAGGTTCCTGTGCGGCCTCCGCCCTCACAAGGGGCAGGCCACTCCCTCAAGCTGCATCCGCAGGCCCTGCTTTCATCACAGGGAGGACAGCAGAAACCCCCTCAAGAACCGCAGGCACCCTCTCTGCAGCCTCCCAACTAATCCACACAGCAGAGTGGCTCTGCCTTGCCAAGAACTAACTCCGGCATTGACAGGCCCAGGGCCACATCTCCAGCAGGTTCTCAAGTTAGTAAACACACATCGCTTAGGCCATTTCCCTGGATTGTAAACTTATGCCTGGTTGCTACGCTGACAAACTCACCACTAATATCCATTAACTCTGCTCTTGCACTACATTAATAACATTATACAAAAGACATGGGGAGTCTCTCCCTCGTACTTTACTTCCTAATGATCCACGTCGTCTGAGGCTATTCGGGACATAAGCTACACCACTTCTTTTGGATTCCAGGTACCTGGAGGGAGTTTTCCTTTCAGTTTCCTTGAATTCCAAGTCATCACATTGTCACCATCCTTTGTGGAGAATGCAGGAAATTCTACACACTCTGTTCTCTCGGCAAATGCGTGGAATCTGAAACGTGAAGAGATGCTCATTAGGAAGGCAGTACGCAGGTGTCCGTGCATGCTTGTTCCTTCTCCTGGGACTGAACGTGCTCTTCGGCAGCACTGGGCATCTTCATCTTCTTAGCCATGGTCACTGCTTCTTCCTGCACCTTGTCAATTCCACAAGCAAAAGACAGGGAGGCAGAATAGCACAGAGAATTGTGAATGATGTGGGATTTTAACCGACAACTCATCCTTTCATTAGAGGGTAAATTAGCTCAACCAAATGGTATTTCTTGGTCCTGGGAAAATGACACTCTATGCTTATATTCTTTCTCTTGTTCCCAGGGTTCCGTCATGTCAACACAGCTTAGCCAAGCCAGGGGTCTAATGAGGGGCCCCAGTAGCACCCATCAGCTCTGTAGGTTCAGTGAGGACAGCTCATGACACAGACAGCATTTGCCTAATTTGCCTGCTGCTGATGGGCATCAGTCAACTTTAACTCAGCAAACACACACTTCCCCAGGAGCCAGGCTTAAGCACGAATGAGAAGCATTCCTGTGTAGACAAGTTTTTAGGACCTGTCTTTTCAAAGCATGGTCCAAGGAGCAGCAGGTTAGGAATACACACTCCCAGGCCCCCACCCAGCCCTGTGGAGTCCAAATATCCATTTAACAGGGTCCCCAGGGGGCTGACAGACACATGAAAGTTTGAAAGCACTGATGTAGTGCACAGGGTGATGGGCTAAGTCACACCCTCAAAGCCACTTAACTGGAATCCAAAAAGTCCATAAATAGCAGGACATTTCTTTCAGGTGGACAGAGGAAGTCACAAGTAATGCTCCACCAGCCACGCAGGAGTTCCGTCTCTGCCTAGCACCACACACTCAACTCAGAGAAATCCCAAGCACCGCTCAGGATGGAAATGTTGGGAGAAGTCTAGGGAACCCACCGCGGCTATGGAAATCCTCAGTCTCTTCCCAAAGGGTTTCAGGCGAGACTGGAATAATGACTTGACGGCAATTAAAATGTCAGCCTCATTCTGGTGCCCTTCCTAAAGCCAATGAACTCTTAGCCTGGTCATTCCCAACTCCTGCAGGAGCTTCATCCAGAGCAGAAATGTCCAGCTCCCTTGCCCTGTAGGGCAAGGAGGGGAGATGGGTGAGGTTTGCCCCAGCAGGCCCCATGCCCTGAGTGTCAAGGCCTTTGGCACCCAGGACCTTCCACTCTCTGATCTGTTTTCTAGATTAGAAAAGGGAGCAGGGCAGAAATTTCCTCTGGCTGATATAGTCTCGCTTGTGCAGAAGCAACTCAGCATTATGACAGGCTGTTTGAGCCTTAGAGCACAGCGCTGTGCTTGGACTGGTGGTTCTACCCAGACACAGCCTCTGGCACAGGGGAAGCCGGAGTCCAGTTGGAGGGTCACCAGACCAGGCAGCCTCCTGCAACCTGAGACACTCAGGACATGCCACTTGCAGCTGGAGAATAACTGCCCTCCAGCTGGGGCCCCATGGCCAAAGGTGCACCAAGACCAACCAGAAGCCATGGGGTGTCCAGGCAGGGAGTGGAGAAGGCAGGGGCACTACTCGTGATGGGTTACGCTTGCCTGCAAAGGCCCAGAGCATGGACAGGAGGATACATCAATACCTCATCCTTTTCTGCAAGACCCACCTCCATGGCTGCATGGCCTCGTTAGGTAGCTGAACCACAGCTTCTCTCACAGGAAATTATTCCCTGGGCTCTAGCATGCCCCAGATGAGCTAATCAGAGAACAGCAAGAGAGGTGACTGGCCAGTTGCCTCTTCTCTTTCAACTAGCGAGGTCACAGGAGGGAGCCCCCTTCTGTACTTAGGGGCTCAGGAACCCAGAATGGGAGCCACATACTTGATGTTAAAAGATTTCAAAGTGCCGTAAGAGCAGCCACAGCAATGGTCCTTAGAGTCCCAAAGTCTTGTTAACAATGAAAATTTCTAGCCCTTCACAGATCTTGAAAATTAGAATTCCTGGGGCTGCGGCTATAAAATTTGCATCTCAATCAAGCTCTCTGGGCAGGTATTATGCAAAGTGATGGGAAAAATTCATATTCCCGGGCTCTCTCTATGACGTGGAATGAGCCGGCAAGGTGAAGCCTGGCCTCTGTATCATTAACAAGCTCCCCAGTGACTGTGATGAGCACCTACACTTAAGAACAAGATGCCATCTTACCCTGTTAGGAGGGCTGTTATCAAAAAGAAAAAATGACAGATGCTGCTGAGGAGGCAGAGAAAAGGGAAGTCTTATAAATTGTTGGTGGGAATGTAAATTAGTACAGCCATTATAGGAAAGACTATGGAGATTTCTCAAAAAACTAAAAATAGAACTACCATACAATCCAACAATCCCACTACCAGGTATTTACCCAAAGAAAAGGAAGTCGGCATATCAAAGGGATATCTGCACCCTGTGTTTATTACAGCACTATTCACAATAGCCAAGATACGGAATCAACCTAAGTGTCCATCAATGGGTGAATGGATAAAGAAAGGTGGTATATACTTAATAAATACTATTCAGCCACAAAAAGAAGGAAATGCCGTCATTTGCAGCAACATGGATGGAACTGGAGGTCATTATATTACGGGAAATAAGCCAGGTATAAAAAGCCAAATATCGCATGTTCTCACTCATGGGTAGGAGGTGGAAAAGTTGATCTCATGGAGATGAGAGTAGAATGATAAATACCAGTGGCTGGGAAAGGTGTGAGGATCGGGGGATAAAAATAGGTTGGTTAATGGGTACAAACGTACAGTGAGATAGAAGGAGTAGGTTCATACAGTGAGATAGAAGGAGTAGGCTCTAATGTTCCGATGGTAAAGTAGGGTGGCTATAGTTAACAACAGTGTATTTTATATTTCACAATAGCCAGAAGAGGGGACTTAAGATGTTCCCAACACATAGAAATGATAAATAAGGTGATGCACATCCTAAATCCCGACTTGATCATTCCACATGCTATGCATGCAACAGAATATCACATGGGCCTGTGGCGAAAAGAGAGATCAGATTGTTACTGTGTCTGTGTAGAAAGAAGTAGACATAAGAGACTCCATTTTGTTCTGTACTAAGAAAAATTCTTCTGCCTTGAGATGTTGTTAATCTGTAACGCTACCCCCAACCCTGTGCTCCCTGAAACATGTGCTGTGTCCACT
Organism: Homo sapiens; assembly: GCF_000001405.40. Lineage (NCBI taxonomy): Eukaryota > Metazoa > Chordata > Mammalia > Primates > Hominidae > Homo > Homo sapiens. The sequence continues at coordinate 98,130,664 of NC_000002.12, read as the reverse complement.
CAGGGTTAAATGGATTAAGGGCTGTGCAAGATATGCTTTGTTAAACAGATGCTTGAAGGCAGCATGCTCGTTAAGAGTCATCACCACTCCCTAATCTCAAGTACCCAGGGACACAAACACTGCGGAAGGCTGCAGGGACCTCTGCCTAGGAAAGCCAGGTATTGTCCACGGTTTCTCCCCATGTGACAGTCTGAAATATGGCCTCGTGGGAAGGGAAAGACCTGACTGTCCCCCAGCCCAACACCCGTAAAGGGTCTGTGCTGAGGAGGATTAGTAAAAGAGGAAGGAATACCTCTTTGCAGTTGAGATAAGAGGAAGGCTTCTGTCTCCTGCTTGTCCCTGGGCAATGGAATGTCTCTGTGTAAAGCCCGATTGTATATTCCATCTACTGAGATAGGGGAAAACCGCCTTAGGGCTGGAGGTGGGACAAGCTGGCAGCAATACTGCTCTTTAAGGCATTGAGATGTTTATGTATATGCACATCAAAAGCGCAGCACTTTTTTCTTTATCTTGTTTATGATGCAGATACATTTGTTCATGTGTTTACCTGCTGACCTTCTCTCCACTATTATCCTATTATCCTGCCACACCCGATAATGATCAATAAATACTAAGGGAACTCAGAGGCCGGTGCCGGTGTGGATCCTTGGTATGCTGAATGCCGGTCCCCTGGGACCCCTTTTTCTTTCTCTATACTTTGTGTCTCTTTCTTTTCCAAATCTCTCGTTCCACCTAACGAGAAACACTCACAGGTGTGGAGGGGCAACCCACCCCTTCATGGGCCCTATAAATATGTACAAATATGTATCAATTTAAAAATATTTAAAGAACAAGTGCTCTGGGAAGACGTTGTACCCATTTCAAGGAGAACTTAGGAAAGGATTTTATAATTCTCCTTGTAACCACAGAAGTAGCTGATCTTTCTCCACAAGAGACCTAAACTTACACACACACATACACACACACACACAGACCCAGGGTGCAGGGGCATATGTTTTTAAATGCAGGTTTTATTACTATTCGGGTATTGTGAGGCCAATAGATAAGGAGCCTACTGCCATTGAAAAGATAGTTTGTTACTCATGGTTCCCCTATGGACTGAATTGTGCTCCCCCAATCCCAAGCCAAAAAAATTCCTATGTTGAAGCCCTAATTCCCAATGTGACTGTCTTTGGAGATAGAACAGGAGGTAATAAAGGTTAAATGAGGTCATAGGGCAGGGCCCTGATTCTATAGGATGAGTGACCTTATAGGAAGAGGAAGAGACACCAGTGAGTGCGCCCTCACTCTCTGTCTCTCTGTCTCTCTCTCTTTCTCCGTCTCTCTGCTCTCTCTCTCTCCACACACACACAATGTCTCTCTCCTCTCTCTCTCCTCTCTCTCCTCTCTCTCCTCCCTCTCTCTCCACACACACACACACACACACACACACACACACACTCTCTCTCTCTCTCTCTCCTCTCTCTCTCTCACTCTCTCTCTCCACCGTGTGAGAACAGAGTGAGAAGGCAGCTGCCTACAAGGCGGGGAGAGAGACCTCACCAGAAACCGAATTCTCCTTCACCTAGTACTTCCCAGCCTCTAGAACTGTAAGAAATAAATACTTGTTAAGCCACCCAGCCTGTGGCAATTTGTTATGGCAGCCCAAGCTGACTAGCCCAGTTCCCAGGAGGAGAGAGGGGCACAGCGTGCCACGCAGGCCACACAGGGAAGCACCGGCTCAGCCGGGAGGCAGAGGGAGTGAGGGGAAAGGTAGGTGAGGACCTTTAGTGTGGATTCCAAGGGAAGGAACAGGAGAGGAAGGGTAAGCAGGCTATTTGAATAATTTCCCTGAGCTCTGGGGTGTAGGGGCTGTCCCGAGTTTTCTGGTGTGTGGCCCTGGAGTGATTAGGGTAGAGAACAGCGGTTCTAAGTGAGAGAGCCTGGATTGGCAGTGTGGGCTCTGGTTGGTTTGCATATGAAAGTGTGCCCCAGTGAGTAATTTGCTATCTCTAGGAATTGGCTAGCCCTGGGAGGGACAGGGTCTCCTGGACCAGCAAGGCACCAAGAGGTCAAAGCATAAGAATTGCAGAAAATAGAAAGTCATGATTAATACAAGACGGAGAAGAAAAGATGCAGAGAGACTAAATAATATACTGGAAAGAGGAGAACACAGCAACAGATTGGTTAAAGCCACGAAGAATGCAAGACCCACTGTTGATCCTGTGTGAGCAGGCAACCCGCTTGCTGTCACTCAAGAGCACATTTTCTGCCTACCTGCTGTGGGTCTTGGCACTCAGATCCTTTAGAAAAGCTATAGTGCCTTCTCCTCTGGCGTTGAAGGACACTGTGTAGACTGGACACGGGATCTCCAAGGCCCTCTGGAGGAGAAGCTCCTTGGATTCTTCAGGAACATCCCCCACCACAAAGTAGTAAATGGATTCAATCTGCAAAACAGTGGTGCCAACGGTTTATCTCCCTCACATGCCCTAGCTTGGTACTAGTCTCATCAGTAATACCCATTCTACAAAACGATCTCTTAGAAAAAATGGGCAGAAAGAATAGCAGCCCTGCCCAGGGTTTTCTGAGGACATCAGGGCCAGTCAGGAAGTGAGATATTCAAGGCTTGGTACCAGGAAGGTCTGTCAACAGTGGCTATTGTCTTGGGTAAGGCACGAGAAGAATATGGTTGGCAGATTTGGAGAACTTCCTCTGGGCCACAAATATATCGCACAGGTTCGGAGTGGTTATTTTCAAGTCAAGCAATGAAGGAAGGACTGGCACAGCCACTGCAGGCAGGGAGCTTATCTGCCATTGCCCGCGGCAGTGCCAGAATCCTACAATGCAAACTCATGCATCCTCTGTCTAAGGCAGAATGTGGAAAGGAGGGCACATCCTCAGCTGGCTCCACCTCTGGGCTCACCTAAGCAGGGACTCACACGCCCGGAGCTGGGGTGAGGCTGTCCTGACTGTGCACAGCTGGTCAGATGCCAGGTCCGCCTGCAGTGCCCTGCTTCTTGCCGCCAAACCAGGCCATGAGAAGAATGGAAGAATAAGCAACCCCTGTGTCAGGACACACCCCCCCCCCCCCCGCCCACACACACACACACACACAGCTTAAACCAGTGATTCTGGAAGATGCACACCTCCCCCAGTAAGCAGACAATCCCAGAGAAGTGCCAGCTGCTGAATTGAGAGACAGAGAACTCTCTATCTCAGGGCGGCCGCCCCTCCTGCTCTGCTGCAGCCCGGCCACCCTCGCTCCTCCCGGGACGGTGCTTCCACAGTCCTCCCCACCCCTGCCACCCAGGAGCTCTGTCACCTCAGGCAACTGACCTAACTTCAGTGTCTTCCCTTGTTAAAAGGGAGATAATGCAGTTTATTATTCATGATGGCATTGAAACAGGATGACTTCCAACTATGTGTGCATTTCTATACATCTCAGAAAGTAAAAAACCCAAGGAGAGCCAGGAATCCATATCCTCTCAACCTGGCCTATAAATGTCCCGATGGACTGTGTCCACACATAAATGGGGGAAGAAACCCCAGCAAATGCATTGTGTTAGAAGGTAAATAGATGTCACCATCCCTTTAGGATTCATGACCCTCTCCTTGCTCTAATCCCAAATCCCAATAAGCTGAAGATAGTCAACAAATGGCCTCACCTCAGTATCTATCCGAGGCCTTAAATGCACCTGGCCGGGAGGGTGGGGGGCGGGAGTCCTCATGGTTGATTTCTAGTTGGTTGGGGTGCTCTGCCTGCAGCAGATGGAGCAGACTGTGCCAAGGAGGTGGAAGGGATAGGGGTGGGACGCAGTGGGTGGGGCCCAGACTGGGACTTAGGAGAAGGACAGAGTGGGAGCTGAGATCAGGCCACTTGAGGCACAGAAAGCCCTGGCCCCTCCCAGGCCTCTTTCTCTCAGGCCTTTCAACGCCAGCTCCTGATTCTAAAAAGTACTGATCGAGCAGTAAAAGACTGAGGAATATTGTAAATTTATACAAGTCAGTAAACTGGAAGCGAGAAAAAACCCTGAAGGAAGGAAGAAACCATCTTCTCCAGATTCCTTGTAGCCAGCCAATACTGCTCTTCCAGCAGATGCGTTCTGTTTCACTCTTCTCCTGGTCTGATGCATGACCTTGTGGGAGACACATTTAAACGGCTTCCACTTAGCAGGCCTATTATTTATCCGAGTTTTCCAGCTGCGGCAGTGCCCAAGTTTAGCATGGGGACAGGTTCATCCTGTTGCAAGGATCTAAGTGACACATGGCCTGAGACAGGGGAGCAGACACAGAGTATTTTCTAGGGTTGGTCAGATGAAGAGGGAGGTGAGGACACACATCTCGAGGTGGTCTGTCAGCCACTCCTGACACCACACACGTCCAATGCACGTCATGTAAACTCAGCTTCTTTCCTCTGGCACTAATCCCAAAACCTGAAGTTCTTGTGCAGAAATGTTTTTCCCTTGAGATTTCATCAAACTGAAAATTGCTGTGAGTCAGGATTTATTTTCCTTTACTAAGGTTATGACATTATTCACTATTCATTAAGTTCATTACTCGGCTTCTTAATCACATACATTTTCAGTCAACTCCCTGTGTTACGCTACAGATTTCCTGGGACATGCTTTACATTGAGACCACCTATCCCCCCCACTCTCCTGTACACGGTCTTTCTGCCTCTCCTTTCTGCTCACGTGATGACACTTAGAAAAACAGAAAGGTGGCCGGGAGCGGTGGCTCATACCTGTAATCCCAGCACTTTGGGAGGCTGAGGCGAGCAGATCACGAGGTCGGGAGATCGAGACCATCCTGGCTAACACAGTGAAACCCCGTCTCTACTAAAAATACAGAAAAATTAGCCGGATGTGGTGGCAGGCGCCTGTAGTCCCAGCTACTGGGGAGGCTGAGGCAGGAGAATGGCGTGAACCTGGGAGGCGGAGCTTGCAGTGAGCCGAATCGTGCCACTGCACTCCAGCCTGGGCGACAGAGCGAGACTCGGTTTCAAAAAAAAAGAAAGAAAAGAAAAACAGAAAGGAGGATAAATATGCTACCTATTCCTGTCTGCCATCAAACTGGCAAAATGCCTCTTAAAGCAAAATGGCTTTAATACTGTTGGCTATTTGGGATGATAAACTAAAATGAATTATCTCACTCAATACAACAGTCCTGTGGAGCATGAATTATTACCATGCCCAGTTTACAGATGAAGAAACTGAGGCTTGGAAAGGAAAACTGAGTTGGCCTTGAAGCTGGTAAGCCTAGGCTGCCTGGCCCCACAAGCCCTGCCCTTGCTGTCCACGGCTACGCTGTGCTATTTGTGGCAAGGCTGGTCACCTGTTAGAGATGAATGTGAGCCCCAGAATTCTGAAAGTAAGAGCAAGCAATAGAAGGTGGCCCCAGACAGTCACTTTTTTCACTTCTGTGGTTACCCCACCATCCAAGGGTTCAGGCTCCTACCCCAGATACCAACATCACTGACCAAAAGTTGGGACCAGGAGATTGTTTGGCTTAAAGGAGTTATCCTCATGGGAATCTGCTCCCTTAACCAGTGTCTTTGAGCTCCTTGAAGGCAAAGTCCAGTCCTGAGGCTCAGTAGCAGCCTTCAGTCCAGGAGTAGCTTCCTCACCGACCACATTTCCCTAAATGCTGATTTGCACCGAATTTGATAAAATACATGAGTTCCATTCAGCTCCTTTAGAGTGAGTAAAAAGCTCTTGCCACTTCATATGACATCAAGTAGGGAGGAGCCTTTATGTTTTCACTTGAAATTCCTTATTCTATCTGGGCCATTCATTCTGCAGCTTCACACAGTAACATGCATTCTGCCCCGCCAAAGAGTCCTTGACATCTTCCTAGCTGCAGCTTTTGGGGGAAGAAAGAAACAGATTAGGAGTGTGTGCTTCTACTCTGACTGCCCTCTGCTCCACTGGCCAGAGCCTGTGCTCTCATCCCCTAGGCTTCCAGGTATAAAAATCTTCACTCTTCAAAGAGCAAAAAGAAAGTCAACCAGAACAGCAGCAAAAGATCCAGCAAAATTCTGTCTTGTTCTGCGTACACCTTTGAACACTGCAACATTTCTGGCCAACTCCAGTCCCTGGATCTGACCTCCAAATCCTCCCTGTACCTGTGGGAACCCTCTGCTGTCTCAGCCCATTTCATCTGATTCCCTCCATGGTAGTGACTGTCCCCATGGTATTGATCTAGTTCACCTCTCAGATCCCTCCTAGGATCCTTGACCACCACCGACTTTCTGGCCTCCCAGGTTTCAGGGTCTCTGTCCCCACCTGCCATCCCCACCAGGGTCCTACAAGACTCAGCAAATTCACCTGTTCAATCCCACACAGACCATCTCACTTCAAGTCACAAAACCCAAATCTATGCCATAGCTTGGAAATGGGACCCACATCTTCCCCTCAAACACAAGAATATGAAAATTATTTCCTTTCCAACCTTTCACTGTTCAACAAGCATTTATAGAGCCCTTGTTAGGCATCAGAGACACAAAAAAGAAAAGATCTGATGCCTGCCTGAACCACTAAAAGGAAATAAATGAACTGCCAGGGTCATGGATTAATGTGGCCAGGACTTCGGCTTTCAGTCCAGCAGTGAAGGTTCTTTATGAAATCATGTGGGTCTGTCTTTAATCCACTCACTTGGTCTCCCAGGAAATATGATTAAAAGAAACCAAAAACTAAACAGATGTGTGCCAGCAGGTGGATAGAAGAGAGGCTAAGAACAGAATCAGAAATGCAGGTATCTTCTGGGTAGGTGGCCTTGTCCTGGCAGAGAAGCAAAACCCCTTGGTCTTCTTAGGCAGCTTAGAACCAGGGCTCTGGGTAAACAGCCTTCCCTTTCATCCTGTACACCACCCTTCCTCGTGAGGCCTGGGAAGCTACTAACTTCCAAAGATGCATGTCCTGGACCAGGGCTACTGAAGAGCAGAAACTCTGTGCCGGTCCACACACCTGGTCTCTGAGGATGTCAACCCCCTCAACCACCAAACATGTCCCCAGGACCCCACGTGCTGCCCTCCCAGTGAGCCAGGTTCCTTTTCATGAGACACAACAGTAATTCATCTATCAATCATGCTCTTTCAGTGCTATGTGTCGAGCCAGCATTTCAACAGACCTCCCACTCTGCATGTGCTCTTCTTAGACCTCAAGGCTCTCTCTCGTTGCTTCCTGTTTCAGTCTTCCTGGCCCGCGGTGGTTACAAAGCCTGTGCCTGGAGGGGGCCAGGAGCCTCTCTGGGCATCTTCCTTCTCCATGACCAAGCACGTGGTTCAGCCCTACTCCTCATGTGGGCTTGGTATAGAAACGGGACTTGCATGTTAATTTGTGGGCACAAGACAATGCCCACTTTCCTGGCTCCTCTCAGCACCCGCTCATGGAGGGAGATGCTAACTTGCAGCAGGCTGTCATCAGTAGGAACAGTCTAGGTGTTTATATTAGCTGCTCAAAAAATTCTTTAAGCCTTCCATCTTTTCTATTCAGAGCAAACTGCAGCCATCTGGATGAATTCAGAACTCGCTGGGATGGGCATGACAGGTGTGGAGCAGAGAAGCAGGACTTATGGGAACCCACTCCCCCCTGCCACACACACATGTGTTTTTTAACTCCTCATAAAACATAGGACACGGCATTTTTATATGCAAGGCAGTTGCATTTGCTAGAATTTTCCTTGAGACCACCCCCAGATCAAGGCTGTGGGCAGAGGGGCACAGCGGTCTGTGCAGGGCTTGCATGTGCTGCTCCACGGTCTCTTCTCAAAAGCTTTCAGGCTGCATTTGATGATCAGTGCCTGGAAGCTTCTTTCTTGATTCCTTTTCTTCCATAGGACTTCCCTGGAACTCACTGAATTGTTCCTTACTTCCTGGAATAGGAATGAACCCCGGAGAAAGGAGAGGCACGAACCAGAAGGAGTGAAACAGAAAGACAGGGTCACTGGCGGATCCTGCAGTCAGGTCAGGGGGCCACAGGCAGCTGTGACCACAATAGCCAGGTTCATAGACAAAGAGAACAGCTGTGTGCCCAGGCTCATGCACACACACCCTGAGCCTGGGAATGTTCCATTTTTTTGAATGCTTATTAAGGTGTCCAGACACTTGAAATTTTACAGATGTTAAAACAAACTCAAAGGACCAAGGAACAAACTAGCTTGTATCTGGTTCTTCTTTAATGGAAAACATTTGTTCTTTTGGCCTTGGAAGGAAAAGCAATGTGTTTCCAATTACAAACCATTGCCCTCAGTATTGATAAACACAGGCCGGTGACCACTGGGGGCTATCTTTCAAGATGCCAACACGTGGCTTCTTTCTCCAACAATGGACTTCTTGATGCAGCTGGGTAAAGTCTGAAACCTACAGAAACCCCAGACTTCCAGAGTGGAGGAAGCACATAATTGTTAAGTAACTGTATCCAAAGGCAAGCAGACCTTCCCACAGGGAGTCCAGGCTGGCCAAAGGACCCCGCCTGCCCAGAGTGTGTCTCCACTGGCTTGCCACTGCCCCAACACTCCCATCACTAGAGTCACTCCCAGAAACACAGACCCTGTGGCTCAAAGAGACATAACACACCACCATCTAATCACTTCTTCCAGGTAAAGCTTTATTTCCAAAAATGTCCCTATCAAAATTCATGTCAATACATTGACATCCAAAAATGGATGGAGTCATCAGCTTGCGCGTACTTCACCTTGGAAAGTGTGTGACAGATGACAGATCCATCTGTGAAGAAGAGTAACTAGGAAAGATTCAGAATATGGATGCTGGGAAAACCTTATTTCCTCATCCTCAGGGTTCTATGAGGAGTCTTCCAATCTCTCTCTCCTCCTCATAAGAGATAGACTGACTGATCTAATTGGTAGGAGAGCAAGAGTGAAGTTAATATGGCAAAGATGCACAACTATGGCCTCACTCCTGTCCCTTCTCGGTGCTCGGTGGGTGTGAGTCGCACTCGGCTCTCCCGACACTGGCTAAACAAGGGTCTACCCTGCATCCCCAGTCACCCCACAGAGGGAGCCTAGCCAGGTTCAGGAGACGGGTATTCAGGGGCCTCATTTGGGTTGTTCCAGCTATGCCATCACCATCAGTGCCCAATGGGATCTCTGTCGGATCCTGCTGGGAGGGGCCCAAGATCAGTTGAAGGGCCGTGTAAAGTCACTGAGTGTGAAGAGTTAAGCTGGAAGCCACCTCCATGGCCTGGGGCCAGCCATGAACACGCACTTACAGTCTTGTCTCTCCCGGCTTCCAGCAGAGCATCCAGGCGGCCAGCCTCGCTCACAGTCAGCTCAACCGTCAGTTTCTCAACCCAACTGATGGCAGTAGCTATGGACTGTTCGGTCACAGGAGTAGCATTTTCCTGCCACTTCACAGGCTCTTGAGAAACCCTGAAAAGGATCACATGGAGTGGTCACTGGGCAGTGATCAGTGCTACTGGGATGCCAAACCTCCGTCTCACAGCCATGAGCAGCAAGCTGCCAACATCCATCTCTAGAGCTGAAAAAGAAAGAAATCATAGCTCCCAGCCCTCTGATGTTACCAACAAAACCAGCAAGCTGTTTAAGACAGGTTCCCAAAGCACCACTACCTTCTATAAGCTGTGCTGACTAGGAAAAACAATGTTTACATGAGAAACAGAAAGGTAAACACTAATAATGAGTCCTTTAAAACATTAAGAGAAGTTATTTTTTATAAACAGGCAAGTTTATATGTAACTGGCTTCACTTAATAGTACATTTATAATAATTCACAGTATTAAGGTTTGCAAATCACCAGCAATTCTATTGCTCTAAAATTTTATTTCTAATTCTTTCATGACATTGTTTTCATTGTCCTGAAAGATTCCCATAGGTTGCCTTCTTTTGGATTAATACTGGTATTGTTTTGAGTTCAACAGAGTATTAGTTTTTAAATCCTGAGAAAATTTGGTTAAACCATTTAGTTTGGGCTTATAAAAGACTGGTAGAACTCCCAATTCCAAAAAAAGAAGAGCCATTTGAATTATCTCAATTTATTTGCACTTGATAATTGCAAATAAACTGGCCCGATTGCCCCCATGGCCTGCCACCAGAAGCAGGGCTGGCTCACACTCGTGTCTGCTGTGTGCTTCCTGGGTAGAGAATCTGGCTGAGTGGCATCTGTGTTGTACAGAGGTTTCCAAGAAAGCAAAAGCTTTGCAGACTTAAGCACTTGATTCCTTCAGTAATACACCTGTGACAGAAATAGGAAGCTAGATAGAACATAATTAGGCATTGTCCCCAAAGATGTCCTCTATTTAGCTGAAAGTATTTGATTAAAAACAGAAAAACTGAATGAGGTAGATCCTTCCCCAACCGTTATCCAGATGTTTTTTGTCAGGGAGGTGCAATAACTTTTCCAGATGAGAAGTTAATGCTAAGGTCCAAATTCTCTTGAATCCAAGAATCCATAAATAATTGGTTGTGAAAACTCTGAAATATGGGAAATTCTATAAAGCCAGCCACCTGTTGTTCTGGTGAAAGGGGTCAACTTATAGGGGAGGTCAACTTGAGTTGCAACTTCAGTCTGGAAAATCAGTGAAATTAGTGACATTTGAATTCATTACCCAAGTTAAAAGCTAAAATGAATGAAGAGATTTATGGCCTTAAATATATATTTGCCATAACTCATATTCTTATATTTTAACCTTCCCATGCACTGAAGAAATGCATGTTTCTAAATCTCTTTTAATGTGAAAGCTAAGACACCCTGTGCAAAGCAGATAAAAGTTCCTAAGATTTATTCACTGTGGGATTGCTGCTGAAATTACATCTTCTAGGAAAGTATAAGATAATGCCTCTTCCCTCACCAGAGAGCTAACTGTGTCAGCTGTGCTACTTAATTCCAAATATGTACAAATTACTATGAACTTTCACTAAAATACTCCCTTCCTATGGGAACTCACCGTATGATATTGAACTCGGTTATGTGAGCCACCTGCTCCTGGAGAACCATTGTTAGAGCCTCTCGGCACAGATCAAGCTCCCCCTCCAGAATGCCGCCAAAATCCAGCACTATGGTGACGCACTGTTCCAAGATGACACCAAAAATCTGCCGGCTCTTGCTGGTGAGCCAGTCCATTCGCTGCTTGTAGCTCTCCACAGCTTGTGTTAAATGTTCCACAAACTGATAAATCAGTTCTGATTTAGCTGTCAGCTTAATGAAAATAAAAGACAAAAACAATAAAACAACACCAAAATAAGTCATTTGAACCACAGTGCTGCCACCGAGAACTGTGCACTCATAACAGTGTTGTCAATGACCCTCCAAACACTACAGAATCCAGGAGAAAAGGTTCCAGTCTTTCAACAGAAAAACGCTTGGATTCTCCACAGAAGAAAAGATGATAATATGATCTATTCAAAATACAGCAGTCCTTAAAAAATATCTTTCCAGATTATGTTTTATCTTTATAGTTACAGATTATCTTTATCAGAAAAAGCCCAGGGTACTCTTAAGAAATTAGGTAGGAGAAAAGACCAACAAAGGCAGATGGAAAATAATGTCTCACTAAAACGTTTTCCTAAACATAACATTCCAAAAATATTTCTGAAAATGCTACTGAACATGCCAGCACACCTTCCTGGCTTCCTCTAAAGGATGCCATCCCAGCTACACATCCTTCTGCTCATGACTTTTGTCCTCATGCCCTCCTCTCTCGGGTGAAGCTCTCCTGCACCTGGACCACCTGATCACTCACTGCTGCTACCAGCAGCCCTTGAGCTGCCCCCAAATGGTGACAGAGACTTGCAGGAAGTTTCTTGTATGTACAAATAAACCATCCTTCACATAGATCAGACACACTGTGCAAGGCCTTTCAAGAGGTAGAGAGGCAATAGAAGACATAGACAAGGAACAAGAAAAAATTGTGCCCTATTCTGTGACAAAGCACATTTTATTTTATTTTATTTTATTTTATTTTAGCAGTTGCAAGATTTAATAGAGTGAAAACAGAGCTCCCATACAAAGGGAGGGGACCCAAAGAGGGTAGCCGTTGCTGGCTCAAATGCCTGGGTTTATATCCCGATCACTGTCCCTCCCGCTGTGTTCTCAGGCAATAGATGATTGGCTATTTCTTTACCTCCTGTTTTTGCCTAATTAGCTTTTTAGTGAGCTCTCTTTACTATCTGATTGGCCCGGTGTGAGCTAAGTTGCAAGCCCCGTGTTTGAAGGTGGATGCGGTCACCTTCCCAGCTAGGCTTAGGGATTCTTAGAGCACATTTTAAAAGAAGATACGGTACTTTATCTTGGAAAATGTGCTTTCAGACCACATCACCTCATTCCACATTTTTGTGGCTTGGCTCAGGCTCCTTCCTTCCCTGTCCCATGTGTCTGTCAACCTCATTCCTCAAGCTCCAGCATCACTTCTTGGAGGCTTCTCATGGCCCCTTAAGACAGAATTACCAGCTCCTTCACCAGCATCCACAGCTACTGCTACAACACAGAAGCCAGGGTGGGCACATCACAGGGAATGTGGAGGTGGATTTTAAAGGTAAAGGGACAGGTGTTTTTAAAAGTTTTGCATTGATTTTAATGTGGTTCAGATAAAAAATATACTTAGCACATCAAACTGAAGATTCCACAGATAGTATTGCTTAGGACCAGGCTTAGTTTAAAAAGGAATTTAAGCTGGACCTGGCATGATGGCTCATGCCTGTAATCCCAGGACTCTGAGAGGCCAAGGTGAGTGAATCACCCGAGGTCAGGAGTTCGAGACCAGCCTGGCCAACATGGTGAAACCCCATCTCTACTAAAAATACAAAAAGTAGCTGGATACGGTGGCGCACACCTGTAGCTACTTGGGAGGCCGAGGCTGGAGAATCGCTTGAACGCAGGAGGCGGAGTGAGCTGAGATGGCACCACTGCACTCCAGCCTGGGTGACAGAGTGAAACTCCATCAAAAAAAAAAAAAAAAAAAAAGGTAATTTAAGCTTTGGAAAAAGTAAGTAGTGGGTGCATCTTCAAGCTGAAGGCAACCTACCACCCCCATCATGGAGGTTTCTCCAAGGGCTGAATGGCCTGGCTGTCCCTCTTACAGTATCCCTCCAGGCTCTCTGCTGTTTCCTGGGCAGCCCCAACACCCCACCAGGGTATTTTCACCCATGGCCCCCCTGCTGCCCCACCAGAGCATTGCCAGCAGCCCCTAATGGAAGGCTTTTGCCAGCAGCCTGGTAGCACATTGGCTGCCCCAGCGCAGCCAGTGTTCGACCTCAAGGGGCCAGAGGACAAAGCCACAGCCCAGTTCTAGGCCCCAGGGTTACAGCATGCAGCCCAGGAATGCTGAGCTGAGCGTTGGCCCTCTGAAAGCATCCGGAAACTAAGCCAATCAGCTATACCCAACTCACACCACAGTCAAACCCTCAAGGGAAATAAAGAACATAAAAACAAAAAGGCCCATCCAAAGGATGGCAACTTAAAAGGATGAAGAAACATCAGCCTTCACAGGTGAGAAAGAACCAGTGCAAGAATTCCGTAAACTCTTCAGTCCAGAGTGTCCTCTTACCTCCAAGCAATCACACTAGCTCCTCAGCAGTGGTTCTTAACCAGACTGAAATGGCTGAAATGACATTGAATTGAGGATCTGGATGTCAAGAAAGCTCATAAAGATACAGGAGAAGGTGGAAACCCAATCCAAGGAAAATGGTAAAATAATCCAAGAATTGGATGATATAGCCATATTAAGAAAGAACCAAACTGAACTTTTGGAATTGAACAATTCACTACAGAAATATCATAATACCATCAGAATCATTAACAACAAACTAGACCAAGCTGAGGAAAGAACTTCAAAGTTGAAGAATCACTCCTTTGAATCAATGTAGGCAGACAAAAATAAAGAAAAAGGGGCAGGCATGATGCCTTACACATGTAATCTGAGGCATGAGGTTGAGGCCAAGGCAGATGGGAGGCCCAGGCAGGCGGATTGCTTGAGCTTAGGAGTTCAAGACCAACCTGGGCAACATGGCGAGACCCCGTCTGCAAAAAAATACAAAAATTAGCTGGGTGTGATGGCACACGCCTGTGGTCCCAGCTACTTGGAGGGCTGAGGTGGGAGGATCGCTCGGACCCGGGAGGTCAAGGCTGCAGTGAGCCATGAACACACCACTGCACTCCAGACTGGGTGATAGAACAAGAAAGTGTCTCAAAAGAAAAAGAGAATTTAAAAAAATGAACAAAACCTCTGAGACACATAGGATTACGTAAAGAGACCAAACCCATGACTCATTGGCATTCTTGAAAGAGAAGGAGAGTAAACAACTGGAAGACATATTCGAGGATAGGGTCTACAAAAATTTTCTCAAAAAAAAAAAATTTACCAATAAAAGTAACTTAAATTTTCTAAATATTAGGAAACAGTAGTCCAGGTGGTACATGGATGTACATAGACATGAACAAATATCCATAAATGGACGTGATGGGACATGTGTCTCCAACAGACTTTGAGCTCCATGTGGTTGGCCTGGGTCTGCACAGGGCCTGGCATGTAGGAGACGTGAGACTCAGGTGCTGAATTGCTGGGAGTAAAGGCCTCTGGTCAGAGGTGGTGCTCATTCTCCTATCTGCAAATGCTGCCCCTATTCCTAATGCTTCTCTCAGATAATGGCAGTTTGCTCTTGGCTTTCAGATCATCTCTGTCATATTTTTTTTTCCTTTATTTTCAAAGCAAAACGAAGTGGTAATGTGCAAAGGTTTTCATCTCTCATCAAGAGTTTTCTGCACTAATTTCTAATGGATCAAAAACTTCCTTCCTTGGCCATGATTTTCATCACCCTATCAATGCCAAAAGAAAACCCCCAGCCTAATAAGGGCTTGGCTCAGCTGCATCCCTGCCAAGCAGCACAAGTCTCTCCCCACACTGCACTCTCCGATGTGATGTCAGCACCATGTCACAGGACTGCGCATTGAGGGAACTCTGACTTACATTGTATACTCTGCCATCTTCTGCTCTGTAGAGCTGTGGAAACAGACCATCAGCATACCGAGAAGCCACAGGTCTCCCCAGAGACGCCACATAATCTGCATTTTTATAAAGAAAAACAATCAAAACAGTAGTACATGAGTGAACCTTCCTATTTTTATTTTGAAATGTTTTTCTCTGACACCATTCAAATTATATCTTGTGCCATCAATAATTTGTGATGCTTTCTATTCTGTTCTAAATCATGAAGTATTTCTAGGTGCTGTGATAAATGTAACTGTCTATGGCATTGTAATATTTTTCTTTATTATACTTTAAGTTCTCAGGTACATGTGCACAATGTGCAGGTTTGTTACATATGTATACATGTGACATGTTGGTTTGCTGCAACCATCAACTCATCATTTACATTAGGTATTTCTCCTAATGCTATCCCTCCCGCCTTCCCCCACCCCACGACAGGCCCTGGTGTGTGATGTTCCCCATCCTGTGTCCAAGTGTTCTCATTGTTCAATTCCCACCTATGAGTGAGAACGGCATTGTAATCTTTTAATGCATGAATAAACAGGAAGAATAGAATTTGTGTCCTAGTTTCCTTGTACTTTGGTCCAGAGTAATTACAACAGAGGTTAAAAAAAAAAAAAAAAAGCAACATAGGAAGTTATTCGTGACTTGGACTTGGTTTTCAGGGTTTTTAAAATTTCACTTAGATATTTCAACTGTACTCTCAACTGAAGGGTCATAATTAAATCACTGAAATAAAGCCAGCCGGTCACAGATTCAGAATTGCCATACAGAATGTCAGAACTACAAGATTTTCTCCTTATCAGATTATATGCTCAGCTATTCAAATATCTGTTGCATAAACCCTTATTGGGTGCCTACTATGTACTAGGCATGCTTACAGGATAGGAATACAATTGTTACCTACAACATAGTCCTACTCCTTCTTGTTGCCTACAACATAGTCCTGCTCCTTCATGGAACTCTCAGAAGCCTATGGAGAGGATTCAAAGACTAGCTAGGATTTGGCAGGACAGAAGATGAGGTAAGGCTTCACAGAGATGTTTTTTATCGGATGATTATTTTATTGTAATTTTAATTATTATTTTTAAGTCCCAAAGGTGGGAGACAGAATGGTGGTACTTGTGGTGCTGGTACTTCCTTCCCTCTGCCTTACTAGGAAGGCAGGATAACAGCCTCCTCTGGAGAGCTAAAAAGAGCAAGGCTGAATTTTATAGACACCCTGGCCAGGCTTGCTCCCCAATCACAAGGGGTGATTTCAAGTCTTGAAGTGCAACTTTCACAATAGTAAAGAGTAAAGAATGGATACTTGAATTCCATCAGCAATAATCTCACTCAATAGACCACTCCAGCTCTAAAATTTGTGTTTCCAATATTTCACCTTCTTAGCTGACATTGATGAAGTGACTAAATATCACTAGCAGCATTCTCTGTTTACCTAAGACATTTATCTGGAGTTGGGAGAGGAAGCTGTTTTTTGAGGCTTGAAGGAAATAAGACTATGGAAGGCTTCATAAGCTGTATTGGGAATTGAAATGTAAGGCATTGTGAGTTCTGCATCCAGTAACAGTGGAGTAGATTGTAGTAGCTAACCTTCACACAGAAAAAATATGATAAATTCTGGACGAAATATAAAAAGAGCTATTTGTAGGCATTAGACAGCAATCTAGAACATGCAGAAACTGGAATGGCATCCATCCTAAAAAGGAGGGCATTTGTTATTTGTATGTATTTAGCAGGAAAGAGAGAGTTTGGAGTTTGAGTCCAGCCAACTTAACTGCCTACTAGAATGAAAATCAGCTCTCCATCTATCAACTGGTAAATGGATAAGAAAATCGTAGTACAGCCATACAATGGAATACATATGGTCGCAAAAAGGAATAAAGTATTGGTGCTGGTTACAACATGGATGAACCTTAAAAACATTAAGCTAAGTAAAAGAGGCCAGTCACAAAAGACCCCATATTATAAATTCTATTTCAATGAAATGCTCAAAACAAGCAAATCTATAGAGAAAGTTTAGGGGTAGGAAAGTGTAGAGCTAAGAAGTACAGAGTTTCTTTTTGAGGTGATAAAAACATTCTAAATAGTTGCACATATCTGTGAATATAGTAAAACCATTGAATTGTAGGTAGGTACATTATAGCTCAATAAAGCTGTTATAAATAATATATAGTATCAATTTTTATAAGAATAAAAATCACTTCTCCTAGAAGAAGGATTATACAGTTGAACCTTGAATAACATGATTTCGAACTGCATGGGTCTACTTATATGCAGATTTTTTTCAACCAAATGTGGATAAAAATACAGTATCAGTGGAATGTGAAACCCACTCATACAGAGGGCCAACTTTTCATATATGTGGGTTCTGAAGAGACAACTGCAGGAACTGAGTATGCATGGATTTGGTATACACAGGGGGTCCTGGAAACAATCGTTTGCATATACCAAAGGAAAACTATACAACCCAAAGTCTCTACAACCATTCACATTGTCCAGCATAGAACAAAAAATTATCAGATACATAAACAAAGAGAAAAATGTGACCAATAGTCAAAAGAAAATGCAATCAATAAAACCTACCCTGAAATGGACCAGATGTTGAAATTAGAAGAAAAAGGCCTCAATATATTATAAGTATACTATAAATACCATAAACATTATATATATATATAATGTTGGAGGGAAAGAAAACTGTGATCATAATAAGTGAACAAATGGGGAACTTAGCAGAGAAATTGAAAAGAAAGGAAATTTTAGAACAAAAAGTACAATATCTGTATGGGCTTCACAGCAGATTGGAGGTACCAGAATAAAGTGTTAGTAACCTAGAAAATCTGTCAAGAGAAATTACTCAATCTGATAAACAAAGAGAAAAAAAATATTGACAAAATGAACAGAGTTTCAGTGACCTGTGGGACAATATCAAGATGCTTAGCAAACTATGATTTGAGTCTCAGAAGAAAAAGAGAGAACAGATAGGGCGTAAAAATAGATTAGAAGAAATAATAGTTGAAAATTTCCAAGATTTGATTAAAAAAAACCCTACAGATCCAAGAAGCTCGATAAATCCAGTGCAATGTATGTACAAAGAAAACCAAAAGAAGGCATATCAATAGCTGAAAACAAGAATAAAGAGGAAAAATCTTAAAAGCAGTTATAGAAAAAAAGATACATTATATACATCATATGGAAGGAAAATGTTACGGATTATGTCTGATTTCTCTGATGAAAAGGTGGAAATCAGAAAACAATGGCTTGACATATTTAAAGGTCAGAAAAAAAAAACTTCAACCAGTAATTCTAAAACCAGCAAAAGTGTTCTTCAAGAATGAAGGTAATGACTTCAAACTATTCTACAAGGATACAGTAACCAACACAGCATGGTACTGGTAAAACACACACACACACACACACACCCACACACACACACACACACACCCCAAACAGACATATAGAACAATGGAACAGAATACAGAACCAAAAATAAAGCCACACAACTACAGTCATATGATCTTCAAAAAGTTGACAAAAATAAGCAATGAGGAAAGGACTCCCTATTCAATAAATGACTCTGAAATAGCTGGCTAGCTACATGCAGAAGAATGAAACTGGACCCCTACCTTTCACTATATAAAAAAATTAATTGAAGATGGATTAAAAATTTAAACATAAGATCCTAGGGAATCCTAGAAGAAAACCTAAGAAATATTATTCTGGGCACAGGCCTTGGCAAATAATTTATAACTAAGTCCTCAACAGCAATTGCAACAAAAACAAAAATTGATAAGTAGAACCTAATTAAATTAAAGAGCTTCTGCTCAGCAAAAGAAACTATCAACAGAGTAAGCAGACAACTTATAAAGTAAAAGAAAATATTTGCAAATATTTATTGAAAATATTTGCAAACTGTGCATCCAATAAAGATTGAATATCCAGAATCTATAAGGAAGTTAAACTATTCAGCAAGCAAAAAATAACCCCATTTAAAAATGGGCAAAAGACATGAATAGACACTTCTCAAAAGAAGACACATAAGTGGATAAGAAACAAGAGAAAATGCTCAACATCACTAATCATCAGAGAAATGCAAATCAAAACTACAATGAGATACCATTTCACACCAGTCACAATGGGTACTATTAAAAAGTCAAAAATTTACAGATTTTGGTGAGATTGTGGAGAAAAGGGAATGCTTATACACTGTTGCTGGGAATGTAAATTAGTACAACCTCTATGGAAAACAGGATGGAGATTTCTTTAAGAATTAAAATAGGACTACCCTTTGATCCCACTATTGGTAATCTACCCAATGGAAAAGAAATCATTTTATCAAAAAGACACCTGCCCTTATATGTTTGCTGTAGTATTTTTAAAATGTGGTTTATATATATAGACCACATGGTGTGTATAGACTATGGAATACTACTCATCCATTTCAAAAGATGAAATCATGTCTTTTACAGCAACATATATGGAACTGGAGGCCATTATTCTTAATGAAATAACTCAGAAACAAAGTGAAAAACTACATCTTCTCACTTTTAAGTGGCATGTGAACACACAGACATGCAGAGAAAAATAGACACTGGAGAATCCAAAAGGTGGGGGGAGCAGGGGTTGTATTAGCCCATTTTCACACTGCTGATAAAGACATACCTGAAACCGGGAAATTTACAAAGGAAAGAGGTTTAATGGACTTACAGTCCCATGTGGCTGGGGAGCCCTCACAATCATGGTGGAAGGCAAGGAGGAGCAAGTCACATCTTACATGGACAGCAGCAGGCAAAGAGAGAGTTTGTGCAAAGGAACTCCTCTTCTTAAAACCATCAGATCTTGTGAGACTTATTCACTATTGTGAAAACAGCAAGAGAAAGACCTGCCTTCATGATTCAGTTACCTCCCACTGGGTCCCTCCCACAAACGTGGGAATTGTTGGAGTTACAATTCAAGATGAGATTTGGGTAGAGACACAGCCAGACTGTATCAAGGGTGAAGGATGAAATATTGCTTATTGGGTACAATGTGCACTCTTCAGATGATGGATACACTAAAAGCCCATACTTCACCACTGCACAATATATCTATGTAACACAACTGCACTTGTACACCTAAATCCAAAAATATAAACAAAATTTGGGAAATGTCCCAGTTTCAATAAAAAATCATTCATCATTCAAAAAACCAGGAAGATTATAAAAAAAGACAACTGACAATATCAACACCAAGATGAGAGATGTCATAGAATGACCTAACAAGGATTTTAAAGCAACAACCATAAACATACTTAATGGCAATTACAAACATTCTCAAAATGAATAAAAACATAGGAAGTCTCAGTAAAGAAATAGAAGATATAAAGAAGAATAAAATGGAAATATTAGAGCAAAAAATAGAATAATCAAAATTAAAAACTCAATGGATGAACTCAATAGCAAAATGAAAAAAGAAGAATGAGTAAGCTTGGAGAACAATAAAAATTACCCAATCTAGACAAGAGGGAAAAAATAGCCTGAGAAAGCTGAACAGAGCCTTACAGATATGTAGGATTATTTTTTTTAAAGATCCAATGTTCATATTATTGGAGTGCCAGAAGGAGAAGAGAAAGAGGGTAGGGGGAAGAAAAAGAAGAAAAAAAAAAAGAATTCAAAGACATAAGGGTTGAAAATTCTCCAAATTTGGCAAAAACAAAAAACATAAAGCAACAGATTCAAGAATCTGAGTGAAATTCGAAGATAATAAATGCAAATAAATTCACACCAAGGCACATCATACTCAAACATCTGAAAACAAAAGACAAATAAAAAAATCTTTAAAGCATATATCAATAGGGAAAAATAAATTCTAATGATAGTGGTTTTCTCATCAGAAACCATGGAGGCCAGAAAGAATGGGCACAATATTTTTTAAGTGCTAAAAAAAAAAAAAAAGAACTATCAACCCTAAATCTTACATCTGGTGAAATTCTTCTTCAGGAATAAAGTAGAAATAAAGACATTCTCAGACAAAGAAACTAAAGGAATTTGTGGCTAGCAGAGCTACTCTTAAAGAATAAAAGAACTTCTCTAAGCAGAAAGAAAATAACAAAAGAAGGAACCTTGGACCATCAGGAAAGACGAACACAGTAAGCAAAACTATAGGCAAATAAAATAGACAGTCCTTCTCCTTTTGAGTATTACAAATAATGTTTGATGGTTGAACCAAAATTCTAGCATAGTCTAATGTAATTCTCAATGTAAGAAGATAAAATAATACATTTTATTATAAATGGGAAGGGCAAAGGGCTATAAAGGGAAAAGAAGGTTTCTGCTCATCACTCAAACTGGTAAAATGTTGACATCAGTAGATTTTGATAATGTATGTATTCATAATGTAACACCTAGCACAATCACTAAAAAAGCCATATGAAGATATACAATAGAAAACATTATAGCCAGGCGCGGTGGCTCACGCCTGTAATCCCAGCACTTTGGGAGGCCAAGGTTGTCAGATCACCCGAGGTCAGGAGTTCAAGACCAGCCTGACCAACATGGAGAAACCCTGTCTTTACTAAAAATACAAAATTAGCTGGGCATGGTGGTGTATGCCTATAATCCCAGCTACTCGGAAGGCTGAGGCAGGAGAATTGCTTGAACCCGGGAGGCAGAGGTTGTGGTGAGCCAAGATTGTGCCATTGCATTACAGCCTAGGCAACAAGAGCAAAACTCTGTCTCAAAAAAAAAAAAAAAGAAAAGAAAAGAAACATTATAGATAAATAAGAATTCTAAAAAGTGTTTAGGTAACCCAAAAGCAGGTAGGAAAAAAACAGACAAGCCAAAAACAGAGAAAAAGAAAACGAAAAATAAAATGGTCAACAAGCTCTAACATATCAATAATCAAGTTAATTGTAAATGGTCTAATATACCAAGTAAAAGATAGAGATTGGCAAAGAGGATTTTTTTAAAAAGACTCAACAATATACTGTCTACAGGAAATTTGCTTCAAATATAATTATATATATAAGTTAAAAGTAAAAGGATGGAAAAAGATAGGCCATGCAAATATTTAAAAAAAGGAAATAGGATTGGCTATATTAGAAAAATAAACTTCATAGCAAAGAATATTACTGGGGACAGAGCAGGACATTATATAATGACAAAGGTGTCAATCCACCAGAAAGACATAGCAATCCTAAATGTGTATGTATCACCCAATAGAACTGCAAAATATTTGCAACAAAAAACAGAATAACTGAAAGAAGAAATAGACAAATCCACAATTATACTTGGAAACTTCAATACTGCTTTCTCAATAACTGATAGAACAAGAACAAGAAAATCAGGAAGGATACTCAACACCATCAATGAACAGGATCTAACTGACATTTATAGAAAGCTCTATAAAACAACAGCAGAATACACACTCTTTTCAAGTATTCATGGAACATGTACAAAACAAAGCACATATTTGGTTATAAAACATCCTAAACATTTTACAAGAACTGAAACCAAACAAGTACGTGCTCTGTCCAAGATGGGAACAAACTAGAAATCAAAAATAAATAAAAAGATAACAGGAAAATCTACAAATATTTAGAAACTAAACAATACGCATCTAAAAGTCCATAAGTCAAAGAGGAAGTCTTGATGAAAATAAAAGACTTTTAATTAAGTGGAAATAATAATACAACATATAAAAATTTGTGAGACATTGCTAAAGCACTGACTGGAGGGAAATTTGTAGCACTAAATGCTTACATAAGAAAACATAAAATCTCAAATCAATAATCAAAGCTTTCAACTGAAGAAATTAGAAAAAAGAAAAGCAAAATAAACCCAAACAAGCAGAAGGAAATAAATAATAAAGATCAAAGTAGAAATCAATGAAATTGAAAACAGAAAAACAATAGAGAAAACCAAACAAAAAAGCTGGTATTTTTTAAAGATCAATAAACTGACAAACCACTAGTAAGACTGACAAAGATAAAAAGAGAGAAGGTATAAATTACAGATATCAAGAATAAAATGGGAAATACCACAAAAGATGCGGCAGACATCAAAAGAATAATAGAATACTACAAACTCCTCACAAATTAGACAACTTGGATGAAATGAATTAAATCCTCAGAAAACAAACTACCACAACTCACACAATATAAAATAATTTGACTAGTCCTATATCTGTTTAAGAAAGTTAAATTCTTGACTTAAAACTTCTTCAAAAAGGAATCTCCAGGCCTGGATGAGTTCACTGGAGAATTTTACCAAATGTTTAAAGAATAATTAATATTAATTCTACATTGTTTCTTGTTATCTCAACAAGAAACAAAAAATAATAATTCTACAAAACATCTTCTAGAGAATGGAAGAGGAAGGAATACGTCCCAACTCATTTTATGAAGCTAGCCTTGTCATACCAAAACCAGACAAAACCATTATTTAAAAAAGAGAAAACTGCAGACCAATATTCTTCAAGAATACAGATGCAAAAATCCGTAACACAACATTAGCAAATTGAATTCTGCAATGTATAATATAAAAAGACTTCTAAAACATGCTCTAGTTTACTCCAGGGATGCAAGGCTGGATTAAAAAAAATAATATAATCCATTAAAGTAACAGGCTAACAAAGAAATATCACAGGATGCTATCAATTGATGGAGAAAAAAATTGACAAAATTCAGCACCCATTAATAATAAAAATTCTCAGATTACTAGGAATATCAGGGACCTTCCACAATATAATTTTTAAAAATCTATTGCAAACCTACAGTTAACATCATACTTAGTGGTGAATGACTGAAAGCTTTCAGTGCAAGGACATCCACTCTTACCGTTGCTATTCAACATAGTGCTGGAAGTTCTAGCCAGCGTAACAGAGCAAGAAAAGGAAAGACAAGACACATAGATGAGAAAGAAAGAAATAAGACTTTTCCTCTTTGCAGATGGCATGATAGTCTACCTAGAAATCTTCCAGAATAAGTGAGTTTGGCAAGATCACAAGATAGAAGGTTAACATGCAAAAGTCAGTCATATTTCTATATACTAGGAATGAACATGTGAAAACCAAAATTTAAAATACAATTCCATCTACAACTGCTAAAAAAAATAAAATACTTAGGTATAAATCTAACAAAACATGTGCAGGCTTCGTATACTGAAAATTTTAAGACAGCTGATGAAAGAAATCAAATAATATGTAAATAAATGGAAAGATATTTCATATTCGTGAACTGAAACACTCAGCATTTTCGTCAGCATAGTAAAGATGTCAATTCTCCTTTAATTAATATACAGGTTTAATGCAACTCCTATCAATATTATAGCAATATTTTTGTAGACATGAACACAGTTATTCTAAAATTTATTTGGAAAGGCAAATGAACTAGAGTAGCTAAAACAATTTTGAAAAAAAAATAAAGTAGGAGGACTCACCCGGCCCAATTTCAAGAAATTCTATAGTTACAGTAATCAAGACTGTGTGATATTGACAGAGAAACACAGATGAATAGAACAAATAGAGAACCTAGGGCCAGGCGCAGTGGCTCACACCTGTAATCCCAGCACTTTGGGAGGCCGAGGTGGGCGGATCATGAGGTCAGGAGATCGAGACCATACTGGCTAACACGATGAAACACAGTCTCTACTAAAAATGCAAAAAATTAGCCGGGCATGGTGGTGGTCGCCTGTATTCCCAGCTACTTGGGAGGCTGAGGCAGGAGAATGGCGTGAACCTGGGAGGCGGATCTTGCAGTGAGCTGAAATTGCACCACTGCACTCCAGCCTGGGCAACAGAGCGAGACTCTGTCTCAAAAAAAATAAATCAAATAAATAAATAAATAAATAAAAACAAAATAGAGAACCTGGAAATATAGGCACAACCAACTTTTAACAAAAATCCAAAAGCAATTCAAAGTAGGAAGGGTAGTCACTTAAGTAAAATGCACTGGAGCAACTGAACACCCATAGTAAAAAAAAAATGAACCATTTGCTTTTGTGTGTGTGTGTGTTTTTTAAGAGATAGAGTCTCACTCTATCACCTAGGCTGGAGTGAAGTAGTGTGATCATAGCTCACTGCAACCTTGATACCCTGGGCTTAAGCAATCCTCCCACCTCAGCCTCCCAAAGTGCTGGGATTACAAAAAAACGTGAACCTTATACAGAAACTAATTCAAAATAGATCACAGGCTAAATGTAAAATTATGAAACATTTAGAAAAAAACATAGGAGGGGGTAACATAGGAAGATCTTTGTGGTGATAAACAGTTCTCTCTCTTGATTGTAGTGGTGGTTACAGAAATCTACACAAGTGATAAAATTATATAGACTTGCAAACACATTGCATACATGTCAAATTCCTCATTTTGATATTATACTATTATTTTACAAGATATGACCATTGGGAAAACTGGGTGAAAGGTACATGGGATCTTTACACTTTACAATTACCTCAGAATATATAAGTATGGATGTACAAATGGATAAATGAATGAATGAATGAGTAAATAAATAAATGTGCAGGTGAAATAAAGATAATTTCAGATAAACGAAAACTGAAAAAAGCTGTCACCAGCAGACCTGCACTGTAAGAAATGCCTAAAAGAAATTATTCAGGAAATAACATCAGTTGAAACCTCAAATCCTACAAGAAGGAAGAATATTTTAAGTGGTAAACATGTGGATCTTAGCAGTGTATAGTTTTCTTCTCCATTTCTTTAAAAAACAGATGACTTTTAAAAGCAAAAATTATGACTCTGAATTGTGAGATTTATAATGTATGTAAAAATAAAATACATTAAAACAGTAACACCAAGGACAGGAGTGAGGAGTAAGGGGAGGTATGAGTGTTGAAAACTTGTTTCATTTTATATGAAGTCATATGAAATCTACTTTTAGTGGACTGTAACAAGTTAAGGATGTAACAAGGAAAGCCAATTAAATGAAAAATAAAGATTTCATCAAATGAAACACTAAAAAATATTCATTTAGCACAAAAGAAGGCCAAAAGGAGAAACACAGATGAAAGAAAAAGATTGGACAAATAGAAAGCAAATAGTAACATGGTAGACCTACATTTAAATATATCAATTATTACATTAAATGTATAGAATCAAACACTAGTTGCTATAGTTTGGATATTTGACCTCTAAACCTAGTGTTGAAATTTGATCCCCAATGTTGGAGGTGAAGCCTAATGGGAAGTGTTTGGATCACGGCGACAGATCCCTCATGAATGGCTTGGTGACATTCTCGTGGGAATGAGGGAGTTCTCAATCTTAGTTCTCATGAGGACTGGTTGTTGAAAAGAGCCTGGTCCCTCTTCCGCTCTGTCTTTTGCCTTCTCTCTTGACATGTGATCTGCACACACCAACTCTCCTTTGCCTTCTATCATGAGTGGAAGCTTCCTGAGGCCCTCACCAGATGCAGATGCTGGTACCATGCTTCTTGTATAGCCTGAAGAACCATCAGCCAAATAAACATCTTTTCTTTATAAATTACCCAGCCTCAGTCATACCTTTACAGCAACACAAATGGATAAAGACACTAACTGATTTAATTAATTGGTTGAATTAATTAATTAAGACATATGCAACTGCATTAAAAACACCAACTCCAACTATATGCTGTCCATGAGAAGCCCTCTTTAATATATAGACTATAGATATTTATCATTAAAGATTATAAACACATACACCATGTAAAACTTAATAAGAAAGCTACAGTGGCTATATTAATATCAAAGTAAACATCAAAACAATGACTAATGTCTGAAATAAATATGACATATCAGAATTATTAAAATTTGTCAAGTCCTTAGAAAAACATAACAATCCTAAATGTGTATGCATTTGGAACTTCAAAATACATAAACAAAACTTACAGAACTAAGGGAGAAATGAACAAATCCAGTAGACAAAAAAAGCACTAAATATATATAATTTTTCTCCCAAGACTTTCAACCATCTTTATCTAATTAACATTTATAAATACTACCTAACAACTGTGGAATGCACACTCTTTTCAAGTGTGCATGCAATGTTTGCCAAGATAGACTCTGGCCATAAATAAATCTTAGTAAATTTCAAAAGATCAAAATCTTACAGACTATATTCTCTGACCTCAATGTAATTAAATTAGTAATCCAACAAAAACAAGTACTTTTAAAAGTCCTAAAATAACTGGAAATTAAACAACACATTTTTTAAAGTGTATTCAAGAAAAAAAATCACAAGGGAAAAACTTTAAAGCAATAATATTAAACACTACTGATTGAGATTTGTGGCATTCAGCTAAAACAATGCTTAGAGGAATACTTACAATTTTAAATGATTATATTAGAAAAGAAGAAAGGTTTAAAAATAATTATTTAAATTTATATCTTTAAAAGCAGGAAAAAGGAATGCAAATCAAGCTCAAAGTAAGCAGAAAGAAATAAATAATGATGATTAAGTCAGATACCAGTGAAATAGAAGACAAAGAATTTTAAAAACCAGCAAACTAAAAATGTGTTTCTTTGAAAAGAGTTATTATATACTGCTAACAAGACTTAGCAAGAAAAAAATCAGAGGAAACACAAATTATCAATATCAGGAATGAAAAAGGTAACATCACTACAGATCCTACAGGCATTAAAAAAGAATGAAAGAGGTGACATCACTACAGATCCTACATGCATTAAAAGGCTGTTAAGGGCATATTATGATCAATGCTTTGCCAACATATTAGAAAATACTGTTGAGGAAAATACTGTTGGTGTGTGCATATTAGAGAATGTTGAGGAAATTCCTTGAAAAACACAATTTTCCAAATTGGCATTATGAAACAGAATATCTGATTAGCCCTCTGTTTATTAAATAAATTGAATTTTTTATTAATCTTTTCCCACAAACAAAACTAGGCCCAGATAAATTTCACTTGTCAGTTGTATCAAACATTTAAAGAAGAAATACCAATCGTGTACAAATGCCATCAAAGCATAGAGGAGGAGGAACACTTCCAAATCATTTTGAGTCCAGCATAATCTTGATGCTGAAACCTGACAATGACGTTACAAGAAAAGAAAGTTACGGAGCAATATCTCTTACGAACTTAGATGAAAAAATTCTTAACAAAATGTAAGAAATTGGTATTTTCGCTAACTTCCTTGACTGAATTAGGTTTATTTGAAATAAGGGCCGGCCGCCCCATCTGGGAAGTGAGGAGCGCCTCTGCCTGGCCGCCACCCCGTCTGGGAAGTGAGTAGCGTCTCTGCCCGGCCGCCTGGTCTGGGAAGTAAGAAGCACCTCTGCCTGGCCACTGTGCAATCTTCCAAGTGTGAAGTGACAGCCTTTCTGCAGGTGTACCCAACAGCTCCGAAAAGACAGCGACCATTGAGAACAGGCCATGATGACGATGGCGGTTTTGTCGAAAAGAAAAGGGGGAAATGTGGGGAAAAGAAAGAGAGATCAGATTGTTACTGTGTCTGTGTAGAAAGAAGTAGACATAAGAGACTCCATTTTGTTCTGTATTAAGAAAAATTCTTCTGCCTTGGGATGCTGTTAATCTATAACCTTACCCCCAACCCCGTGCTCTCTGAAACATGTGCTGTGTCAACTCAGGGTTAAATGGATTAAGGGCAGTGCAAGATGTGCTTTGTTAAACAGATGCTTGAAGGCAGCATGCTCATTAAGAGTGATCACCACTCCATAATCTTAAGTACCAAGGGACACAAACACTGCGGAAGGCCGCAGGGACCTCTGCCTAGGAAAACCAGAGACCTTTGTTCACGTGTTTATCTGCTGACCTTCTCTCCACTATCATCCTATGACCCTGCCACATCCCCCTCTCTGAGAAACACCCAAGAATGATCAATAAATACAAAAAATAAAAAATAAAAAAATAAAAAATAAAAAAATATAAACATGCAAAAAAAAAAAAGAAAGATGGGATAAAACTGCTTCTAGTATTTTTCCTTATATGGGAATTCCACAGGCCCTGACTCTGGGAGACCCTACTCAAAAGATATTTAGATGGCACAGGGCTGTAGTCCATGTGAAAGGATGTATATGTAAAAAGCACAGGCTGAGCCCTGAAGAACAAGGCCTTGCCATTTGAATGGGCCTCCAAATCAATCTACAACAACCACATCCCCTAGATCTTCCTTAGTACCAGAATAGAACAAAGCTGGCAAGGAATTGGTAAATAATCTGGTTAAAAAATGGTATTAATGGTTGCTCAATAAATATTTGTTTAATTAATTAATTGACTAATTCAGAATTACTGAGTAAAGTCCTAGTAGTGGAAATTTCCCTGATTGAAGGAGTACTCCTCAGGGGCAATGTTACTAACATGTTGGACAGGGCAGTTCCTGCTGAATGGGCTGTCTCATACATTGTAAGACACTCAGTACTCTGGATTCCCAGGCCTTATATTTCAATGGCATCCCAACAATACATCATGCAAAAGTATATATACGTTGTATATACCCTCACACATTTTCATGCTTTCTGTGGTGGGCAGCACTACTGGGAGTTAAGAACCAACATTCTGGCCAATGCATTTAGGAAAAAGCAGACCATAACACAAAGCAGGCCGCAGTAGGAAAACAGTACATTTTCCCTGAAACTTCACACAGCTATTGTTTTAATCAGTGGCCTCCAAAAAGGACTTGCACATCCCAGGAGATGAACAAGACATTGGCTGGGCTATCAGTAAATACAAATAACTTCTATTTATTTTTTATTTTGTCTTTTAAAAAAGAAAGAACAGAGATGAAGGCAGAGCAAGATGGCAAAACAGGACTTTCCAGTGATTGTCCCCTACAGAAACATCAATTTGAACAACTGTCTACACACAAAAATACCTTCACAAGAGCTAAGAAAACCAGGTGACAGATCACGGTACCTGGTTACAGCATAATATGAGGGTATAAAGGATAGTTTTACCTTACCTGCATCACCCCTCCCTGAACCCCAGGCAGCACAATGCAGAAAAATACCACTATCTGGGCAAAAGACAGGGAAGAAAGAATAGGACTTTACCTTGGACCCTAATACAGGGCCTGACACAGGAAAATCCAGCAGCAGGCAGATCCACATGGCCCTTGACTGCAGGCCGGTACTCGTGGACTAAGCTTCTAGATCTATCCTGGTGCCAAACAGGAACCCATAGCTGCTGTGAGATGAATGCAAGCTCTAGCCCTTATCACCACTGGCTGACTACAGTGACCATGGGCTAAAAATAACCCACAGTGACAGGCAGGCCTCAGCCGCCATGGGCTTTAGTTGTGCCTCTGTGTGGCACTAGCCTCAGTGGCCATGGACTTTGGGTGTGCCCCAACACTGTATCAGCCACAGCAGCCATAAGAATCCAGCCCAGTGCTGTGCCAGCCTTGGTGGCCATAAGATTCTAACCCAGCACTGTGCCAGTCATCATGGTGGTCCTGGGCTTAGGACACCCCCTAGTGCTGCAATGTCTGTAGTGGTCACATGCTTAGGGACCACACCAGAAGACTTGCCCAGAATCTGTGGACAGGGTTACTAATGAAGGATATTCCCAGACAAAGCCAGATGGCAAAGACTGGAATAAGCACCTGCTTCTTTAATGCAGACATTGATGTACAACCACAAGGATCAAGAACGATCCAGGAAACATGACATCACCAAATGAACATAGTAACGTGCTAGTGACTGACCCTACAAATATGGAAATGTATGAACGGCCTGACAACATTTTCAAAGTAGCTGTTTTAAGGAAGCTCAGTGAACTTCAAGAAAATACAGAGAAACAATTCAACAAAATAAGGAAAACCATAAGTTACCAGAATAAAAAATGTCAGAGAGATTGGCATGATAATAACAAAACAGTAACCAGGGAGCTGAAAAATAACTGAACACAAAGAAAAATGCAATAGGGAGTATCAACAGCTGAATTGAACAAGCAGAAGAAAGAATCTGGAATTTGAAGAGAAGTTATTTTGAAAATATACAGAGCAGAAAAAATAAAAAAGAAAAAGGGAATGAAGAAAGCTATGGGACTTATGGGAAAGCATCAAAAGAGCAAATGTTCAAAAGGGAGTAGAGAATGATAAAGGGGTAGAAAGAGTAAAGAAATAATAGCAGGAAACTTTCCAAACCTGGAGAAAGATATAAGTATCTGGTTACAGAAAGGTCAAAAGTCTCTAATCCTCCAACCCAATCTAAATAAGACTACCCCAAAAGATTTTATAATCAAACTGTCAAATATCAAAGACAAAGAGAGAAAACTGAAAGCAGGAAGAGAAAAGAAGCTAGTAACATATAAGGAAGTTCCAATATGTCCAGCTTCTCAGCAGAAATTTCACAGGACAGAAGAGAATAGAATCATATATTCAAAGAGCTCAAGGAGGAAAACAAAAAGCCCTGCCAATCAAGAATTCTGTACTCACCAAAGCTGTCCTTCCCAAATGAAGGAGAGATAAAGACTTTCACAGATAAACAAAAGCCGAGGGAGTTCATCACTACCAGACCTGCCTTATAAGAAATGCTAAAGGGAATTCTTCAAGCTGAAAGAAAAGGACACTAATGAGTAACACAAAAACATCTAAAAGTATAAAACTCACTAAGTACACAAATTCAGAATACTCTAATACTGCAATGGTGGTTTTTAAATTACTTATATCATTAGTATAAAGGTTAAAGGACAAAACTATTAATAATAATAACTAGAATAATTTGCTAAGGGATGTGCAATGGAAAAAGATATAAATCATATCAAAAATTCAAAATTGGGGGATAGAGTTAAAGTTTAGAAGGTTTTTGTGATCAAAATTAACTTGTTATCAGCTTAAAATAACTTCTTATAACTATAAGATGGTTTTTGTAAGCCTTGCGGTAATCACAAAGCAAAAACCTATAATAGATACACTAAAAATAAAAAGCAAGTAATTAAAACATACTACTAGAGAAAAATCACTTAATCACAAAGAAAGAGTAAGAAACAAAAAAAGGATCCACTAAACAACTAGAAAACAATTAACAAAATGGCAGCAGTAAGTTCTTACTTATCAATAATTACCTTGAACTTATGTTCAAGGACTAAATTTTCAATCAAAATACACAGAGTGGCTGTATAAAAAACAAGATCCACCTATATGCTGCCTACAAGAGATTAACTTCACCTGTAAGGACACACAGACTGAAAATGACAGGATAGAACCAGATATTCCTTACAAATAGAAACCAAAGGAGAACAGGGGTAGCTATGTTTATGTCAGATAAAATATATTTTAAGTCAAACACTGTAAAAAGAGACAAAGAAGGTTATTATATAATCAAAAAGGGGTCAATTCATCAAGAGGGTATAAAAATTTCAAACATATGCATCCAATCTAATTAATAATTAAGAAAATATTAATAGATCTGAAGGAAGAGATAGACTAAAATGCAATAATAGTACAATAATAGCAGAGGACTTCAGTATTGCCCTTTCACATGGACAGATCATCCAGAGAGAAAATCAACCAGAAAATGTTAGATTTAAACTGAACTCTAGACCAAATAAACATACACAGAACATTCTACCCAACAGATGCAGAATACACACTCTTCTCAACTGCACACATAATATTATCTAGGATAGCTGATATGTTAGGTCACAAAACAAGTCTTACCAAATTTGAGAAGACTGAAATCGTATCAAGTATCTTTTCAGACCACAATGGTATAAAACTGGAAATCAGCACTAGGAGGAACTTTGGAAAATTAACGAATACATTGAAATTAAACAACATGCACCTGAATAACCAATGGGTCTATAAATAAATTAAAAGGTAAATTAAAATATTTCATGGGCAAATGACATGAATAGACATTCCCAAAAGAAGATATACAAATGGCCAACAAACATATGAAAAAATGCTCAACATCATTAATCACTGGAGAAATGCAAATTAAAATCAGGATGATACACCACCTTACCCCAGCCAGAATGGCCATTAATAGAAAGTCAAAAAACAATAGATGTTGCCATGGATGTGGTTAAAAAAAGAAAAAAAGAATGCTTATATATGGGAATGCAAATTAGTACAACCTCTATGGAAAACAGTATGGAGATTTCTTAAAGAACTACATGTAGATCTACTATTTTATCCAGCAATCCCACTACTGATCTACTGAGTATCTACCAAAAGGAAAAGAAGTCATTGTCTTAAAAGGACACCTGCACATGTATGTTTCTCACAGCATAATTCACAACTGCAAAGATATAGAGCCAATCTAAGTGCCCATCAACCAATGAGTGGATAATGTGGTAGAAGAAAATGTGGAATATTACTCAGGCATAAAAAAAGAATGAAATAATGTATTTTGCAGCAACTTGGATGGAGCTGCAGGCCATTATTTTAAGTGAAGCAACTCAGGAATGGAAAACTAAATACCAAAATGTTTTACTTATAAGTGAGATCTAAGCTATGGGTATACAAAGGTATACAAAGAGGGTGGTACAATGGAATTTGGAGACTCAGAAGTGGGGAGGATGCGGTGAGGAATAAAAAACTAAATATTGGGTCCAATGTGCACTGCTTGGGTTACAGGTGCACTGAAATCTCAGACTTCACCACTATACAATTCATCCATATAACCAAAAGCCACTTGAACCCCAAAATCTACTGAAGTAAAAAAATTTATTAATTAAATTAAATTAAAATATTCCTTGAGACAAATGAAAATGGAAATACAACATAACAAAACCTATGGGTACAGCAAAAGCAGTCTAAGAGGAAAGTTTATAGCAATAAACACCTACTTCAAAAAATATATATCTCAAATATATCTCAAATAAACAACCCAATGTTTTACCTTACCTTAGCGATCAGAGCAGAAATAGAGAATACAAATACATAAAAATATCAATAAAACAAAGAGATAGTCTCTTGAAAAGATAAACAAAATAGACAAACCTAGAGCTAAACTAAGAAAAAAAGAGAGAAGACTCAAATAAAATCAGAGGTAAAAAAGGAAAAATTACAACTGATGCCACAGAAATACAAAGGATCATAAGAGACTACTGTGAACAATTACACATGAACAAATTAGATAACCTAAAAGAAATGAATAAATTCCTGGACACATACATTCTACCAAGATTGAATTATGAAGAAATCTAAAATCTGAACAAACCAATGAGTAAGGAGATGGAATCAGTAATAAAAAATCTCCTGGCTGGGCATGGTGGCTCACACCTGTAATCCCAGCACTTTGGGAGGCCGAGGCAGGTGGATCAGCTGAGGTCAGGAATTCGAGACCAGCCTGACCAACATGGTGAAATCCCGTCTCTACTAAAAATACAAAAATTTGCTGGGCATGGTGGCACATGCCTGTAATCCCAGCTACTTGGGAGGCTGAAGCAAGAGAATCACTTGAACCCAGGAGGCAGAGGTTGCAGTGAGCCAAAATCGTGCCACTGCACTCCAGCCTGGGCAACAAAGCAAGACTCCATCTTTAAAAAAAAAAAAAATCTCCCAGCAAAGAAAAGCCCACGACTGAATGGCTTCATTGCTGAATTCTACCAAACATTTAAAGAAGAACTAATACCAATTCTTCTCAAACTCTTCCCAAAAACTTGAAGAGGAGAGAATATTTCCAAATCCATTCTCTGAGGCAACATTACCCTGACGCCAAAACCATGCAAGGTCACAACAAAAGAGGAAAACTTACAGGCCAATACCCCTGATGAACATAGATGCAAAATGCTCAGCAGAATATTAGCAAACCAAATTCAATAACACATTAAAAAGATCATTCACCATTATCAAGTGGGATTCATCCTAGAAATGCAAGGATGGTTCAACATATGCAAATCAGTAAATGGGATACATCATATTAACAGAATGAAGGACAAAAAACTACATAATCACTTCAATAGATGCAGAATAAGCATTTGACAAAACTCAATATCTCTTCATAATAAAAACTCTCAACAAATTATGTATAGAAGAAATGTGCCTCAACACAGTAAAGGCCATATATGACAAACCCACAGCTAACATACTGAATGGCAGGAAAGTTGAAAGATTTTCCTTTAACATCTGGAAGAAGAAAACGATGCCC